>NC_000023.11:15470821-15773851 GCF_000001405.40 Homo sapiens | reverse complement strand
CTGGGTGTGGTGGCTCACACCTGTAATCTCAGCATTTTGGGAGGTCAAGGTGGGAGAATCACTTGAATCCAGCAGTATGAGACCAGCCTGGACGACATAGTGAAACCTTGTCTCTACAAAAAAATTTAAAAATTAGCAGGGCAGGCCGGGCGCGGTGGCTCACGCCTGTAATCCCAGCACTTTGGGAGGCCGAGGTGGGTGGATCACAAGGTCAGGAGATCGAGACCATCCTGGCTAACACGGTGAAACTCCATCTCTACTAAAAATACAAAAAATTAGCTGGGCGCAGTGGTGGGCGCTTGTAGTCCCAGCTACTTGGGGGGCTGAGACAGGAGAATGGTGTGAACCCGGGAGGCAGAGCTTGCAGTGAGCCAAGATCACGCCACTGCACTCCAGCCTGGGCGACAGAGCAAAACTCTGTCCCAAAAAAAAAAAAAAAAAAAAAAAAATTAGCAGGGCATGGTGATGTGCGCCTGTTGTCTTGAGGTGGGAGGATTGCTTAAGGTCGAGGCTGCAGTGAACCGTGATTGTGCCACTGCACTCCAGCCTGGGTGACAGAGTGAGACCCTGTCTCACAAAGCAAAATAAAATGAAACAAATATAAAAAATATAAAATAAATTTTTAAATGGGCTTTTTTTACATAACATTTACAATTGAATTAGGAAAAAAGTTGTAAGAAGAAATTCTATTTCCTTAAAATCTCCCTTTATTTCCCTACAAATCATTCCTCATTCATCAGTTATGAGTGCATTATCACCCAGCCTCCCAAGTGAGACACCACAAAGTCGTGGTTAACCTTGCCTTCTCCTATCCTGAAGAGAACCCTACCTTCAAGTCCTGTTGCTTTAATTTCAGAAATGCTTGATAAATCTTGCCCTTTTTCTCTATTTCTATTGCCACAGCCTTCATTTAGGCTCCCACCACCGCAAACTTGCATTAATTCAACCTGTGGCTCCACAATGTTCCCTGGGTTATTACTTTGGGCTACTATTTGAGTCCACTTTCGAATTCCAGAAGAATTCAGTTTCAGGATCTTAAGGTTCATTTCAACTATATTATTTGAGATGAGAGAAGTTAACATTTTTACATGTCTTAGCTGAGAATGATCAAAACTGCCTGAGAAAGCTATTTAGCATTTATAGGAATCACCTGATTCTAATAATGTCTTACAACTAAAAGTTCAGAATTATCCCCACTTCTCTACAGTTGTCACTGTTCCTGACCTTCTCAACATACCTCTGCTGGGAAGCATTTGCTGTCCACGGTGTGCTCAGAACCCCAGGCATCGATGGCCCCCCAGTGAAAATGGAACTGCTTCAATCGGTAGTTGTGTTCCAGGGGTCCTCCCTTGATCACTAAAATGGCACATCCAACAATTCAGGGAAGAGTTATTTGTGCAGTGGAGGAATGTGGGTGAAAGGCCAAATCTCCAATGGACCCTCCATGTGAACTGTCTTAAATGGATTACACTGAATTATATACAAGTGATTATAAATTTGATTTTCATGAAGTCAATGCACGTATAAGGACAAGACCAAATAACATCAAGATTTAACTACATAACAAGCTACAAACAATTGTTAAAGGCCAACTCTTGACTTAATTTTATATCCTATATTATTGTGTCCAGTTTTCTTTTGTGTGCAATAAAATGCAAATTTCTCTCAGCACATTTATCCAACATGACTTTATAATACTGAAATATGGGGATAAAAGGATCTTTCTTTTTTTATGCACAGACACTTTGCTTTTCAAGTTTTGAAGATACTAGTGTTGCTTTCCCTTTCATTGAAATGGAATAGGACATTTGCAAGTCAAAAATGATCACCTGGGAGATGTTGGTCAAAAGGTACAAAGTTTCAGTTAGGAAGAATATGTTTTCAAGATTTATTGCACAGCATGGTGACCATAGTTGATAATAATCTATTGCACATTTCAAAATTACTAAAAGAGTAACAGTAGATTTTCTCGCTACAAAAAAAAAAATGGTAAGCATGTGAGGTGATGGATATTTTCATTGCTTGATATAATCATTCCACAATGCATACATATATCAAAAGATTACATTGTACCTGGTAAATGTATACAAATATGTCAATTGAAAAAACACACTGGCCGGGCCTGGTGGCTCACACCTGTAATCCCAACACTTTGGGAGGCTGAAGCGGGTGGCTCATCTGAGGTCAGGAATTTGAGATCAGCCTGGCCAACATGGTGAAACCCCATGTCTACTAAAAATTAAAAAAAAAAAAAAAAATTAGCTGGGCGTGGTGGCCCATGCCTGTAGTCCCAGCTACTCAGGTGGCTGAGGCACAAGAATCACTTGAACCCAGGAGGCGGAGGTTGCGGTGAGCTGAGATCGTGCCACTGCACTCCAGCCTGAGTGACAGACCGAGACTCTGTCGCAAACACACACACACACACACAAATTATTACCAATATATTATAGGCAAAATATTGACAAGTGTTTTTTTTTTTTTGAAACAGGGTCTTAGTCTGTCGCCCAAGCTGGAGTGCAGTGGCACAATGTCGGCTCACTGCAACCTCTGCCTCCTGGGCTCAAGCCATCCTCCTACCTCAGTCTCCTGAGTAGTTGGGACTACAGACGTGCATCACCATGCCAGGCTTTTTTTTTTTTTTTTTTTTGTAGAGATGAGGTTTTGTCATGTTGCTCAGGCTTGTCTTGAACTCCTGAGCTCAAGAGATCCACCCATCTCAGCCTCCCAAAGTGCTGGGATTACAGGCAGTTGAGCCACTGCGGCTGGCCCAGATAAGATGTTTTTGGCCGGGCACGGTGGCTCATGCCTGTAATCCTAGCACTTTGGGAGGCTGAGGCGGGCGGATCATGAGGTCAGGAGATCAAGACCATCCTGGCTAACATGGTGAAACCCCGTCTCTGCTAAAAATAAAAAAAAATTAGCTGGGCATGGTGGCGGGTGCCTGTAGTCCCAGCTCCTCGGGAGGCTGACGCAGGAGAATGGTGTGAACCTGGGAGATGGAGCTTGCAGTGAGCCAAGATCACGCCACTGCACTCCAGCCTGGGCAACAGAGAAAGACTCTTTCTAAAAAATAAAAATAAATAAAACATAGAAAAGAAAAGGAAAGGAAAGAAAGAAAGAGAGAGAGAGAGAAATAGACTGTCAAGCAGCTGTCAGGCTAGTTAATTGGGATGTCACTGGTAACCTCAGCAAGATTAAAGGAAAAAGGTGGGGTTGGGTGGGGCAGATGAATGCAGGAAAGAAGGAAATATAGTCATCAAGAAATGGGGCAGGCCCAGCAGTGGCTCACACCTGTAATCCTAGCACTCCGGGAGGCCAAGGTGGGAGGATCACTTGAGGCCAGGAGTTTGAGACCAGCCTGAAAAACATAGTGAGACCCAGTCTCTACAGAAAAAAAGGAAAGAAACAAAGAAATGGGGCAGGTAGACAGAAGATAGTGAATTGGAAAGCAAAGCAGTCATAACACATATCAAATAAATATATACTTATGTATTTGAGGTTGTTGATATTTTATTCTTTTATTTTTTAATTTTTTTTTGAGACAGAGTCTCACTCTGTTGCCCAGGCTGGAATGCAGTGGCACGATCTCGCCTCACTGCAACCTCCAACTCCCAGGTTCAAGTGATTCTCCTGTCTCAGCCTCCCCAAGAAGCTGGAATTACAGGCGTGTGCCACCATGCCCAAATAATTTTTGTATTTTGGTAGAGAAGGAGTTTCACCATGTTGGCCAGGCTGGTCTCGAACTCCTGACCTCAAGTGATCCACCCACATCGGCCTCCCAAAGCACTGGGATTACAGACATGAGCCATCATGCTTGGCCTGATATTTTATTCTTTCCATGCTCTAAGATGAGAAAGGATTAAACTTCTAAAAAAATTACATAACAAATATAAAACATTCAGCAGAGAGTCTGGCTGGTAGTAAGCAATCTGTAATATTCACTCCCTCCTTTTGTTTTTCAATGTGAAAGAGAAGGAGCTGACAGAGAAAGGGATGGTGAAGAGAAAGGAAATACACAGAACCCACATAAATAAAAGCAAATGCAGGAAATGGACACAAGGAATGCTTCTGGGGTGATGGAAATGTTTTAAAATTAGACTATAGTGATGGTTGCACAACTCTGTAAATTTCCTTTAAAAATCATTAAACTGTGTGTGTGTGTGTTTTAAACTGTGTATGTGTGTTTTAAAGTAAATGTAGGACCTAAAACAGGGAAGGAGAACTTAAATGTTTGTGAAAGCATTCTTACTAGGTTCACTGGCACTGCCGCAAAGAAGTGTAAAGTCAGGGAAGCAGGATGGAGCAGGAAGCACCCTGAGGAGGAGAACAAAGGCACTCACCTCTCCATCTCCTTAATGCCTGTTGACAGTGCCAATAAGAGGAATTCCAGAGGAGATGATAATTGACAGGGATCATCCAGGGACAATTTAGTGCCCTTCCCCACAGTATTTCGACTCTCTTATATGCACTCATTCAAATCAGTAACGGTGTCCTACTCAGGGGAACCAAATACCAAACAACACCCAGGAGAGGACTGCGGTATGAGATGTTCACATACCTTCTCTTATAATCCTATCAAGGTAGGTAGGTCATGTTGTCCTCTCTTTCATTCCAGAGTTTAGTAATTTGAGTCTTCTTTTATTTTTTTCTTGGTCTCCCCCAATTAAAAGTTTGTGAACTTTGTTGATCTTCCCAAAGAACCAACTTTTGATTTCATTGATTTCTGCTCGTTCTTTATTATGCCCTTCTCTCTACTTGCTTTTGGGTTTAGTTTGTTCTTCTTTTTCTAGTTTCTTAAGGCGGAAAGCTGAGATACTGACTTGAGAAAGTTCTTCTCTATTGTAGGCATTTTCATCTATACATTT
Organism: Homo sapiens; assembly: GCF_000001405.40. Taxonomy (NCBI): domain Eukaryota; kingdom Metazoa; phylum Chordata; class Mammalia; order Primates; family Hominidae; genus Homo; species Homo sapiens. The sequence continues at coordinate 15,768,986 of NC_000023.11, read as the reverse complement.
CCCTCTAAGCACTGCTTTAGCTGCATCCCAAAAGGACTGGTATGATGTTTTTGTCACATACCTTCCCCAGCTCCTTTTCCTTGCACTTTATTCCAATCCTCACAAAGCACACTGTGGCAGCATTTCTTAGGGTTTTGTCTTTGAAATTTATAGACATCGATATTTATTAGGTTTTTACTTTTCTAGAATTGTTTCTTGCCTTTGTTTCTAAAATGTCTTGCTTTCTTTCACTTTTTATTTTTTATGTTCATTCACTCTTTTTTTCCTCTTTGCATGCTATTGATTGTTTTGCAACAACATGGAGAAATAGCAGCAAAGAATAAACAGGAAATAAGAGGCAGTCACTGAAAGGTGGAAAAAGAGAGAGAGAGAGAGAGAGAAAATTAGGTAATTACTAAAAATTGATGCTATCTTAAAGAAAATAATTATTAAAGCATAATTTAAAAGGGCTATCAGTTTTAGTTCTTTCTAACCAAACAAAAAAATTAGCAAACTCTCTACAAGTTTTCTTGCATATTTTGTAAGTGTGTGACTGACACTCCCAGGGAAGACAGGTTCAAGGGGTGATTTAGTCAGTTGGGTTTGTAGGTATCTAAAAAGAAGCTATTATGACAAAAACGTTGATGACTTGTTTTCCATCTAAGATTACTCATGCAAATGGGTAGATAAGAATTCTTGAGGCCTGGCTCGGTGGCTCATACCTATAATCCAAGCACTTTGGGAGGCCGAGGTGGGAGGATCACTTGATCTCAGGAACCCCATCTCTACAAAAAATACAAAAATTTGCCGGAGCTGGGAGCAGTGGCTCACACCTATAATCTCAGCACTTTGGGAGGCCAAGGTGGGCAGATCACTTGAGGTCAGGAGTTTGAGACCAGCCTGGCCAACATGGTGAAACCCGTCTCTACTAAAATACAAAAATTAGCCAGGTGTGATGGCATGTGCCTGTAATCCCAGCTACTCAGGAGGCTGAGGCGGGATAATTGCCTGAAGCCAGGAGGTGAAGGTTGCAGTGAGCCAAGATCACGCCACTGCACTCCAGCCTGGGCGACAGAGTGAGACACCATCTCAAAAAAAAAAAAAAAAAAAGGCCAGGTGCAGTGGCTCACACCTGTAATCCCAGCAATTTGGGAGGCCGAGGCAGGTGGATCACCTGAGGTCCTGAGGTCAGGAGTTCGAGACCAGCCTGGCCAACATGGTGAAACCCTGTCTCTACTACAAATACCGAAAATTAGCAGGGTGTAGTGGCAGGCACCTGTAATCCCAGCTACTCAGGAGGCTGAGGTGGGAGAATCACTTGAGCCCGGGAGGCAGAGGTTGCAGTGAGCCGAGATCACGCCATTGCACTCCAGCCTGGGCAACAAGAGCAAAACTCCGTCTTAAAAACAAAAACAAAAACAAACAAACAAACAAAAAAATTAGCCGAGCGTGGTGGCACATGCCTGTGGTCCCAGCTACTCGGGAGGCTGAGGTGGGAGGATTGCTTGAGTCCAGGAGGTTGAGGCTGCAGTGAGCTGCAATCATGCCACTGCACTCCAGCCTGGACAACAGAGCGAGACTCTGTCTCAAAAAAAAAAAAAAATTCTAGAATCTATTGTTCAAAAGAAAAAGAGAGGACTAAAAGATAAAACAGCTATTTACCCTGAAAGTTCTTGGGCTCAAGTCACTTAGTTAAGAAACTCATTAAGCAACTTTCTAAGACTTCCAACTCAATGAAGCAATGATATATTGGCAACAGACAGTCCCTATACTGTCAAGGGCTTTAGAAAGCTGACCAATACCAAGGATCCCCAGAAGAAAGCAGGCTGCTAGGGCCCTAGATGGGGTTGAGAATTCAAAAGGATTACTATGCATGCAGAGTAAATGGATGAGGGTTGGTATCCTATAGACTGGGTCTGCCCATTAGTTTACGTCTGGCAAGGATAATGGTAGAGCCCCATGGGGGACAAGTAGAGCTCACCAGAGTGCCAGACAGTCATCCAGAACACAGGAATTTAGCTTGTTGTTTTGAAGATTTCTGGAATCCGTATAAACAAGGTAATATTATGGACTTCCAGTTGAGAAGGGGGCACACTCTAGAGTTTTGGGGAAATTAAGAAAGATGCATGATGAGGGGTATAATAAAAGCCCAGACTTCACCGCTACACAATATATCCATGTAACAAAACAAAACTAAACTTATACCCACTAAATATATTTTAAAAGAACATATATCAGTATCATTTTTCTTTCTTATCTTTTTTATTCCTCCCTTCTCTAGCTATTCCACCAACAGACCCAGATGGCCTTAAACAATGTTTCCCAAAGGATGGCACATGAGATGGTTTTATGTGGTACAAGAAGCTTTTACTTGTATAGTAAGTTACTTTAAGAGAATTAGAAACAATATAATGAAACACATCAACCTGTGAATTCACAAATATAAAATTTAAATAAATAACAACGCAAAAAAAGGGGGGAAAAGAAAGATGCCCATGAATCTGGGGGAAAAAGAACTTCCTACTTTGAGATATGAAAGTAAGATGTTCATGGTTTTGGGGCTGCGTCATACCATGGAGGAGAAAGGAAAGTTGGGGACATGGAAACACCTAAATTCTTAGACAGACTCAAATACCTTCTGAATCATGGCAGAGACACATATCAGAAGGGAGAAAACCAGACAGAGATTAAGCCCACTGGAGGAGCAGTCTGTTTGTAGTTAGGCCAGAGTGCCATGTCTAAGTATCAGAGCATCACTAGGAAAATACAAAGAAAACAAAGACACAGTTGAGACTCAGAGCCAGGATAAATGCAGGAGTGAATATTTACTTTTTTTTTTTTTTTTTTTTTTTGAGACAGAGTCTCACTCTGATGCCAGGCTGGAGTGCAGTGGCGCGATCTCGGCTCACTGCAACCTCTGCCTCCCAGGTTCAAGTAATTCTCCTGCCTCAGCCTCCCGAGTAGCTGGGATTACAGGCATGCGCCACCACACCCGGCTAATGCTTTGTATTTTAGTAAAGATGGGGTTTCACCATGTTGCCCAGGGTGATCTCGAACTCCTAAGCTCAGGCAATCCACCCACCTCGGCCTCCCAAAATGCTGAGATTACAGGCATAAGCCACCGCTCCTGGCCTCATTATCATTTTTATGGACTCATTTCCTAACATTCATGAGAGAAAACAAGTTTCCTTGAGATCAAGATTTCTCCGCTTCAGCTCTATTGATACTGCAGGCTAGACAACTCTTCGTTAAGGATATCCGGCGCACTGCAGGATCTTTAGTGGCATCCCTGACTTTGACACACTAGATGCCAATTTCATTTCCCAAGTTGTGACAATGAAAAACGCCTTCGGATCCTACAGCGGGGAGTGAGGGATATGGAGGGGTATGGGGGAAAGTTGGCAGAATTACCACTGGTTGATAACCACTTTAAACTATTCCAAATAATAATTATTTTGAGACTAATTTGGACTATTTGACATCATCAAATGCAGTAAAACAAACAAGCAAACAAAAAAAAAGGGAAAATAAACCTTCACAAAATTAACCACCTTCTGTCTTCCATAGACACTATAAGTTTCAGGTAAACTTTGAAATCATTCACATTAGTTTACATCCAGGAAGGTGAAAAAAAAGATTCAAAATCAATATAATATTTGAATTTTAAAAACTCTTTTAAATTGTGTTTCTTTTAAACTAGGTAGGTAACACTGTTTATTTAACAAAATTACCAGATCATAAGTTTCCATTTCTCTAATACATGACTAGTCTTTGCAACCTAATGCACACATGAATATCCTTTTGGCCCCATTTCAAGTGTATTGTAATCTGCTAAGTTAACTCTGATTAAACAATGTTACTATTTAATGTAAAAGTTCTCATAAAGTCAACAAGCAAAGGAAAAAAATTAGTACATATTCAATATACACATACAAAATAAATTTCTGGTAAAACTTCCATTGCACACCTATGCTCTATACCAATTATAAATCTATACATAGAGAGATAGAGATATATTTATTAATTAAAAATACTACCTATACTAGTTGAAGAAAATATGCATAAAAACTAGAAGGAATTTTTTTTCACACATTCAAAAAGTTAAGATCAATGAGTTCCATGCCATTGCTCACAAAGAGGTCAATACTATCATGGAGAGAGTTTGATGTGTCCTCTGTTAACATGACACTGTTTCTTTAACTCCTTACAAGACCACCAGATCTTGCCCTCACCTGATTTATCTGTAGAATCTTCAAATTCCACGAGGAAAGAGTACCCATTATTCCAGACGTGGAGGCAGGTGGCTGGGTCATAAGAGATGGTCAGTGGTTTTAAGCCGGGATCATAAACACTGTCCCTCCACCGAATGTTGATGGGTGACTGGCGATCGCCCCCAGGAACCAGGTCCACGCTCTCCCAGAGTGGATGCACTAGGAGAAAGCAGGTCAGCCTATTATCAAGACTGTTGGACCGAGTGCAGTGGCTCACTCCTATAATCCCAGCACTTGGGGAGGCCAAGGCGGGTGGATCACTTGAGGCCAGAAGTTTGAGACCAGCCTAGGAAACACGGCGAAACCCTGTCTCTACAAAATATGCAAAAAATTATCCAGGCGTGGTGGTACACACCTGTAGTCCTAGCTACCGGGGAAGCTAAAGTGGGAGGATTGAGCCCGGGAGGTCGAGGCTGTTGTGAGCCATGATAGCACCACTGCACTCCAGCCTGGGCAACAGACCCAAACCATGTCTCAAAAGAAAAAAAAAAAAGCCTGTCTACTGTACTTCTAGAGAACCTGTCAGGGCTAATGGAAACTAAAAGCCTTAGGAATTAGCCACTATGATGGTTACTTTTAGCTGCTGACTTGACTGGATTAAAGGATACCTAGAAACCTGGTAAAGCATTATTTTGGGGTGTTTCTCTGGGGGTGTTTACAGAGGAGACTAGCATGTAATTCTGAGTGGACTAGGTGGGAAAGATCTGCCCTTAATGTGGGCAGGTATCATCTAAACTGCTGGGGGGCCAGAGAGAACAAAAACATGGAAAAACTGAATGTGTCCATCTATCTGCTGAATCTTGGATACACTCTTCTGCTCCTGTCCTTGGGTAACAGCTACAGGCTTCCCAGCCTTTGGACGCCAGAACTTACACCAGCACCTCTCTGGGTTCTCAGGCATTTGGCCTCAGACTGAGAGTTATACCATCAGTTTCCCTGGTTCTAAGGCCTGTGTCTTGGACTGTCCCATACTACCAGTATCTCAGGGTCTCTGGCTTGCAGATGGCCTGTCATGGGACTTCCCAGCCTCTATAATCATGTGAGCAATTTCCACTAATAAATTCCCTCTCATCCATCTCTCTATATACCTTATTGGTTCTGCTTCTGGAGAACCCTGACCAATACAGCCACTTAGGGGTTTAATGGATACACAAAAGTAGAGGATAAAGATAGGTCAGAGAGCACCTGGCAGAGGAATAGCATTTTGGCATCTTGCAAAACCAACACATCTCAGTCTGCTTACTAAGCTCACCTAAACCAAGTGCAATCAGTGCTGTGATCACAATATAATGCATGGAGTTTGGTGCCATGTGGAAATAGGGTATTCATAAATGAGTTTCTTTTCTTCATCGAGAATTTCCCAACCCCCAACTCCCCAAAGTGGCTTTAAATACAAAGACAAATTAATTCAATTTTCAATAACAGATTTATTTTCAAAAAAGGAAATGGGAGAACTTTGGGAAAGGAAACATTGAATCAGTATTGTCAGCGTTTAATTGGTTGGCTGGTAGAAAAAAAGGCTTGCGTAGCCTGCATCCTGTAAGATGCTCGCCCCACATAACTGTGCGTGCTGAGTTGAGTTCACCTCCTATGTAAGCAAACTCTGAGGACCAGGCAGCCATCCTGCAAAACCTGGGTAGAACATCGGCATTGCTAAGGTCCCTGGAGGTTGCAGTGTGTCACAGGGATGTGGAGATTATCTATTAAGGTGTACACATATAATTTATCCTCCACAGGCACTGAAGACATTGCTGATGCTGATTTTCTTCCAGAGTCAAGCACCAGGTCTCTGTAGCAAGTCCCTGATAAGTATCAGCAGACTTGCTGATAACACAGATCAGCCTGTTGAGACCCCCAAGTGTGATGAGCAGAACCAATGTACATCAGTTTGGGGTGGTCCATTTCCCTGTCCTTTAGAAGTACCATGGATGGGTAGAATCAAGAACAACAGGAAAACTAGGAGAAACATGAAGGAAATAATTACCAACGACCCTCTGCATCTCGCCCCACCACTAAGAATAAGGATGACACTGGCTGGGCATGGTGGCTCATGCCTGTAATCCCAGCACTTTGGCGGATCACGAGGTCAGGAGATCGAGACACAGTGAAACCCTGTCTCTATTAAAAATTAGCCGGGTGTGGTGGCACACGCCTGTAGTCCCAGCTACTTGGGAGGCTGAGGCAGGAAAATCGCTTGAACCCGGGAGATGGCGATTGTAGTGAGCCGAGATTGCGCCACTGCACTCCAGCCTGGGTGACAGAGTAAGACTCTGTCTCAAAAAAAAAAAGAATAAGGATGAGACTAAGGTAGTTGTTTTGTTACTCTGTCAAATCCCTCACGTATGGCAGCATCATCTCCTATTTCCATGAAAAGCAGAAACCTGCCTCTGGTTTACTCTGACAGAGCAGATAATCCTCTTCCTTCGGTAATTGCTGAAAGCCGGAAGTCAATACCTTTTTTTTTTTTTAGATGGAGTCTTGCTCTGTCTCCCAGGCTGGAGTGCAGTGGCATGATCTTGGCTCACTGCAACCTCCGCCTCCTGGGTTCAAGCAATTCTCCTGCCTCAGCCTCCTGAGTAACTGGGATTACAGGCGCATGCCACCACACCCGGCTAACTTTTGTGTATTTTTAGTAGAGATGGGGTTTCGCTGTGTTGGCCCGGATGGGCTTGAACTCCTGGCCTCAAGTTATCCACCCACCTCAGCCTCCCAAAGTGCTGGGATTACAGGCGCAAACCACTGCGCCTGACCGTAAGTCAGTATCTTAACCTCAGTGTTTTGTTTTGTTTTGTTTTATTTATAAAAATGCTCCAGCAATACAGACAAAGAGCTCTCCTGAGAGTGCCTAAATCAGTGGTTTTCAACAGAGAAAGCAATTCAGTCCCCCAAAAACATTTGGCAATGTCTGGAGACATTTTCAGATGGCAAAACTGGGAGAGGGTGCTAGTGACATCTAGTGGTTAGAGGCCAGGGATGCTGCTAAAGATCCTATAATGCCCTGGATGGGCTCCCCCCGACAAGACAAAGAAGCATCCTGACCCAAAAGCCAATAGTGCCAAAGTTGATAAACCCTGGTCTAAAGATAAAAGGTGCATGCAAACTCATAATACTCTTTTCTTTCTATTTCTTCATATAATGCAGTACTGTCATCTCTGGAGAGGTCTGAACCCAATGTTCTGGGTTTTTTTCTTTCCTCAGTATAAAACAACTTGTGAAGAACAAGAACTTTAAAGAACAAGAAGTTTCTGTTTCAGAAAACTAAAATGGAAAATGCACATGAACTGGCACATCTGAAATGGAATCTGGGCCATACTGTCATAATCTAATTAGAATGCAAATTCCTTGTGGGCAGGAGCCACATCTTCCTCCTTTTTTGTTGCCCTGTGGTATCTTATTAAACATATGCCCTTCTGGAAAACATCCTATTAGGTACTATGTTCACTATCTGGATGACAGGATCAATAGAAGCCCAAACCTCATCACCATGCAATATACCCATGTAACAAATCTGCATATGTAAACCCTGAATGTAAAATAAAAATAGAAATTTTAAAAAAGAAAGAAATTAACAATTTGAAAAAGCAATCATGGCAACTACGCAGCAGCCAACATCATAAAATATACAACCTCAGGGTCTAAAAATGTTTAGTAATTTTATCCAATAACATATAATATACCGTATTTTTCATCTTAGAGGGAAAGATGATCTTAAATTTCTGTTACATTTGGTTCTGTTATATCCACCCAAACACTTGGATTCATATTCATCATGAATAAACATCTCTTTTAAAGGCAAAAATAAAAAATAAAATAAACATATGCCCTGTAACATATCCAACTGCCATTGTTGGGGGGGAAAAGCTCAAATTCAAATGACTTGAAAGGATTCAAATGATCTGAAAAATGATTCAAATTGTGTTAATTTTTTAACTTCTAGAAAGCCCTTGAAAGGCCCTGATTCTGTTTGTAAAGATTCCTGACACAAAGAGACTATGCACCTTCCCCTCTGAGACACTCAGACTGTGGCTGATAATTTGAGAGTACACACTCTTCAAAGCCATTCAATGAGGGTCTCCTGTGACAACTAGGGAAGAACTGGAGTGATTAGGTCCCTAAGACGACGCCTTGGTCATCCTTAATTTTTCCCCATCTCATGCATGAAATGGGAAGTATCAACACTCACACTCATGCAAATACCAGCCCAAGAAAACTGAGCCTGTTCCTTCAATTGCTCTTTAATGACCATAATGACAAGATCAGTTTATGCCCTTGAGTTTACAAGTTCAGCTTCCAGAAGGTTTCTTTCCTCCTACCCACCTCCCTCCTCCTTTACTAAACTAGACCATCTAGGTTAGACCATCCAACTCACTGTGTGGGGAGGGGGTCCTTGGTCACTGCCCCCTTACTGAAGCCAATTTTTTGCCAAGGGTTTGTTTTGCTAAAGATAAACTGACACTTTTGTTCTCTCCTACTCCCTTCCTTTTCCTCTATTTAAGCAAAAATCAGATCGAAACAATTTCCTGGTTGTTGCTCATATTTTACCTCAAAAATAAGATGATTAAGTGGTCTAACAGAAGCTTCATTTTCAGGTTCTTCTTGTATAGGGAAAATGAAATAAACAGATAATGATTTTATCAACTGTGGTTTATGCTAACAAAGGCATACTGTCATTAAGAAAGTGTTGGCCGGGTGCGGTGGCTCATGCCTGTAATCTCAGCACTTTGGGAGGCCGAGGCAGGCAGATCACCTGAGGTCAGGAGTTCAAGACCAGCCTGGCCAACATGGTGAAACCCCATCTCTACTAAAGATACAAAAAATTAGCTGGGCGTGGTGGTGCGCACCTATAATCCCAGCTACTCGGGAGGCTGAGGCAGGAGAATTGCTTGAAACCAGGAGGTGGAGGCTGCAGTGAGCTGAGATAGATTGTGTCATTGCACTCCAGCCAGGGCGACAGGTCAAGACTCCGACTCAAAAAAAAAAAAAAAAAAAAAAAAAAAAAAAAGGTGTCAGTAATTTCTAGCTGATGGGCAACAAAAGCCCTGCAAAGGATTCCATGTTGAGGAAGTGCTTGATTTTAGTTGTTTATATGAGTAGTCCTAGGTTTGGTTTATTTTGTGCTTTAGCACTGTCTTAGTCCATTCAGCCTGCTATGACAGAATGTCATAGACTAGGTGGCTTATAAATAAGAGAAATTTATTTCTCACAGTTCTGGAGTCTGGGAAGTCCAAGATCGAGGCACCAGCAGACTGGGTGTCCGGCAAGGTCCTGTCTTCTGGTTCATAGACAGCCTCCTTGCTGTCTTCACATGGTACAAGGTACGAGGGAGCTCTCTGGGGTCTCTTTTATATTGGGAACTAATCCTATTCATGAGAACTCTGCCCTCACGATCTAATCACCTCCCCAAAGCCCCACCTCTTAATACCATCACCTTGGTGGTTAGGATTTCAACACACAAATGTTAGGGGGTCATGAACATTCAGTTTGCTGCAACCACCTATTTCCCCAGCTTTGGCACTGTCCTTCTTTCAGCCCTTGAAACACGGAAAGCTCATTCCTGCCTTAGTCCCTTTCTTCGTGCTCCTCCTCCACAGAAATCAACTACCCCTCATTTGGCTCAGGGCTGGCTCCCATTATCTTTAGGTCTTGGGCTTAATTGTTACCTCCTTGACAAAGTGACCTCTGGCTACTCTCTTATAATATGATCACTTCATATTATAATTTTTAAATCATAGCACTCCGATTTTTCTTTCATGACATTTATTACATAGGTGCAGTTATAATTATATGCGTATGTGTCTAATTATCTGCCTTCCTCACTGCTCTGTAAGCCAGCTGGCTTTCGGTTAATACTTGTGGATGGAATAAGATGAGGAGCATCACTGGGAAGATTTGTGCTATGGTGTGAATGTATACGTCTCCTCAAAATTTAGCCAGGCAGCAGTGGCTTGCACCTGTAATCCCAACACTTTGGCAGGCCAAGGTGGGCAGATCAATTGAGGTCAGTAGTTTGAGACCAGCCTGGCCAACATGGGGAGACACCATTTCTTGTAAAAATACAAAACATTAGCTGGGTGTGGTGGCTCATACCTGTAGTCCCAGCTACTTGAGAGGCTGAGGCAGGAGAATCTCTTGAACCCGGGAGGCGGAGGTTGCAGTGAGCTGAAATTGTGCCACTGCACTCCAGTCTGGGCAAGAGAGCAAGACCCTGTCTCAAAAAATAAAAAAATAAAAATAAAAAAATAAAACCCAAAAATGTACACGCTGAAATCCTTTTCCCCAAGGTGATGGTATTAAGAGCTGAGGCCACTGGGAGGTGACATAGTCACGAAGGCAGAGCTCTCATGAACGGGATTAATACCCTTATAAAAGAGGCTTGAGAAAGCTTCTGAGCTCCTTCCACCACGTGAGGATGCAGCAAGAAGGCAAATTCTTTGAAGCAAAGAGAACCCTCATCAGACACTGAATCTACTGGCACCTTGGTTTTTTGGACTTCCTGGCCTCCAGAACTGTGAGCAACAAATTTCTGTTGTGTATAAATTATCTAGTCTGAGGTACTTTGTTATAGCAGCCCAAACAGAATAAGACAGTTTGCTTCTCCTTTTTGCTTTATTTCATTATTTTTCTTTAAGAATCATTCAGGTTTATCTCTTCTTCACCTTTCCCAGAACAGCGGCCTAGTTCAGAACCCTAACCCCCAGACTTCATACAAAGCCTCTTGGTTGCTTTTCCTCTTTTCTAACTCTCCTCTACTCCTGAGTTCTGCCACTCAGCAATTTTCCTAAATAACCACCTTTGTCACATTGCTCCTACGCTAAAAACAGTATATCAAGTTGTAACTTCTATGTTCAATGCCCAGGTTTTCCTATTAGAACCCATCTCACTTATCTAATCTCATTTTCCTCATTCTTCCCAAACTCTGGTGTTCCTATGTACTTTTCTTGTCATGCTGTTCCCCTTAGCATGCTACTCTTCTTACAACTGCCTGCCTACACAAGTTTATGTCTACTTTGGGGTTTTTTTTTTTTTTTTGAGATGGAGTCTCGCTCTGTCACCCAGGCTAGAGTGCAGTGGCACGATCTTGGCTCACTGCAACCTCCACCTCCTGCGTTCAAGCAATTTTCCTGCGTCAGCCTCCCGAGTAGCTGGGATTATAGGTGCCTGTCACCATGCCCGGCTAATTTTTGTGGGTTTTTGTTGTTGTTGTTGTTGCTTGTTTGTTTTTGAGACAGAGTCTCGCTCTGTCGCTAGGCTGGAGTGCAGTGGCGTGATCTCAGCTCACTGCAACCTCTGACTCCCAGGTTCAAGCGATTCTCCTGCCTCAGCCTCCCACGTAGCTGGGACTACAGGCACCCACCATAATGCCCAGCTAATTTTTCTATTTTTTAGTAGAGACGGGATTTCACCATGTCTTCAGTAGCCAGGATGGTCTCGATCTCTTGACCTTGTGATCTGCCCGCCTTGGCCTCCCAAAGTGCTGGGATTACAGGCGTGAGCCACCGCACCTGGCCTAATTTTTGGTATTTTTAGTAGAGATGGGGTTTCACCATCTTGGCCAGGCTGGTCTTGAACTCCTGACCTCGTGATCCACCCGCCTTGGCCTCCCAAAGTGCTGGGATTACAGGTGTGAGCCACTGCACCCGGCCATCTACTTTGGTTTTTAAAAACTTTTTTTTTTTTTTTTTGAGACGGAGTCTCACTCTGTTGCCCAGGCTGGAGAGCAGTGGCGCGATCTCGGCTCACTGCAAGCTCTGCCTCCCCGGTTCCTGCCATTCAACTGCCTCAGCCTCCCGAGTAGCTGGGACTTACAGGTGCCCGCCACCACACCCGGCTAAATTTTTGTATTTTTAGTAGAGACGGGGTTTCACGGTGTTAGCCAGGATGGTCTCGATCTCCTGACCTTGTGATCCACCCGCCTTGGCCTCCCAAAGTGCTGGGATTACAGGCATGAGCCACTGCGCCTGGCTAAAAACTTTTTAAATAAAATTTTTTGTAGAGATAGGGTCTCACTATGTTGCCCAGGCTGGTCTTGAACTCCTGGGCTCAAGCTATCTTCCTGTCTTGGCCTTCCAAAGTGCTAGGATTACAGGCATGAGCCCCCACACCTGGCCTTTAGCCCCACTTTGGCTTGTGCTTAGAAGCCCTTCCTTTTCCTTAACACTTATAGAAATCTTTTCCAGTTCAAGTCTTATCTCCCTGATGACATATTCTCCAACCATCCTGAGCTTTGCTTTTTCTGAACACACACTGAATTTGCTTTCATACCATTTAGCATCCAACCATTCCTCAGGTAATCTGTGTTTGCTTTATCTGCCCAAAGGGCCTGTGTCAACTCCAAGCCCATGAGGTCTGTGTCCTCCACTTTTTCTATAGTCTCCAGGGCTTTACTTGGTACAAGGCACAGAAGAGGTACTAAATGCTTATTTTACTGATACAGAAAACCAAACAAATTGATACCAAGGCTCTCTACCCATTACCTCACAGCCACCATCTCTCTACCAGGCAAGCTGGTTTACCCTGAACACTTCTTAGGTTCACCTAATCGTATCTATCTGTTATTCGTTTGTTCCTTAAAATTCTACTAGGCTTTCAAGGTCAGTTCAAGCCCCTTCTCTGACACTCCCACCTTAAATAAAGCATCTTTCAACTGTTCTTACTCCTCAACACCTATTCTCTCTGTTCCTGAGCTCCCCAATATGGTAGCACTGTCCCTGTGTGCTAGTCTAAATTGAGATGTACTATATAAATGTACAATACCAGGAACTTCAAAGGCTCAGTACAAAATAAATAATATTAAAATTTCATTTATAATTCTTATATTCATTTCATGTTAAAGTGATAATATTTTAGATATATTTGGTTAAATAAAGTATATTAGTCAAACTACTTTGACCTGTTTAACTTGCACTTTTTAAGATGCGGTTATTACAAAATATAGAATTACTCATATTTTTATTTTATTTTATTGTAGAGATGGGGTGTTGCTATGCTGCCCAGGCAGGTCTCAAACTCCTGGCCTCAAGCGATCGTCCCACCTTGGCCTCCCAAAGTCCTGGGCTTACAGGCATGAGCCACTGTACCTGGCCTATTAGAAAATACAGAATGACCCATACGGCTCATATTTGTGGCTTACGTTATTTATCTACCGGAAAGCATTGCCTTATACCCTCATGTGCTTTTTATCTGGTCCCTTGCTATGCACTGCCCTTTTTATGAGGGATGTGCTACTTCCTCATGTTACTGAAGATATCCGTGTAGGCCTTGGCCTTAATGCAGTGATGGGTGTATACACAGGGACCCTCCATATGACTTGGTTGAGGATGATCGCAGAATCACAAATTGCCTTGTTAGAGCATCATCAGGGCTATAAAAGGAACTTGGATGCTGAGTCCATTAGCCACAGGATACCTGTGCAGTTATCAGCACAGGAGACTACAGCCCACATTTCCTGATGGTCAGTTCCAGGGCTATTTGTCAGTCCCAGGCAGCTGAAGATAACCCTGAGGCCATTAATGCAATTCTAAGTGGCTCTTAATCAGCTCATTTTTTCTCAAGGTTACTTGCATGTTAATAAAAGACAATCTAGGGGCATCCTGAGTCTATATTTCAGAATTCTTTGTGAAAACACTGCAAAACAAGCTTTTTCTTACTCTCCAGGCTTTATTTTTATTCTTCAAAATTAATTGGAGAAATAATAGAAAAGCTTTCAAACACAGTACAGTTATGATATAGATTACTGCTGTCAAATAGAACCCTCTCTGATGATAGAAATGTCCAGTATATTAAGATCTAGGCATATGTAGCTATAAAAATTTAATGAATTTAAATTTACATGTAAATACCCACATGGGGTTAGTGGCTGCATTTTATACACTGCTGGCTTCTTTAGTCCCTATTATCCTAACATGTTTATCTTTCTTCTACAAGTACGGAGATCATCAACATTAAGAATCATTGGAATAACAAATCAGTATCATTTCCATTTTACCTGATATTCTTTATATTTCATTCAATTAAGAATTATTAAATGCACTTTCCTATGGTCTAAGATCTCATGCCTAAATCTTCTTATGTGACCATTAGACTAAATTTCACCAGATGATACCTAAGGGAAACTGATTTTATTTCCACATTGGATAATAGGTATAGGCTTTTATCTTTATCTTATTATATTACAAGTCTCCAAAGTTAGGACTATCAACAGTTACTGTCTGCTACCTGAGATAACACCAAACAGCAATCTGAGTTGACAGCCAAAGATTCAAAGATATGATGAGCACAGAGCACAGGGCTGACCTGAAATGCTGCTTTCCGAATTTGCCACAACCTCCTACTTTCATTCACTCCTTATTTTGCTTTGCCTCCTCTTAAAATGGTCAGATTTAAACATCTGAGGCAGGCACTGAGCCTATGATGATGATAACAACTGTAGTACTAGAAGTAGCTGCCAACACTGAGTCCTCACTGCGTGACATCACTAGCTAAGGACTTTGCACATGTGAACCAGAAATGAAATTGTAAGCTACCCAACGGACTGAATGGATCCCCCCTACCCTGGCCAGGGGGATCCCAAAGAAACCTGAAGAACTAGTTCAGGCCATGAGGGGAAGAGAGGTTGGGCATGCCTCATTATATACCCTCCCTTTAGAGTTTAGGCACAACTGACCAGCTTTAACACTCAAATAGAGATCATAAGACTGACATAACAGAATCTTTGTAGCAATACAATACCTACCTCCAACCTGACCCTGGTAGAGCATCACATGACAGACAGCAGGCTCTGAAAGAAATCAAAGTATTTTACCCCGAAATTCATTTATTTATTTTTTGGGAGAGAATTTCGCTCTTGTCGCCCAGGCTGGAGTGCAATGGCACGATCTCAGCTCACCTGGAACCTCTGCCTCCTGGGTTCAAGTGATTCTTTTGCCTCAGCCTCCTGAGTAGCTGGGATTACAGGTGCATACCACCACACCTGGCTAATTTTTGTATTTTTAGTAGAGATGGGGTTTCACCATGTTGGCCAGGCTGATCTCGAACTCCTGACCTCAGGTGATCCACCTGCCTTGGCCTCCCAAAGTGCTGGGATTACAGGCATGAGTCACTGTACCCAGCCTTACCCCAAAATATATTTCTTTGACATATTTTGAAATGGCCCTGCAAAGCCATCCCTTGTGGGAGAAATGTCCATTCTGTAGAGAGCCCCTGTCCCTTTCCAGGTCTTTTCCTGATCCAGGAGAGATCTGACACCTTTTAAGGTCCCATAAGAGAGGTTTACCATCTAATCTCTCTGAAGCCTGCTACTGGGAGGCTTCATCTACATAACAAGAACCTTGGCTTCTACAATCCCCCTTATCTTAACTCAAGCATTTCTTTCAGTTGACTTCAACTCTTTAGGCAAAGCTTAACTTTTTCAACCAACTGCCAAACAGAAAATCTTTGAATCCACTTACTTATGACCTGTAAGCCCCTGCTTAGAGATGTCCTACCTTTCTAGGCCAAACCAAGTGTTGTCGAAAAGAGTCGAACTCTGTAAAATATTTGAAGAGATTTATTCTGAGCCAAATATGGGTGACTGTGGCCTGTGACACAGCCCACAGGAGGACCTGAGAACATGTGCTCATGGTGCTCAGGGTACAGCTTGTTTTTATACATTTTAGAGAGGCACGAGACATCAATCAAATACATTTAAGAAATGCATTGGTTTGGTCCAGAAAGGCGGGACAGCTCAAAGCTGGGGTGGGGGTTGGGGGGGCTTCTACGCTATAGGTAAATTTAAACATTTTCTGGTTGACAATTGGTTGAGTTTGTCTAAAGACCTGGGATTGGTAGAAAGGGAATGTTCAGGTTAAGATAAAGATTGTGGAGATCAAAGTTCCTTTGAAGTCTTATAGTAGCTGCCCTTAGAGACAATAGATGAGAAATATTTCCTATTCAGATCTTAGTTAATCTCTTTAGGATTGGGAGGGTCTGGAAAAAAAAGATCTAGCTATGTTAACAGAGATTTTTTTTTTTTTTGAGACAGAGTCTCGCTCTGTCGCCCAGGCTGGAGTGCAGTGGCGCGATCTCGGCTCACTGCAAGCTCCGCCTCCCGGGTTCACGCCATTCTCATGCCTCAGCATCCTTAGTAGCTGGGACTGCAGGCGCCCACCACCACGCCTGGCTAATTTTCTGTATTTTTAGTAGAGACGGGGTTTCACCGTGTTAGCCAGGATAGTCTTGATCTCCTGACCTTGTGATCCGCCCGCCTCGGCCTCGCAAAGTGCTGAGATTACAGGCGTAAGCCATCGCGCCTGGCCCAGAGATTCTTTACAGATACAAATTTTCCCCCATGCAGAACAGCTTTGCAGGGCTATTTCAAAACATGGCAAAGAAACATGTTTTGGGGTAAAATATTTTGATTTTCTTCTTTGTCTTGTAATGTTATGCCAAAGTCAGCTTGGAAAGTAAATCACGATATATAGGGTTGAATAAAACCCATCTGGTGAGAATTTATGATTTGTGGGGCATGACTCCCCAGACCCCTTAGATAGGAATTTGGGCAAGATAAAAAAAAAATCAGAGTTTCGTCCTCACAATGTATACCTTACATGTATTGATTTATGTCTTGCGTGTAACTTCTGTCTCCCTAAACCATGCTGTAACCCAACCACCTTGGGCATGTGTTCTCAGGACCTCTTGAGGCTGTATCATGGGCCACAGTCACTCATATTTGGCTCAGAATGAACCTCTTCAAATATTTTAGAATTTGGCTTTTTTCATTAACACGTTATCTTTTCAAACCCTCAAGAATCTGGGGTCATTCTTGGTCACAAGTGTACATTGGCCTTCTGTTGGGGTATTGAGCTGTCAGAAACAATGAGAATTGTCTTTACAATTGAGCAGACGAGGGTCCAGAACATAGAAACAGGACCGGCTCGAAGGCCCAGAGCAGCAAAGACCACAATATTATTCTTGGGGCAAACAGGTTGGAACAGTATAATATGCTACAAACAAAATCAAATGGTGACTGTCCCCTGTTTTTCCTAGTAACTTAGAAACAAGAACATGTCATCTGTTGTGGGAAATTCACTAAGTAAAACTGCCCCTCCCGAAGCCACTACTGTTTGTTTTTTTTTGTCAGCACTAAAAGCAGCAAACTATCCTAACTACATACGTATACCGGATTTGGATGTTTAATTTCAACTGTCAAAAAAAAAAAAAGCAAAACTATTAATACTTTCCAATATAAACCATAGACCACAAAGTGCCAGTGTTCAGAATAAGCCAGTCTCAGTAGGATGTGGCATGTTTGTAGGAAACCACACCTAGCAACCAGAAATTTATTATGCCTCTGGTCCGTTTATTTGAAAAAGAACACAGTCAATGTTGAAGGAAACAAAATAAACTTACAGTGAAAATATATTTGTAGAGCAGTTTCAAGCCCTTGGATGTAGCTAGATTAGCATTACTAATTTACAAGCATTCCATTCTTACTCAGTCTTTTTATTATGTGCATATGGGGTCAAAGAAAATAAACACTAAAGGGGAGAAACCTAGACCTCAGTGCAGTCCAACATTTGAAAACTCTGTGCCAATGTTTTTTAAATAATGGAAAACATGAAAAATTCCTCCTTAATGATAATACTTAGCCATTTCATCTCTTCATTAACTCAAAGTTATCTGTTCACAAATACACACATTATCCTTTCCCATTCTCTCAACTGCCCTCTCTAGGGCAGTCACGCAGAGCATGTTTGGCAATGTCTGCAGACAGTTTTGGTTGTTATAGCTTCATGAGGGTGCTACTAGCAACTAGTAGGCAGAGGCCAGGAATGCTGCTAAAGACCCTCCAGGGCACAGGACAACCCCCTACAACACACAATGATCCATCCTCAATGTCCATCATGCCGCAGTGGAGAATCCCTGCCACATCCGGACATGGGCAATGCCTTGTATTTCCAGGAGGGGAACGAGATGAGAGAGGTGTGAGGAAGACCATTTCCTGCCTCACTCAATCTTCCATCCTTACAGCAGAGCACACACTTGCAAACTGATCAGCTAGAATTAATTCAGTAATTCCTAACTCAGGACAGAATATTCCAGAACGTTGAAGCTAGTAAACTGTTTACAAACATTTACATGCAACTTCCAGAAACTTAAGGTTCCCAGAAATAATTTGTGGTTTGTGGATCAACCTTTGTTTAAAAGAAAAAAAAAAAGACAATTGCTACCAAGAAATAATAAACAACAGGTTCCAAAATATTAAAAACCGGGATCTGTCTCTTGTCCAGTTTCTGCATGACATCATTTTAACATGCTAAAATTAGTCAAGAAAGAACATTCTACATTTACTTTCATGAATCAACAGAGAAACAGTTATTCTCACAGTTCATAAGGCATATAATCCTACACTGGAAAGCCAAAGACAGCATAGCTACAAATGTTTAACATGTGTGATTATTATAAAGATGAGTATTTTTGCTCTTGCACACTTGCTCCCTCTTTTCTTTTCTCTTTTTTTCTAAGAGATGAGATTTCACTCTGTCACTCAGGCTGGAGCCCTTTTTGTTCTCTTTAAGGAAGTGGTGTACTCACAGGCTCGGTTCCGGGTTTTGTAAGTACAAGTATAGAGGCTGCAGGGCCTCGCTGGCATGAATCTCGGAATCTGGAACTTTCTCCACAGCAATTTGCCTGGAGAGGCTTGAAGAATGACCCTCAGGCTGTTCATCACCACCATCTTTAGCTTGAAATCTTGATCAGTTCCCAGTTAAGTTGCAGGAACTTAATAATCTAGAGGGATGAGGGCAGAGGAGGGAAAGCTGTAAACAACAGAAACTTAAGATGATGGAGAAACCTCTAAGCAGGACAATATTCAGACTAGCAGTACACACCCTGAGGTGGAGGGAGGGAGGGCAGATGAGAGTCAACGGTTTATCCACTCTTGTTCCTCAAACTCATTGGTCCCCTCAGTGGAGGGCAGGGAGGGTCCTGAGGACTGACTCACATGCTTTGCCTTTCCCTCAGGGTTGGCGAATATTAGAAATCCAGAGAAAAGCTTCTCTTTATCCACAAGAATGAAAAACTGTTTACAGTACAGTTTCTTAAAAAAAAAAAAATTGCTCCAGGAAATCCCAATTAATTATCCAGCATGGTATTTACATGTACGAAGAACCCCAACATTAAAGCTCCCTCCAGGCTGACTAAAAACAAACATCTGCATCTAGATTGCATACAAAACAACAACAACAAAAAAACAAAAACAAAAACAAAACAAAAAACCCAAGATACATCCTGCCAAAATAGTCATGGACAGTTTTGAAATCTGAGCTTAAATATAATCTATGACTCTTTGCCAATTTTAGGTGTAACACAATGGCCCTTGAACATGGGAAAACAGACAAAGTTAATCCTGAATTCTCTCTCTACCTTTCACATGGTCACAGTCAAAGTCTCAGAAGATGAAGATGATGCTTTCCAAGGTATTCACTATGGTGTTCTGAAGTTATGGTAATATTAACTTTGAACACTTTCCCCACCACAATACTGCTTCATCCATTTTCCCTGAAAACTATCCCTATTCCATTCTGAAATTTTGAAAAAAAAAAAATCAATTCTTCTTGGTTACACATTCATTCCACTACAGATTTAGAAGTGTTTAGTCTGAGTACTTGAGACACATTCAAACAGATGTTCAGGACATCCTTTGTGCAACCATGACTGTGGTGTGGCTGCAAGGCCATGTGCTCTGGGCCTGCTAAGATCTCGGCCTCACATCCATTTGCACTCCTGCCTGCCCACCAGCTACGTGGGCTTCAGATCTTCCAACTCCTTTCTTTCCCTCCGACCTGTGCAGAGGCTCTTTTTTGTATTTTTCATAGAGATAGGGTTTTACCATGTTGGCCAGGCTGTTCTTGAATCCCTGATCTCAAGTGATCCTCCCACCTCAAGCCTCCCAAAGTGCTGGGATTACAGGTGTGAGCCACTGTGCCCGACCATCCCTGGCTAACTTTATTTTTTTTAGAGATGGGGGTTGGCGGGGGCGGGGGGGGGGGTTCTCACTATATTACCTGGGCTGGTCTCAAACTCCTGGACTCAAGCAATCCTCCTGCTTAATGGCCTCGCAAAGTGCTGGGATAACAGGTGTGAGCCACTGCATCTGGCCTGCTTATAGTTTTATGTGTGTGTTTGTGTATATACATTTTTGAACGGAGCATGTATGTCAAAATGCACCTTATTTAAGAGATGCAAATGTTTGACTCAGGATATCAAACATGGACTGGTAATCAACTTTCAAGGGATTATCTTGATGGTGCCTTGAGCTAAATAATAGTGATATAGGAGTTAAGAAGAAATTACTTAGGCAGATAGTGAGGATATGGGAGTCCTCAGTAAGGTTTTCCTTTTAATAAAAAGCAGCCCCCAAATCATTTTCTTTCCTAACAAAGAGCAGCCTGTAAAATTGAGCTGCAGACATAGACAAGCAAGCTGGAAGCTTGCACAGGTGAATGCTGGCAGTTGTGCCAATAGAAAAATACTACATAGGACTAGGCATGTTCCAAATGGCGGCTTCATCTTCCCTTTGCCAGCTAAGTGTACAGTAAGGAGCAGACAAGATGGCACTGGCCAAGTAGAAAGCCCCTTTGCAAAATAAGATTAGGGTGGGGCGACCAGCCTTCCTGCGTGCTATGTAAATGTCACACCTGGTCGAACCAATCTGTGGCCCCTATGTAAATCAGACACCGCCTCCTCAAGCCTGCCTATAAAATCTGCTGCAGTCCGCCACTTGTCCCATTTTTGGACGCCTCTCTTGCAAGAGAGAGAGCTGCTCTCCTCTCGCAAGAGAAAGAGCTGCTCTCCTCTCTCCTTTCTTCTGCCTATTAAACTTTCCTCTCCTGAACTCCACGTGTGTGTCCCTGTCGTTAATCTTCTCCGTGTGAGACACCGAACCCAGGGTATTTACCCCAGAAAACAAAGCCGCGTCATTAGCACCCTGTTTTCAAATAACTTCCTTAACTGAATTAACTGAGCAGACTTAAAGAACAATAGGCCATTGGCAACTTCAATTTAGAATCTCACTCTGCTTTGTTTTTCTTAACAAAGAAAAACTTTATTATGGAAAACTTAAATTTTATACAAGTATAGTGAGAACACTATAATAAAACCACCCATGTACCCAATATTCCATTTCAACAATTGTCTGTTCATGGCCAATCAAGTTTTATTTATACATCTTCTACCCCCCCTCCTGCCATTTTTCCTCCCCAGCTTATTTTGAAGCAAATTCCCAGACATCCTATCAACTTATCCCTCATTGTATTTTTGAAATCAAAGGACACTTTGATCTCATCTCCTCCTCAAACAATCAGCAGCAAGCCTAGCCACCTCCACCCATTCCCCTAAACTGCCTTTGAAAAACCCGTAACCTATGAGCTTTGGAGGAGATTATTTCAGTACTAATTCCATCTCCCACATGGTGTGGCCAGCCTCGTGTCTACTTAAACTCTTTCTTTACTACAATGCTGAAACCGCCTTTGCAAAATTATAACTGAGGAAATTATGACAGTGAATAAAATCAGACCTAATCAACTCCATCTTGCTTCTAACCTTTAGGCTGTCTTTGTTCATTCCTGGACATAGGCTGAACTAACTTTGGGAAAGAATTCAGTTCATGGTGTGACTCTGAAACAAAATTGATAGCAGCCCTTTCCCAAAAAGACCCCCTTCTTGCCTGGGGACGAGTCTGCCTCTGCAGGACTAACAACTTAGCTAGTGGTTAGAAATTATAGTTTAGGGGTTGTGCAGCCTCTGGCTCAGAGTCTGAACCTCCCCAAATTGCTCCTTGGGATAACATCACTATTGTAAAACCTAAGATCAGCGCTTGAGATATTTTGCAGACCCTGCACTTGATGGATCAGCTGACACCACCCAGACCCGTAATCTGGCTCAACCAGTTCTGCCATCCTACCCAGGAACAAAAGACAGCAAGAAAACCTCACTTCAACCCCCTATGATTCCATCTCCAACCTGAGCAATCAGCACTCCCCACTTCTCAAGCCCTTACCCGCGAAATTATCTTTAAAAACTGATCCCTGGATGCTCGGGGAGACTGATTTAATAATAAAACTCTGGTCTCCCACACAGTTGGCTCTATGTGAATTACTCTTTCTCCATTGCAATTCCCCTGTCTTGGTAAATCGATTCTGTCCAGGCAGCGGGCAATGTGAACCCACTGGGCGGTTACAATGCCCCGTGGTCTTTCTTTGTGCAGCAGGCAGGAAGAATCCCTTGAGTGGTTACAATAATATGAACTGAAATGGTTAAGATTAATGCTTAAAGTACACCCTTAAATTTATGCAAGAATCTAGAACCCAAGGAGCAGGAAAAATAGTTGCTCAGTTACACTATACAAGAAGTTTGGCCAGGTGCAGTGGCTCACGCCTGTAACCCCAGCACTTTGGGAAGCTGAGGCTGGTGGATCATGAGGTCAGGAGATCGAGACCATCCTGGCCAACATGGCGAAACCCCATCTCTACTAAAAATACAAAAAATTAGCCGGGCGTGGTGGCGTGCACCTGTAGTCCCAGCTACTCAGGAGGCTGAGGCAAGAGAATCGCTTGAACCCGGGAGGTGTAGGTTGCAGTGAGCCGAGATCATGCCACTGCACCACTGCACTCCAGCCTGAGTGACAGAGTGACAGAGCGAGACTCCGTCTCAAAAAAAAAAAAAAAAAAAAAAAAAGAAGTTGACGCTTTCTGTGGCTTCAAATGGTGCAAGCTATGAAAGCTCTTTGAAAAAGCTGCTAAGTGTTATATAAATACAAGTTATTATTACTCAAATTGATTTTGTTAAAATGCTACCCATCATATAAATGCAAAAAGCTATGAAAATAGTCATTTTGGACGACTTTTAGTATCATTTTTTTGTTTTCTTTTAAAGTCAATAAATATCCCCAAACAAACAACTGCAACTAATCAGGATTCCCTCTGATAAAACTGATTTGACATTAAAATGAAATTTCAAAACCTTCTAAAAGATATGGGGAAAGCTTGCCTTAACTGTTCTTCCTTTCCATTGATTTCCAGTCCTGAACTGAAGGAACAGTGAGTGATTATCTCATGTCGAGCACTGTGCTGTGTAAAGATGAAAAGATCATGCTCTTTCCCCACTCCCACAAGCTTGCAATCTACAAAGAAAAACTATTTAAACAAATACTTCTTTTTTTGTTACCTTTTAAAAATTGTGATAAAACATATATAATAGTTATCATTTTAACCAGCTGTAAATGTACAAATTCAGTGGCATTAAATACATTCATAATGTTGTGCAACCATCACCACCATCTGCACCCAAAACTATTTCATCATCCCCAACATAAACTATGTACTCACTAAACAATAACTCCTCCTCTATCCCTTAGCCCCTGGCAATCTCGCTTTTACTTTGTCTCTGTGTATTTATTTGCCTATTCTAGATACCCCACGTAAGTGGGATCGTACGGTATTTGTCCTTCTGTGACTGGCTTATTTTACTTAGTATAATTAAACAGATTTTTCTTTTCTTTTCTTTTCTTTTCTTTTTTTTTTTTTTTTTTTGAGACAGAGTCACGCTCTGTCACCCAGGCTGGAGTGCAGTGGTGCGATCTCGGCTCACTGCAACCTCCGCCTCCCAGCTTCAAGCAATTCTCCTGCCTCAGCCTCCAGAGTAGCTGGGAATACAGGCACCCACCACCATGCCCGGCTAATTTCTGTATTTTTAGTAGAGACGGGGTTTCACCATGTTGGCCAGGCTGGTCTCGAACTCCTGACCTCAGGTGATCTGCCCACCTTGGCCCCTAAAGTGCTGGGATTACAGGCATGAGCCACCGTGCCTGGCCATAAACAGAAATTTCTTAATCAAAGCTGGACACAATGACGGCCTTGATTTAGTGCAATGGGAATATGTGGCGCAGGGGCTCTAAGTTTCAGGAAAGGGTGGCATCTGAAAAATGTATTGTAGGAGAGAGACAATTTAACAGGGAGGCAAAGGCAGAGGGATGGACAGGGGAACCTTCCGCGATGATGAGGAGGTGGCAGGGGATGATGAGGCCCCAATGCTGAAGAGAACAATTGGAGTCAAAATGGGAAGAACTTTAGGTTTACTCAATAAACAATTCCAGTATCAGGGGGATGTGGGCAAACAAGTGGAAAAGGCCTCCTTTCTTGCTCACAATCGAGTTAGAATGAGACATAGTAATTTTTGGGAAGATGATGGCAAGTACAATGCAAAGTCAACAGAAAGGATGTGTGGGCTCTGCCTTCAAAGGGAAGCTTGTGATAAGACAAGGCCAAGGGCATGGCCGCCAGCCAGGAGAGCTGTACAAACAGATGAGTGAACACACATGAGGCCAAGGCACAGGGCCCTGCACAAGAGGCTGTTGGTCGGGGGTGGGTCTGAGGCCTGTTAGCATGGCATTCAGAGACATCTGGGAAATGACCCTTGACTCTGCTCCACAGAGAGCCATCCGGAAAGCACTGAGGCATGGCAGGCTGGGGCTGACGGCCAGGGCCATGGTCATGCCTTGAGGACTGCCCTCCATTCTGCAATCACACTGTCTGCATGACACCAAGGCTGGAGGCCAATGACGCCTGGCCTAGAGGAAGTTTCTCCTGTACATCCAGACTGACTCTCTAGGGCTAGGGGGCAGGAGGGCTCCAGAGGGCCTGACTTCATCCTCACCTTCACCCTCTCAGTCATTCTCCTCCACACTCAGTGGTAGATTGCTTGTAGTGGTCCAAAAGTCTGGACCTCTATCTGTGCCCCAGAATGGTGCTGATCTCACTGTAGGGGACCCTGACTCTGAAGATTTTCTTTTTCTCCTTTAGACAAAACAAAAACAAAACCCCACAAACCTCAAACCTGTTTTTCTGAAAGAAAGCCAAGAGTATTTCTGAACTTCCCATCATTCCAAGTCTGCTATTAATATTTGTCAATGCACTGGCCAAGCAGATGCCCAGGGGATGCAGCAGGAGGTGGGGCTAGATGAGGATTTGAGATTAATTTGGGGAATATGAACTTCCAAGAGACTGGAAGCCTTTTGGATATTATTCCATGGGTACAGGAGAAAGCAGTGATGGTTTCTGATGACTCTGACAATGGAGTACGGGATGGATGGGAGTGAGTGGAGCCAGGAAAGTCAGTGAGGAGGTGATTCCTTTAACCAACCTTCATTCAGTCTATCACTCTTTTATTCTTTTTGTCATTAAGATATCAATTGAACATCTATTAAGTATGAAACATGGTTCTAGGTTCATTGGGGAACAGAACAAAGCCCTTACCCTTATGGAGCTCACATTTTAGTAGGGGATACAGGTAATAAACAACAAATGTAATAAACAAGTCAGTTGTAGAGACAATTTGAATATGTCTAGTAAAAAGTGGAGCAGGGTAAGATGAATTTGGAGTGCCACTTGAGAGAGGGTATTATATTTTTAAATATATTGTTCACAGGAGGCCTCGCTGAGAAGATAAAATTTGAGCAAAGGATTGGAGGAGGTAGGGAATTAGTTACATGGCTATCTAAAGGAAGGACATTTCAGGCGTGGGGAACTGCCTGGGCAAAGATCCTGAAGTGGGCGTATGTCTGGCATATTCAAGGGATAGTAAGGAGGCCAATATGGCAGGAGTAGAGTGAACCAGGAGGAAGGCAGTAGGAGATGAGGTTCACAGGTAATGGATGACAGATCAAGACTTCTGGGCTACTGCAAGGGTTCTTTCTCTAAGTTAGGGTTTCTCAGTCTTGGCACTGTTGACATTTTTGATCAGATGACTCTTGGTTGTGGGGGAATGCTGTGTGCATTGTAGGGTGTTTAGGAGCATCGGTACTGGCTAGCATCCAATAGATGCCAGTTCCACCCTATACCAGAGTTGTTACAACAAAAAATATCTACAGATATTGCCAGATGTCCCCTGCGGGAGGGGAATAGGGTTACCACAGGTTGAAAATCACTGCTCTAAGTAAAAAGGGGAGACAGTGGAGGTTTCCGAGCAGAGCAGTAACATTTTACATTTACATACAGTAATTTACATTTTTAAAAGATCACTCAGGCTGGGCGTGTTGCCTCATGCGTGTAATTCCAGCACTTCGGGAGGCCGAGGCGGGAGGAGAGGATCACTGGAGGTCAGGAGTTCGTGACCAGTCTGGCCAACATGGTGAAACCACGACTCTACTAAAAATACAAAAATTAGCCAGGTATGGTGATGCACGTCTGTAATCCCAGCTACTCGGGAGGCTGAGGCAGGAGAATTGCTTGAACCCAGGAGGTGGAGGTTGTAGTGAGCTGAGATTGCGCCACCGCACTCCAGCCTGGCATCAGAGTGACAGAGCGAGACTCCGTCTCAAAAAAAACCCAAAAAAACAGAAAAACATCACAGCATGTCCTGTTGAAAATTGCCTTGGGGAGTAGAAACAGGGAGGAACAGGAAAGAAGCAGGAAGTAGGAAAGAAGTAGGAAAACCCTTTAGGGATAATCCAAGGCTTGAACTAATCCAGAGATGTCACAGTGGAGGTGGTAAGAAGTGGTTGAATTTTGATATATCTTGAATATACAGCCCATAAGATGTGAAAGAAAGGAGTTAAGGATTACTGGAAGATTCTTGGTCTACACAACTGGAAAGATAAAGTTACCACAAACTGAGATAGGGGAGACAGTGGGAGAAACAGGTTTTGGGTGGGAAATAAGTAGCTCAGGTTTAAGCATGTGGAGTTTGAAGTGAAACTCCAATAATCTGAGTAAGAGAATATGAAGCACTGAACTGGGCAGTGACAGTATAGTTGGACAGGGTACTTGGTATTCAAAGATAGCCATTGTGATTTTTAAAATGTAGGGTCTGTCACTCAGTTAAAGGAGAATAAAAGGAAGAAGTGGAGGAAGATCTCATTTAATGGCTGGAGTGATGCTAGCAGTAAGACGAGGATGAATCCCTGTACAGAAAAATAGAATTTGTTAGGCCGGGCACAGTGGCTCACATCTGTAATCCCAGCACTTTGGGAGGCCGAGGCGGGTGGATCAAGAGGTCAGGAGTTCCAGACCAGCCTGGCCAAGATGGTGAAACCTCGTCTAGAGATTTTTGTCTAAAAATACAAAAATGAGCCAGGCGTGGTGGCGGGCGCCTGTACTCGGGAGGCTGAGGCAGAGAATTGCTTGAACCCAGGAGGCAGAGGTTGCAGTGAGCTGAGATCGTGCCACTGCACTCCAGCCTGGGCGACACAGCAAGACACTGTCTCAAAAAAAAACAAACAAACAAAATCCCCCACAAACCTGTCATGAGAAACAGGGAAGGGAAAGATGATGGCAGGTCATACCTCTAATCAAATGGGATTTTTTTTTTTTTTTTTTTTTGAGACAGGGTCTCCGGGTCAGGTGCAGAGGCTCACGCCTGTAATCCCAGCACTTTAGGAGGCCGAGGAGGGTGGATCACTTGATGGCAGGAGTCCCAGACCAGCCTGGCCAACATAGCAAAACCCCATCTCCACTAAAAGTACAAAAATTAGCCGTGCATGGTGGTGCAAGCCTATAAGCCCAGCTACTCGGGAGGCTGAGGCAGGAGAATCACTTGAACCCAGGAGGCGGAGGTTGCAGTGAGCCGAGATTGTGCCGCTGCACTCCAGCCTAGGTGACAGGGCGAGACTCCGTCTCAAAAAAAAAAGAAAAAGAAAAACAGAACGAGATGGGGTCTCTGTCACCCACGCTGGAGTGCAGTGGCACGATCTTGGCTCACTGTACCCTCCGCCTCCCACGCTCAAGTGATTATCCCACCTCAGCCTCCCAAGTAGCTGGGACCACAGGCGTACCACCACGTCCAGCTAATTTTTGTATTTTTGGTAGAGACGGGGTTTCGCCATGTTGTCCAGGCTGGTCTCGAACTCCTGGCCTCAAACGATCCACCCGCCTCAGCCTCCCAAAGTGCTGGGATTACAGGCGTACAGGCGTGAGCCATGGCGCCCAGCCCTCTAATCATATTGGATTTAAGGTGTCAATGGGATAGCTGAGAGGAAAGGTCTAGGAGAGAGTTGGCAACACAGCTCTGGTGCTCAGGAGCAGTCAGGAAGCTACAGATAGAAAGAGAATCCCCTCCTCCCAGCAGTTACAGGTATATCAAGGGAGACTCACAAAAAGGAGCCATGAAGGATGCTGAGACTGAGAACGGTCAAAGGCAATCAAGGAAGGCGCAGAGCTTGGAAGATCCAGGTGAGGAGGTTCCAGGAAAATCCAAGTAAACAGAAATTCAATTTAGCTAATGCTTGATTGCAATACCTATAACAATACATGAGGTTATTTTTGTTCAGGCCTAAGGTCTATCCTCTCTGTTAAATTAGAAGTTATAGTTTTTTAAGAGTTGGTTATTTAAACTTACTCACTGCATTCATAAAACCCAAGTTTGTGAAACCAAAAATAATGTTTAACCAGCAAACACAGCACATATCAACTAATACCATACATTACTGTATTTCAGGGAGAATCTGTCCGTACATAAGTTTGTCCATAAAGATGGGTCCCTGGGCTCGATGGACTACAGGGGAGCTTTCTGTGTTATATACTCTTTGCCATCACTGATGATTTATGTATATCCTTGGATTTTGCTAACCTGCCCCTTAGCTGTTTTCCAGACTTAGAAATGCGTGGAAACAAAGATTTTGAAAGCCCTCAATGAGTCATTCATAAATCTTGTATTTATTAAATGACAAGCAGCTTGAACTCTGCCTGATTAAGCCATTCATATGTAGGCAAAACAGACAGAAAAAAAAGAATGTACTCTGACTAAAGGTTACAATTACATTGGAAAAAAATTCCTTCATTTTCAACAGATGGACCCTTCCTTTGATCACCACCTGATTTCAAAAGGCAACAAGCCTTTTTGCAATTCCCTGAAATCTAAATTAGAGATTATGCTGCGATATCTTGACTGAGAAAGCTCAGCTTCCCCCTCTCACCCACTTCTTCCCTGGGAGCATGATCCCAATGTGTGGTAGCCAAAGGTTTCAGAATATGTTTCTAATAACTGCTCTTTGTGCTGCAATTAATTGCCCAGTGCCACCAATCAGATGAAATGCATTTTCCCCTTTCCGTCAAATTTCCCAAATATTCATATTCATTCATTCACTCACAATTCACTCAACCTTTACTGCGTTCCAATTGTGAGTGGTTGCAGCTTTTTGCCTGGCTCCAGGGAGAAGAGGGCAGGTGTGTACAGGCACAGAGAACGGTGCCCTTGCTGCTTTTGGCATTTCAGTGAATTCCAACCCTGATGCTGAGGTTAAAAAAAAAAAAAAACCTCAGTAAAAAATATTCCTAGAAAGCTTTACGGTTTTCCACTTCCAACATACCCAAGAAGAGTGGCCACTCCTGAGAGATGTGCAGGGACAATTCAAGGGTATGCTCTGGGGCAGCTTCTCTCACCACAGAAATAGCACTACTTGTCTCCATACTCTAGCAAGACTTTTAAACAGCAGAGTGATGGCCAGATTATCAGTAAAGGAAGAATGGGAAGCAGAAAGCAACGCGGTTTTCAGTGGCTAGGAGAGAACAAGTTCTTTTCAAACTAAGTTGTACACATCAACTCCCCTTATCTCTCAAACTTTCCCAGCGAAAATACACAGGAGGGAAGGGCACTGACATCAATATTAACCAATTGCCACAAGCCTCGGGGCAGAAGCATTTAACATTGAATGCCACAAGAATCACGAAAACCAACAAGGTTTGTATTTGGAGGTTCCTCTCCTTCAGCTTTAGGGCTGAGCACAAAACAAAAAGGCCAGAAGAAAGAACTGCAGGGTGAAGAAAGCTCAGATTTGCCCGCATGGCACAGTTGTGATGCTGATACCCTGTCTTGGGGGTGAGTGGCTGTGAGTCTCTCCACAGCCCCTAGCATAGTGGGTGGTGCGGATACAATGCAGATCTGAGGGAGTTCCAGTTTACTGAGCCTCGGTTTCTGGAACCGCAACCTCAGATTTGTCGCCCTTACCCCCGTCTCTAGCTATTTCACAGAAGGCTGGACTTTCTGGAGTTATTTGGATTCAACCAACCTTGGCAACCCTACCTACCAAGGAACTGCTCTCCCGCGCCCCCACCCCCTTTTCTCTGGAACAGCTGTTATCGCGTCCTGTGCAAAGAACCTTAAAGGATGACAGCCGTTTGGTAACTCCCATAGTGGAGGAAGAGGGCTGGGGTGGGGGAGTTCGACACCCCATTAGGCCCCACTCAGTACTCCCGGGCGCCCTGCCGGGACCCAGACAATACTCGCAGGATCAACAGCTCTCCTAGCTCCGGAACCCGGTGCGCCAGAGCGGAGAGTCGTGGGAAGAATCACGGCCCTGTCTGGATCGGCCTGTCCCTGGTCGCCCCCCACTCCTCTCGGCCACCCGTCCTTACCTGAGCGTCTCTCCAGATCACGAACCTAGCCGCTCGCTCGCCTACGGGGATCCGCAGCCTGCACGTCCGGCCATCGAAGCTACGCCCCCTCGTGCCCTGTTACGCCCCACATACCAGGGCCACGCCCCTCAATGGAGGCCACGCCCCCACCTGGCAGATCCACGCCCCACTACGTCCGTACTTATTGCCCCGGTCACGCCCAACCAAACTGTGCCAGTCTCTGCCCTCCACCCTGGCCACACCCCTTTAGCTACAGCCACGCCCCTCTCGCCCGGGCCACGCCCCCATTCACCCCTGCTCCCTCCTAGCCCCGCCTCTGCGCTCCCCCTGGGCTCTTCCCTCTAGCCTGGGCCACGCCTCTGAGCCCTGCTCTGGCCCCGCCCCCGCCGGACCAATCCTCCCTCCTCCTGCTCGCCGCTGGCCGCATTAGTGGATTGAAACTAGACCTGGGGCTTCAGAGCCTTATCTAAAAAGTGACTTTCCCTCGGTTCCTCCCATCTCCAAACACCACGACTTTATGTGCTGGGAACAGGTGACTCAGTAGGGAAACAAACACTGAACGTGTCCTTTCCCGCTAGTTTTCATGTCCAATTTACCCGAGTTTCTTTGAGCCAGTTTTTATGTCCTCTGAACTCGAACTGTGGACCCGTGTTCCTTCCAGCCCAATTTTCATATCCTCTAAAGCAGAACTGTGGATGTGTTCCTTCTAGCCTCTTAGCCGACCTTAAATACTAGGCAGATGAGTGGAAAAAACAGAATTCCTCTACTTCCTGATGTCTCCTTCAGATGGGCTTTCCTAAGCACCCAGTGCCCCGTTGCTGCTGAGGGCGTGTGAAGACATCACCCCCACTTTGTGCTTTGAGATTACTCTGCTATCCTTCTTCCCTCAATTTACAACTCTGGGTCCACGTGAAAAATATGAAGAAGCTATAACCAGCTTTCTTCCCCTGTGTACATAAATCTCTGACTCATTCATGCAAATTTCATTTATTGAGTACATGCTCCCCTGACAAACAAGACAAGCCTCAAGAAGCTTACAGTCTGAAGTTGCCCCAACTTGGGTTTGGATGAGAAAATTGGGGAAGATGTGGCAAAAGGTTAATAGGTGGAAAAGGAGTTGGTAATCTCAGGTCATTAGTAGGAATATTTGGGGGTAGTAAACATAGGAAGCCACTTTTATAGTATTTAGTACATTTCTTTACACAATAAATTATCAAAAAATCTTCACTGAATATCTACTCTTCCACATGTATAGAAATATATAATTTCCCCCCTTTGTAGAAGTAAAATTTGCTACTTATATTGCTTCATATGCCAACAATAAAGATTTTACTATCACACAGTTCTTTTTTCTTCTCCTCCCTTGCATTTCTGGCTTGAAGACAGTGAGAATATTCAAAATGTTGGGCTAGAAGGAACACAGAGAAAAGAACAACTTTCAACAGAACACTTTCATTATGCTCGCCCTGACCCTGAGAACTCTGCCTCATTTATAAAATGTTTCAACTGTCAGTCATTTTTTGCCTGAAAAATGAATTCACAGAAATTGGTCCAAATACAGTCTATATAAATTACTGAGTTTATTTTTATACAAGTAGTTCTACTTCACCTTCTTCCACAAATGATTTGAGGCAGCGTCCTAAAATATAGACATTAGTAGATTTAAAAATAGGGGAAGGAACCAGTGAAAGGAGAGCTTAATGGAAGGAGAATGATGTGGCCAATGATAAGATTAACATTTAAGTTTGCACTCCATCAGATCCAGAACAGTTGTCAGAAGTAGGCCAGAAATTTGACCCTAACTAAGCTGTTGAATAGCCATAGAAAAGAGGAAATAGCAATCATTTTTAGGTTTTTACTGTTCATAAGATAAAAACTGGCTTTTTTTCTTTTCCCTTTTTTTTTTTTTTTTTTTTGAGACAGAGTTTTGCACTTGTTGCCCAGGCTGGAGTGCAATGGCGCGATCTCAGCTCACTGCAACCTTCGGCCCTCAGGTTCAAGCGATTCTCCTGCCTCAGCCTCCTGAGTAGCTGGAATTACAGGCATGCACCATCATGCCCGGCTAATTTTGTATTTTTAGTAGAGATGGGGTTTCTCCATGTTGGTCAGGCTGGTCTTGAACTCCCGACCTCAGGTGATCCACCCGCCTCGGCCTCCCAAAGTGCTGGGATTACAGGTGTGAGCCACTGCACCCGGCCTTTTTTTTTTTTTTTTTTTTTTTAATGGAATTTCACTCTTGTTGCCCAGGCTGGAGTGCAATGGCATGATCTCGGCTCACTGCAACCTCTGCCTCCCGGGTTCAAGTGATTCTCCTGCCTCAGCCTCCCAAATAGCTGGGATTACAGGCGCCCGCCACCATGCCCAGCTAATTTTTGTATTTTTAGTAGAGACGGGGTTTCACCATGCTGGCCAGGCTGGTCTCGAACTCCTGGCCTCAGGTGATCCACTTGCCTCAGCCTCCCAAAGTGCTGGGATTACAGGCGGGAGCCACCGTGCCCGGCTGTTTTGTTTTTATAGAAGCAGTTTTTCTTGAATTTTAGTCCTGAGAGAAATACAGTTTCCTCATAAAGATGATGTAGTGAGCCTAGTGGGAACTATGTGTCATAAGGAGTGACACCCAAATCCCCTCAATGGAAACTGTTGGCACAATCACAAAGCACAGTGCATTAAATCAATTCTATGAATTGGCCAGGCATAGTGGCTCAGGCCTGTAATCCCAGTAGTTTGGGAGGCTGAGGCAGGAGGATTGCATGAGCCCACGAGTTAGAGACCGGCCTGGACAACATGGTGAAGCCCCATCTCTACAAAATTAGCTGAGTGTGGTGATGTATGCTTGTAGTCCCAGCTACTTGGGAGGCTGAAGTGAGAGGATCATCTGAGCCTAGGGAGGCTGAGGCTGCAGTGAGCCGTGATCACACCACGGCATTACAGCCTGGGCAACAGACTGAGACCCTGTATCAAAAAAAAAAAAAATTCCATGAACCATCAACATATTTCTGTTCACTTGAATACACAAGCCCTCAATGGTCTGGCTTAATCCAGGGTAGCATTTAGATCATCTTTCCCCAGGATGGCAAATAGGTTTCAACTCACATGTTAACTCTGAACTATTTGTAGTAGCTGCCTGAATAACTATGTTGAGAAGTTTGGGGGCTTTGTCCAGGCTCAGAAAGAAAAAGTTCTGTACTCAGTTAACAATGCTGTGGGTGCAGGATAGGTAAGTGGCTGCATGCAATAACCTACCTGGTACCTCTGCTTTGTAGAAATAGAGGTCTTGCATGCAGAACTTTGTGCAGTCACTCAAAATCAACAATTCTCGTGGCCAGGCGCAGCAGCTCATGCCTGTAATCCCAGCACTTTGGGAGGCTGAGGCGGGCAGATCACCTGAGGTCAGGAGTTTGAGACCAGCCTGACCAACCTGGAGAAACCCCATCTCTACGAAAAATAGAAGATTATCCAGGCATGGTGGCACATGCCTGTAATCCCAGCTACTAGGGAGGCTGAGGCAGGAGAATTGCTTGAACCTGGGAGGCAGAGGTTGCAGTGAGCCGAGATTGCACCATTGCACTCCCGGCTGGGCAACAACAGCGAAACTCCGTCTCAAAAATAAATAAATAAATAAATAATTTCTCACCACAGGGTTTTTGATAAATACCAGAGTGTAGAGAGTTCCAGGTCCCTTTCTCACTCTGATCCACCTATACTGGTCTTCCCATGTTCATTCCTGTCTCTGAACATTTTCTTTTGTTGTTCCCATTGTTTGGACCACTCTTTACTCGGATCTTTACATGGCTGGAGTTTTCTCATTATTCAGTACTTAGCTAAAATGTCACCTCTTTAGATATGTTTTTCCTGACAACCATATCTGAAGTTGTATCCAGAGCCTCTCAATCTGCACTGTGCCCAGAGATCACCCGAAGATCATGTTACAATGCAGACTCTGATGCAGTGGTTCCGCGATGTGACTTGAGATTCTAGATTTCAAGCATGCTGCCAGGAGATGCAATCCTGAGGTTCTATAAGACACTCTGAGGCTGGCACGGTGGCTCATGCCTATAATCCCAGCACTTTGGGAGACCGAGGCAGGCAGATCACCTGAGGTCAGGAGTTCGAGACTGGCCTGGCCAACATGGCGAAACACTGTCTCTACTAAAAATACAAAAATTAGCTAGGCGCGGTGGTGGGCACCTGTAATCTCAGCTACTCAGGAAGATGAGGCAGGAGAATCACTTGAACCCAGGAGGCGGAGGTTGCAGTGAGCCGAGATCACGCCATTGCACTCCAGCCTGGGTGAGAGCGAGACTTCGTCTCAAAACAAAACAAAACAAAACAAAACAAAAAGACACTTTGAGTAACAGCTTCACCTCTCCATCTCTATTACCTATTTTATTTTCTTCATAGTGTTTCTCAGTATTTGAAATTATTTGATTATTTGTTGGTTGGTTGTTTACTATAATGTAAATTCCCTAAGAGCAGGGACTCTGACCAATTTGCCCAACTTTGTACTCCTGGCAGTTAACACAGTACCTGGGGCATCAGCAAATACCCTTTAAATATTGCTAAATGAATAATTTTATGATTCATTAATTCCTTTATCTGTTCAGTGACTGCTTAGTTATATGCCAGGAACTAAACTATAAATGATAGAAGGCAGTGCTACTCAAGTGCTAGCCTATGAACTGCTAGGTACTCTGGTTCAAGCTGAGATAAGCTTGAACTAGAATGTAAAATCTGATATGTCATTAAACACAGTGGTTATTTAGGATGTCATATTTTTTCTTTTTTCTTTTTTTTTTTTTTTTTGAGACAGAGTTTCACTCTTGTTGCCCAGGCTGGTATGCAATGGCTGATCTCGGCTCACTGCAACCTCCACCTCCCAGGTTCAAGTGATTCTCCTGCCTCAGCCTCCTGAGTAGCTGGGATTACAGGCATGCAACACCATGCCCAGCTAATTTTTTGTATTTTTAGTAGAGACGGGGTTTCACCATGTTGGTCAGGCTGGTCTTGAACAGCTGACCTCAGGTGATCCACCCACCTGGGCCTCCCAAAGTGCTGGAATTACAGACATGAGCCACCGCACCTGGCCAGGATGCCATATTTTTTCATAGCCAGGCTTTCTTGATCTGATTAGTAGGATATTTCTGGGCAGCAAACACAGGAAGCCACATTTATAGTACTTACTACAGTCTTTTACACAATAAATCTTCACTGTTTGTATGCCCTTTTTACTTGTGTATAGAGCTACACTTTTTCCCTCTCATAGCAGCAAGATTTGCTACACATAATTCTTCATCTACCAGCAATAAATATTTCACTTTTATTTTTTTAAACAGTAAAGATTTTAGAATCACATATTAGTTCCCTTCTTTTCCCACCTTCTGTTCTATTTCTGCCTTGAAGACAGTGGGAACATTCACAAAGTTGAGCTAGAAGGAGCACAGAGAAAAGAACAATTTTTCAACAAAACATTTTTATTAAGTTCACCCTGACCCTGAGAATTCTGCCTCATGTATAGAAAATGTTTCAAATGTAAGACATTTCTTGCCTGAAAACAGAAACAAAAATTGGGACCAAATATGGTTTGTATTAAGTTACTGTGTTCATTTTTATGTAGTTAGCAACAGCTCATCTTCTTCCACAAATGATTTGAGGCAGTTTCAAAATTAAAGACAATATTGGATAAAAGAAATAGCTGAAGGAACCACGGAAAGGGAAGTTTAAAGGAAAGAGAATAATGCAGCCAATGATAAAATAAACAAGTCACCAAGCCTGAACTTTTTCCTTCTTAGCACAGAGGAAAATGTCCTTGCTAAAGGTGGGCCAGAGATTTGGCTCTAAGCTTCTGAATGCCCATAGCAAGAGAGAATCACCATCATTTTAAGGTTTTCCAGTGTTAATAATATATATAATTGAGACAGAGTCTCGCTCTGTCGCCCAGGCTGGAGTGCAGTGGCATCATCTTGGCTCACTGCAACCTCCTCCTCCTGGGTTCGAGAGATTGTCGAGCCTCAGCCACCTGAGTAGCTGGGACTACAGGCACACGCCACCATGCCTGGCTAATTTTTTTTTCTTTTAGTAGAGATGGGGTTTTACCATGCTGGCCAGGCTAGTTCTTGAACTCCTGACCTCAGGTAATCCATCCACCTCAGCCTCCCAAAGTGCTAGGATTATAAGGTGTGAGCCACTGCACCCAGCCCAGTGTTCATAAACTAAAAGCCAGAGTTTTGTTTGCTTGTTTGATTGATTTTGAGAACTACAGTTTTTCTTGATTTTCAATGCCAAAAGAAACCCTGAATCCTCAGAAAGATAAGGTTGTGAGCTAAGTGGGAAATAAGTGTCCTAAAGAATTACACAGTTTCCTTCAATGTAAGCTATTGTTACAATCACAAAGCACAGTCCATTAAGTCAATTCTATGACTATACAAACCTTCCTGTTCAACTCCATAGACTGTACACACGTTGGGAATTGTTGGGAGAAAAGCTGAGTGTTGGGAGAAGCTGATGCAGGGCTTGCATGTCTGACATAATGTAAAAGAGTCTTGGACCATGTCCGGGGTCCATGGTCTAAAACCCCTTGTGGCCTCTGGAACACCAAGCTCTGTGCTAAAGGGTGGAAGGCTACCCTGCTGCACCATAATCTAAGCCTAGGGCATAAAACCCCTCCTGCTTAGATAGAATCCAGGGCTCAGGGCATAAAACCCCTCATGGCCCTGGAATGTGTCTAGACTTGCTGGCTCCTTGCTCTCCTAGGAGCGATTGTATCTTGAGTTAAAAGAACCTGCTCTCCGTTATCTCAAGTAGCAGAGCATATGCTAAACCATCACAGCTGTAAATCATGTGCTTAATGCAACGCTCCTTTTCAACCCCACATTCTCACCACCTGTTTCTTTGTTTGATCACCAATAAATAGTCTGGGCTTCCAGAGCTCGGGGCCTTCACAGCCTCCATACTTAGTGATGGCCCCCTGGTCCCACTTTCTCTCTCAAACTGTCTTTTCTCATTCCTTTGAGTCCGACGGACTTCATCTCCCCCAAGACCTGGTGTTGGGTCCAATCACCCCAACAGGGAATGGTCTGGATTAATCCATGGTAGCATTTAGGTTATTATTCCCCAGCATGGCAAGTAGGTTTCAATTTGCATGTCAACTCTGATCCATTCATATTAGCTGCCTAAATAAACTGTGTTGTGAAGTTCTGTGGCTGAGTCCATGCTCAGAAGGAAAATGTTCTGTGACTGATTAACAATGTTTATCGTGGGTACAAGATGCGTGAGTGGCTACCTACAACAACCTATGTGACATATTTGATTTGTAGGAATGGAGACCTTGCATGCAGGTCTTTTACAGTCCTACCAAAACAACATTTCTCATTACAGCACACTTGATAACTATCACTTGGTAGAGAATTCAAGGTCATTTTCACGGGCCAAAACCTAAGGGCAGAAATGTTGAGGTGTTGATTAATTTATACGCTTTGTATACCAACCAGGAGGAACTTAGTTTAAGGTTCTGTTATGAAAATGAGAGCATCTAAACAAAGTGGCACGTGATCTAATGCCCCCTCTACCTCGTTCTTTCTTTCTTTTTTTGTTTTTTTGAGACAGTCTTGCTCTGTCACTCAGGCTGGAGTGCAATGGCACGATCTCAGCTCACTGCAACCTCCACCTCCCGGGTTCAAGCAATTCTGCTTCAGCCTTCCAAGTAGCTGGGATTTCAGGCGTGTGTCACCACGCCCAGCTAATTTTTTGTATTTTTAGTAGAGATGGGGTTTCACCATGTTGGCCAGGCTGGTCTCCAACTCCTGACCTCAGGTAATCTGCCCGCCTCAGTCTCCCAAAGTGCTGGGATTACAGATGTGAGCCACCGCACCCAGCCTCCTCTACCTCTATCTCTTTGTAAAGTATGGATGGACAAGGCTGAACACTTTAGGGTAAACTCCAACCAGGCAGCCAAATAAGTGATTAAAGACTGAAAATCCTAACTCCATGCATGGCTGCATGAGTTTTTAGCCCAGAAAAATAAGCATTATGTGCCAAGACCATGGAAAACTTTCAATATAACACCAAGAAGCAGTGTAAATAATTGAGTATCTAGGAGAAAATATCAGAAGAGTCAATACAGTCTTGCTTTGACTACATGGGACTCATTATTCCTTATTGGGAATCATTCACAGAATGAGACACAAAAAGACAGATGCTCATGCATTCCATTTAAGAAACTGTCCTTTAAATTTCCACTTTATAAATATGTTGGCAAAATGACACTCACTCAGTTTCTCTGAGTTAATTTTTATTTCCAAACAGTAGTAATTAATATTCTCTGAAGTAAAAAAAATTAGCCTGTGAAAAATAAGTCAAAGTTCATAACAGTTATGGCTGTTAATTAACCTACAAAATTTGGTGAGCCTTTTGAATATGCTAGTTTCATAAGATTTTCTCATCTTAAAATAGGGCATTCCAACCTGAGCAATGTGGCAAAACCTCATCTCTACAAATAATAAAAAAATTGGCCAGGCATGGTGGCGCATGTCTGTAGTCCCCGCTACTCAAGAGGCTGAGGTGGGAGGCTCGCTTGAGCCCAGGAGGCAGAGGTTTCAGTGACCCAAGATGGCGCCGCTGCACTCAGTCTGGGTGATAGAGTGGGACCTTGTCTCAAAAAAAAAAAAAAAAAAAAGACATAAAATATCAGGATGAAGACAAAAACATTCCAGGATTCTTTGTTTATGATCGATTCTGGAAGTTGGGTTTTTGTTTGGTTTTCTTTGTTGTTGTCGCTTTTAATCCTAAGCTAGGAATGAGAAAAAAAAATCAAATATACCTCAAGACACTTCATTTCCAACAGTTTTGGGCTTCTTAGAACTTCAGTTTATGATGAAGACTAGTCAATTCAGTTATATTCGACAATCAAATAATCATGGGCTATGAAAAATGCAAAAATGAACCAAATATAGTCCCTGTCCTCCAGGAACTTACAATTTGCAGGACACAAAAGTAAATCATGTCAGCAATAGATGCATGTACAAATGTGAACAAAATGCTATGGGAGCACAGGACAAGGAAAGGATGAAGTTACTAGATGTGACAAGTCACTTATAAAGCTATAACTAAAGCAAAAGCAAAGAAAGGTTTCTCAAAGGAGGTGATAATCAGGATAGACCTGGAAAAATGGCAGGAAGTTTAAAGGTAAAAAACGAAAGCCCACAGGATTCAAGTTAAGGCAATCTCCTGAAAACAAACATAAAGGACAGAAGTGGGACACGGTGACTCTGACTCGCAGAGACTTGCTTATTACCTGGGTGACAAAATAATCTGTATACCAAACCCCCACGACACACAATGTAACTATATAATAAACCTGCTCATATACCTCTGAACCTAAAATATCATTAAAATGGCCATACTGCCCAAAGCTATTTACAGATTCAATGCTATTCCTATCAAACTATCAATGACACTCTTCACAGAACTAGAAAAAACTATTTTAAAATTCACATGGAACCAAAAAACGGGCTAAATAGCCAAGGCAATTCTAAGCAAAAAGAACATCGCTGGAGGTATCATATAATCTGATTTCAAACTATACTACAGGGCTACAGTAACCAAAACAGCATGGTATTGGTACAAAAACAGACACATAGACCAATGGAACAGAATAGAGAGCCCAGAAATAAGGCACACTTAAAACCATCTGATCTTCAACAAAATCGACAAAAAAAAAAAAAAAAAAAAAAAGAAGAGCAAAAGTATTCCCTATTCAATAAAAGGTGATGGGATAACTGGCTAGCCATATGCAGAAGACTGAAACTGGACCCCTTCCTTACACCACATACAAAAATCAACTCAAGATGGATTAAAGGCCCAAATGTAAAGCTAAAACTATAAAAATCTGGAAGATAACCTAGGAAATATCATTCTGGACATAGGACCTCACAGAGATTTCATGATGAAGTCTCCAAAAGAAACTGCAACAAAACCAAACATTGACAAATGGGACCTAATTAAACTAAACAGCTTCTGTACACAAAAGAAACTATCAACGGAGTAAACAGACAACCTACAGAATGGGAAAAGATATTTGCAAACTATGTATCTGACAAAGGTCTAATATCCAGAACCTGTGAGGAACTTAAACAAATTTACAAGCAAAAACTAAACAATCCCCCATTAAAAAGTGGGCAAAGGACATGAGCTAACACTTTTCAAAAGAAGACATACACATGGTCAAACAGGCATATGAAAAAAACCTCGACATCACTAATCATTAGAGAAATGCAAATCAAAACCACAATGAGAGAACATCTCACATCTATCAGCACTGCTATTATTAAAAAGTCAA
This sequence comes from Homo sapiens, assembly GCF_000001405.40. Lineage (NCBI taxonomy): Eukaryota > Metazoa > Chordata > Mammalia > Primates > Hominidae > Homo > Homo sapiens. The sequence goes on along the minus strand of NC_000023.11, from coordinate 15,728,019 downwards.
AAAATAACATTCTGGTGGGGGTGTGGAGAAAAGGGAACACTTATATGCTGCTGGTGGGAAATTAGTTCAGTCAATGTGGAAAGCAGTTTGGAGTTCTCCCGGAATAATATGTTACAATATGGGAGATTATTCCGAAACCTGGTAGGATAAGGATATAGACTTTGGGGTGACCAAAAAATCAGAATAAATGTTGATATAAGATAGAGTCACCTCCACTGGCAGGGTCAAAGAAAGTAGTATTGAGGTTACAATCAGTTAATAGTATAGCGATGCTGGCAGCTAGGACTGGATTCGACCCAGCAATCCCATTACTGGGTATATGCCCAAAGGAATATAAATCATTCTGCCATAAAGACAGATGTACATGTATGTTCATCACAGCACTATTCACAATGGCAAAGACATGGAATCAACCTAAACGACCATCAACAGTAGACTGGATTTAAAAAATGTGGTACATATATACAATGAAATACTATGCAGCTATAAAAAAGAATGAGATCATGTCCTTTGCAGCAACATGGATGAAGCTGGAGGCCATTATCCTAAGCAAACTAACACAGGAACAGAAAACCAAATACTGCATGTTCTCACTTACAAGTAGAAGCTAAACCTTGAGTACATATGGACACAAAGAAGGGAACAACAGACACTGGGGCCTACTTGAGGGTGGAGGGTGGGAGGAGGGTGTGGATCAGAAAACTACCTATCAGGTACAATGCTTATTATCTGGGTGACAAAATAATCTGTTCACCAAACCCCCAGGACATGCAATGTACCTATATAGCAAACCTGCACATGTACCCCTGAACCTGAAAGTTAAAACAAAAGAATACACAACTATTCCCAACCTCACTAATAATTCAAATTTAAACAAAAAGAAATTAATTTTACTTATAAGATGGCTAAGATTAAGAGTAATAATATCCAGTGTTGGTGAATGTGAGGATATTAGCAAAGTCATGCATTCTCATGAAAGTATATATTGCTACAACATTTCAATAAGCTATTTACCAGTATTTCCTAAAATAAAAGTACACATAACAATAGGGTGACTATAGTTAACAATAATTTATTGTGTGTGCATACATATATATACACACACACACACACACATATATATATATATATTTTTTTTTTTTTTTTGAGGCAGGGGGACAGAGTCTTGCTTTGTCGCTTAGGCTGGAGTGCAGTGGCATGATCTCAGTTCACTGTAACCTCCAGCTTCTGGGTTCAAGCAATTTTCGTGCCTTGGCCTCTCAAGAAGCTGGAGTTACAGGTGCATGCCACCATGCCTGGCAAATTTTTGTGTTTTTAGTAGAGACAGGGTTTCGCCATGTTGGCCGGGCTGGTGTTGAACTCCTGGCCTCAAGTCATCTGCCTGCCTCAGCTTCCCAAAGTGCTGTGATTACAGGCATGAGCCACCGCACCTGGCCTAATTTATTGTATATTTTAATATAAAAGAGGGGAATTGGACTGTTCCTAACACAAAGAAATGATAAATTCTTGAGGTGATGGGTGCCCCAATTACCCTGATTTGATCATTATAAATTGTATGCCTGTATCAAAACATCACATGTATGCTATATATACAACTATTATGTACCCATAATAAAAAATAAAAAAGTAATAAATTTAAAAAAAGAATATGGAATAAATGATAAATTATAAGCTTATAACACATATTGTATATATATTTGACTGATCTTTCATTTTAAGCAGTATCCCATAAGTTTATTAAATGATAATCTTTAGAGAAACATTATTTAGGCCTTTAACTGCTAATTTCTTTCTTCTTACTAGTTGGGTTAATGGAAATAACCTCAAATTTTAAAATGGTAGTTAATAAAAGGACAAACAGAGGAAATTTGCAAATTGATAAGTTAGGCTGATAGTGATAATATAGGGGGAACCTTCATAAGAATAACATATCAAAATGCTGTGCTCACCGTAGAGAAAAACAGAGTTTTAAAAGAGAAAAGAGGGTGGGCACAGTGGCTCACGCCTGTAATCCCAGCAAAAAAAAAAAAAAAAAAAAAGAGAAAAGACTGAAGTTAAATTAAAACTTCATTTTGTACAAGCAGTGCAAAAGTTTATAAGCAAACTCTTTGCATTCTTCTCAGTTTAAGATGAACAAGTCCAAGTTCAGAACTCTTCAAGGTAAACTGTGCAGTACTGAGACAAGAAGTTGCTAGGCAGCAGTCAAGACTGAGTTCAAGATTGAACTCAATCATTGTTACCTAAGCAGGTATAGAGAAAATTCACTACACCTACATCTAGGAGGTTTCCTCAGTATAGGACTTATTTATTTATACATGTCAACAATAAAAGTAATGATGCCAATTAAGGTGTCAGCACCAAAATTGTCTCTAAAACACTAGACCCTAAGTTACTATTTCTAATATTGGGAAACTAGGAAGGCATACATGATCTATTATCCAAAATCATCTTTTTTTTTTTTTTTTTTTGAGACAGTCTCACTCTGTTGCCCAGGCTGGAGTGCAGTGGTGTGATCTCCGCTCACTGCAACCTCCGCCTCCTGGGCTCAAGCAACTCTCCTGCCTCAGCCTCCCAAGTACCTTGGATTACAGGCACGTGCCACCATGCCTGGCTAATTTTTGTATTTTTAAAATAGAGAAAGGGTTTCACCATGTTGGTCAGGCTGGTCTCGAACTCCTGACCTCAAGTGATCCTCCCCTCCTTGGTATCCCAAAGTGCTGGGATTACAGACATAAGCCACCGCACCTGGCCCCAAAATCATTTATACAATGAAAGTAGCAACATTAGGTTGAAACAAGGTTTCTCCACCTCAGCACTATTGTCTTTGGGGACCCAGATAATTCTTTGTGGTGGAGCTACCCTACATAATGCGGGATGTTCAGCAGTGTCCCTGGTCTCTACCCACTAGATGTCAGTAGCACCCCCATCCCTGCCCACTGCAATTGTGACAACCAAAAATGTCTCTCCAGACATTGCCAAATGTTCTCTGGGGGGCAAAATTGCCCCTGATTGAGAACCCCTGGGTTAAAATAGAATAGGCTTTGCACATGAGGCAAAAATCTTTAATCTCCATATGTATCTTAACCTAATGATAGCTTAAAGAGAATAGAACCATTTTGTTACCTCTTAATTATTCAGCAAATATTGGGCTAATTATTATAAACCTCTTGAAATTGCTTTATTATGTAGACATATCAATTTCATTGCATTAAACTATGAAGGATCACATGTGATTAAAAATCTACAACTTCTAGAAAATTTCTGAATGGTGCTAAATAATTTAGATGCTGGTTTTAAAAATGCATGATTTTAAAATCTTATAAAACGTTTCCATATTCAGCCATTAAAGGTTTTATTTGATTTCTTTTAATGTGTCACAGCCAGATAAATTTCCCAAAACCCAATAAAAATTTACAGAGTAATATCACATTTGAAATGGTTTCACAATTTATAATACTAGTTTTAGGCATTATATGTTTACTACATTTCTGTGATAATGAAACAGAATACTCAGAGTCAAATTTAAAAGGAACATCAGCCCTCCCTAATTCTCGTTTTATTGCAGGTGAATGGAGCCTACATATGCCCACATGCTTTTATGACTCTGATGAACTTTAAAAGGCATCTTGCATGAATCAAAAGAATGACACGTTTCATTTTCATGTGATCTCATATTTACCCCAGAGCAGTAGATCAATAGTTATGTGCCCAGAAAGTGCTTTTCAAGAGTGTTGTGGAGTATAAAAAACACAGAGAAATCAATTTCTTTTTCCCATCTCAGGAGACTTGGTGCCCTTTTGTGTGGCTCATGGCAACAGTCATCTGAACTTTTAAATCTACATGCTCTAAACTCTGAACATTTGGAAGTAAATAGTAACATATTCAGAATGATTCAAACTGCTTTATTTGTCATCATTACCACAGTTACTAATAAGTTATTAAGCTCCCTTATGTGAAGTTGCTGAAATGAGCAGTTTATGAAGCAAGTTACACAGATATAAAGATTCTGAAAACTTACTACTTAAAACTTGTACATGGTGGCTCATGCCTGTAATCCTAGCACTTTGGGAGGCTGAGGCAGGCAGATCACTTGAGGTCAGGAGGTCGAGATCAGCCTAGCCAACATGGTGAAACCCTGTCTCTACAAAAAATACAAAAATTAGCTGGGCGTGGTGGTGTGCACCTGTAGTCCCAGCTACTTGGGAGTCTGAAGCACAAGAATTGCTTGAACCCAGGAGGCGGAGGCTGCAGTGAGTCACGATTGTGCCACTACACTCCAGCCTGGGTGACGAAGCAAGACTCTGTCTCAAAAACAAACAAACAAACAAAAAAAGCTTGCACATCAAGACAATCACTAAATTTGTGCAAGATTTTGAAAAGTTTAAAAAAATACAGATAATATCTTGAGAGGCAAGAATCCTAGTATCTAGTTCCATTTTCTATTTATTTTACTGAGATCTCCATCAAGCTATTTAACAATGAATTTGTTTTTTGTACCTTCTATGTGACATGTCACCTGTGGTGTCTTCATATTTGAAATCAAGTTATTGGCAGTGTCGCAAATTTGTCATTTGAGCTTTTGTCTTTTTATTTATCTCATAGGACCCATACAAGTCATTAACTGAAATCTTGCCACTTTGGGCCGCACATTTAGCAATTTTTTTTTGCTGTGGTCAAACAAATCTAAACATATGAGTACATCAGCCCATGGGCAAGAATTAGCTTTATCCTGATATAAAAATCTTACTACCTTAAGAAAGTTTCCACTTCATGCCCTTTAATAGTATTAATCATATTAATATGATATATCTGCTTTAAAATAATGTGAAAGTCAAGACAATGCTTTTATTTTAAAAACAGAAATGTAACAGTGCAATATTCACTTACAATTCCTTTAAAAAGAATATTGTCAACAATAGACACTGGGATGACAAGAGGAGGAGGGTGGGGGACAAGGGTTGAAAAATCACCTACTGAGTACTATGCTCACTGGGTGATGAGTTCAATCATACCCCAAACCTCAGGATCACACAATATACCCTTGTAACAAACAAGCCTGTACATGTGCCCCCGAAAATCTAAGATAAAAGTTGAAATTTAAAAAAAGAAAAAAAAAAAAGGAGAATGCCAGAGCAAATAACAATAATAAATGAATATTGTCAGATGCTTATTTGAAGTTATTTACAAAATATATTTGGATATTAAAAGTAAACTGTACAGATTTCCTCCCATAAACTCTAAGATTAAATATGTATTCATGTGCTTGAGATTAATAAGAACAATATTTAAAATATGATACATATATATTTAGAGTTAAATCTGAAAAGAACTTAGAAATTTAGAAAATACTTTTAAATGTAATAACTGGGTTATAGGAAAAAATGAAAACTGTTATTATAGACTATTCTGAAAATTAATGATAATGAGATTACTATACATCTATATTTCTTATGTCATATAGCCAGAGTAGTACTCGGAGGAAAATCCATAGCCACAGATGTTTTCATTATTAACTAAGACCAAAAGTAAACAAGCTTATTAGTCAACTCAAGAGTTATAAACAAAACAGCAAAACAACTATAACTTAATCAATGAACTAAGATGAATGAATCAGGAAACAGAAAGAATAAAAGTGAAAATTAATCCAAGAGCACGTTCTTTGAAAAAATAACAACAAAAAACTAGCAAAACTTCTGGCATGTCCAATGGGAAACTGAGAAAAAAGTAATGTATTCACTAGCAAATATAAAGAGAACATAGCAACAAAAACAGATATTTTATAGAAAATATCCTATAATGCTCATGAGAATACTGAAAAATCTGAATGAATTAAAGGATTGTCTTGGAAATTGTAGAGTCTAAATGGATTTAGAAAGATTCATGAAATCTGATACAAATGACCGTGGAAGAAATGAGAAGTTTTCAGAGAACTTCTCACCACAAATATGCATGATTCAGATTATTTATCCATAAAGTGTTTATTTCATATGCTTTTTAAAGTATTTCAAAACACAGAAAATGCTAGAAATATTTCTATACCATATTCAAGGTGGCAATAAAAAGGAAAAATCTTCAAGAATTAGCTCCTGAAAAGAAACCTATATGCTATTCTTCATGAAAACAGAGCTAAAAATCTTAGGAAAAACCTAGCAAAATATGTCTAGTAGCTTGCTGAAAATAACTAAAATAGTCAAAATCAAATAATGAAAAATTGAAATAAAAATTAACTTATATAAGGGTTAGATCAATGTAAAGAAATTTATCAGTATAAAAGTACTAAATGATTAAAAAACCCAATGATCATAATAATACATACTGAAAAGATAGTTACATTTCAAAATTGATTACTGATTAAAATAATTTTTAGTAAACTGGAAATAAAAGGATACTTTTATCAGAAAACAAATCATATTTAACAGTGACTCACCAGATTATGTGGAGTAGAAATAGTCCCATTACAGTAAGGAAGAAGACAAGTGTCCATGTTATCCCACCATTATGTCACTCTGTTGTGATAGTGCCACTACAATGAGACAAAACAACAACATCAACAACTAGGTATTACTATTGAAAAGCAGGAGAGAAACTTTAAAGTATATGCAGATGACATGAAATAATAGGATTGCTTTCTGGGAAAATGCAAAAAAATCATATATCAAATTGAAAGGGGAACTAACAACTGGCAAAGAATGTCTGTACAGCAGGGTGTGGAGGCTCATGCCTGTCATCCCAGCAGTTTGGGAGGCTGGGGTGGGTGGATCACCTGAGGTCAGGAGTTCGAGACCAGCCTGGCCAACACGGTGAAACCCCAGCTCTACTAAAAATACAAAGATTAGGCAGGCATGGTGGTGTGCCTGTAATCCCAGCTACTCAGGTGGCTGAGGCAGGAGAATCGCTTGAACCTGGGAGGTGGAGGTTGCAGTGAGCCGAGATTGAGCCACTGCACTCCAGCCTGACAGAGCAAGACTCTGTCTCAAAAAGAAAAAAAAAAAAAAGGAATGCCTGTGCACACACAAATTCATGCAAAAAAAAATTGAGAATAATGAAAATTTTGGCAGAAAAAGTGCAAAGGATCAAATAAGCAGAAAAAGAAATACAAATGACCATTCAACATATAAAAATGTTCAGTTGTACTATGAAACAAATGATTGCAAATGGAAGCAGTATTTACATACTGCTATACCACTTGTTTTGCCAAAAGAGTTTTGAGAGCCAATAATATATGGCGCGGGATCCTGGAAAATGGACACTCATATACAGCAAATAATCTGTACACTGACATAATCCTTTTGAAAGGAAATTAACACATACTAAAACCCTACATGTTTCTATACCTTTTGACTCCAAAATTTAAATTTACACCAAAGATATTAATAGAAGTGAATAAAAATTTGTCAGTTTCCAGAATATTTATTATAGCATTGCTTGCTGTAATTTAAAAAAATAAAAAATAAATTTAAAAGCATACAACAGATCTATAAAATGAATGAAATATTAGACAGTTATTAAAAGATGTGGGAATACACTCAAAGTAACACTGTGGATCGGATGCAGTGCTCAGGTCTGTAATTCTAGCAATCAAGAAGGCTGAGACAGGAAGATTGCTTGAGCTCAGGAATTCGAGACCAGCCTGGGCAATATAAGCAAGACCCCATCCATTCAAAAAAAGTTTAAAATTAGCTGGGTATGGTGGCATGTGCCTGTACTCCCAGCTATTGTGGGGGCGGAGGGCGGCTGAGGCAGGAGGGTTGCTTGAACCCAGGAGGTCGAGGCTGCACTGAGCTATGATGGTGCCACTGCACTCCAGCCTGGGCAACAGAGTAAGATCCTATCTCTATAAAAACAACAACAACAACAAAAAAAAAAAAACAAAAAAAAACAAAAACAGAACACAGTTAAGTTCAGCAAAGAAGATGACAAAGCTGTATAATAGCATGATTCGTTTTGTTTTTAAGAATTTATGTATATACACACAAAAGAAAACACAAGGCTTAGAATGGTATGTTCCAAATATTTAGAAAACATTAACATTGGTCATTCTTTGACGCTGGTGGAATTACAGGTGATTTTTACTTTTCTCCTTGTGCTTCTTTGTATTTTCTAAGAAGAATTTATATTGCTCTTTTTAAAAAGATGATACAACAAACATCGAGAAATCATCATTCAAAAGAGATTGTCTTCTCAAACGAATGACTTACACTAAGACTCAGTGTTTTACTGTCTTCAACCCTAGCTATATAGATGACTAAGCAAAAGCCAAAGAAAGCCACTTGATACTTTTATGAAGTGTAAGGCTAAAGGAAAGCTGAAGCAGGTTTCTATGTCCTTAGCATAGCTTTCTTCCTTGATGCAAATAAAATGCTTTGTTATAATCTCTATCTCTATGTATATTGATTTTTCCTTACCATCATGACTTTACTTAGTTTAACATTTCCCAAGATGACTTCATCTAGTCTGGCTTTTTTTTTTTTTTTTCCAGGGGTTAGCTAGGTGAGCTCTTCCTTCTGGAAATTTCCATTGCACTTAATATAGTGACATTGCTAGGATGGCTGGACTAAGTTGTGGCTCCCTCTTCTTTTAGTACAGCTTTTCCTGACTCCGTGTCCTTGCGACCAAGATGAAGGAGAGAGAAAAAGCTTCCTCAGTTGGATTTAGCTGATGGACATGGGTCCTTTACAATAAAATACCACCCTTGCAAGGAGGAAGAAATGATGTGTTTCTCAAAGTGCTGCAGAAGTCTCATTGTTGATATTTTCCTCGTTGTTGCTTTGAAAATCCAATATTTCTATTTAACACCAAGGTCACCCAATCTAATTCTGCCATTCATGATTTTCGAGGAATGGGGTAGAATTTGGGGACTGAATTTATGAAGAGGCAGCATGGTAGAGAGGAAAGCCCTGACATCAACCTCTGGGCGGGGCGTCGATTGGCATCTGTGGAATGCCCACGGGGAAAGATTCTTTTACACTCATTATCTTAATTCTCAGAGCATCTCTGAGGTTTTGTTGCAACTTCAGCGTTCTTTTTTAACTTTTATTTTAGGTTCAGGGGTACATGTGCAAGTGTGTTATATAGGTAAATTGTGTGTCACGGGAGTCTGGTGTACAGATTATTTTGTCACCCAGACAATAAGTACAGTATTCGATAGGTAGTTTTTCGATCCTCTCCCTCCTCCCACCCTCTACCCTCAAGTAGGTAAGAGGAAGCTCTGAAGCTCTCCTGGGATGTTCACCCGCTGTGGTGAGTCAGGTGAGGCCCTTCATGGAAGGGCACCCTTTGTTTACCAGAGAGAAAGGAGTCACGTTTGTTTCCTGAATGAAGATAGTCTGTCTATGAACCAGGTATCCTAGCCCCGAAAAGGTGGAAGGTGCATGCCAAAAAACCTCTAGATAGGACTCAATTCTTCCCATCATACACGTAACCAGAGACTCGCAGAAGGGGTGAGGGAAGGATTCCAACTTTGAGTCAGCAGAGGAAACATTCTTTTGAGGTAGAGTCTGGAAAAAAACAACGAATCTGTAGATTTCCATAAATAACTGACAGGAGACAGGTGACTTCTATGAAAATATTAACCCAAATGATGGGTGTTAATCATTAAACCTTTTAGGTGGTGGCTTTGTTCTTTTTCTGATATTTTAATCTGGGTCACAGAATGGCTCAGGCAGCTTTAAGTGCAGAGTGGGTTTTTCTTCCTTTTTTGTTTGCCTTTTGTTTTCTATTCCAAAAGGATGTTGTGACCTCTTTTCCTGGTAACTGCTATTCTTCCCTCCCTCCCTCCCTCCCTCCCTCCCTCTCTCTCTCTCTCTCTTTCTTTCGAGATGAAGTTTCACTCTGTGGCCCAGGCTGGAGTGCAGTGATGAGATCGTGTTCAAGCAATTCTCCAGCCTCAAACTCCCAAGTAGCTGGGATTACAGGCGCCCGCCACCACGCCCGGCTAATTTTTGTGTTTTTAGTGGAGACAGGGTTTCACCATGTTGGGCAGGCTGGTCTCGAACTCCTGACCTCAAGTGATCCACCTCCCAAAGTGTTGGGATTACAGGCATGAGTCACCGTGCCTGGCCAGAAATTGCTATTCAGGTGGAACTCTGTCAACCAGGTAGTTAGCCTTGAAACTTAAAAATACATTAACATGGGCCAGTAAGAGAAAAGGCTGGACAATAACCACTGTCAAAACAGCAATAAAAATAATATTAAAAAACAGCAATAAACAACCTAATTTTGCATCCAGCTCTGTTCCAAGCAAAAATAAAAAAAATAAACAAAAACAAACCAGTTTTCTGTTGAGTGCATCTTTGATTTAAAGGACTTGTTATTTCTCTAAATTTGCAGATGTGTTGAGGCTTGAAATTTGAGCCTGTGACTGTTTTATGAGTTTCAACAGAAAATATTAAACCACCTAAAATGACAGAGGGTAAACTTTCAGTAAATAATTTGGAGCCATTCAGTTGTAGATCTGTTTTTTGTTCATTCCAGTTGCATAAAATATTAGGAATCACTGGGCTCTGTTTGACACATTTTGTCATTATTACCACTCTTTCGAGTGCTCAATAGCCATCTATGTGTAGTGGCTGCCATATACAGACACAGAACATTCCCATCATCACAGAATGTCCCATTGGACAACGCTGTTCTATAGCATTAACTTTGATTTTCACAGCTGCCAGATTTTTGGGTTGATCAAAACCAACCCCTTTGCAAGAAAATGCTTTTAGAGTGAGACAGAGCAGCTCTGGCAACTAAAACGGTAAGTGAAGTACCTGAGTGTTCATTTTGAAAAAATTGCTTTCTAATAACACTTTCTTTATTGCTGGGCCCTTCTGCATAGTTATCTTAAGCTTGAGTAAATCATTCCTAAAGACCTCATTCCAATGTTTTATTAAAGCAATAATAGACTAAAATGGAAATTGTTAATAAAATGGTTTTTATTAAAGTATTTATAGTACATGCTAGAAGTATGAACTGATGACACAACTAGTATGTGTCACTTGGCCTGTGAAACCATATGTGGGATATAAAGATATGTTCAATTATATACATTTATTGAGCACCTATTATGTGTCAGATACATGCACAACAGGTGGCTAAACTGCTATGGACCTTCTTGTACGTGTTTTTTCTGTATGCTTTTTCTTGGGTATTTACTTAGGAATAGAAATTTGGGTCACAGAGTATACATATGTTGAGAGCTATTATCTCTTTCCTTATCCTCTTGTGAGTTGTACACCTTCTCATTAGTATATATGCTCAATTTCACTTATGCATGGAGGCTCTTTCTTTGAAATGTTTTGAATGCCCTAGGAGAAGTATGCTATGTATTTCAATGAACAAGCTTTCAATCTGTTCACACTTGCCCAGGATAAGTTGGTTCCACTGGCAGGATACCCAACCCAATCTAGAACTACATCAATCCTGTTCTGATCTAAATAGCTTGGGGCTTTCTTTTGTGACCAAAACTGGACCCCTACCCAGCCAGCTCAAGCTCTTGGTTTTAAGAGGAATCAATGAAAGGACAGATCAGGTTAAATCATCCTCAAGATCTGAAAAACAATTTAAGTATGTGTTCTGGTGAGAGTTGGCTAGCATCTTCATTTTAAAAAATACTGTATTTCTCTTTTTCTCAGACCCATGTTAAAGAAGAATCATGGAAGGAGGGTTTCCTGTCCAGGGATTGAACACTGTTGCAGAGTTTCTTCCAATCACCAGCTACTGAGCAAGCTGGGAATGAAATGGGTACCTCTGCCAGATTTGCTTTTCATCCAGTTTCCAAAGCTGGCAGAATACTATCCACTTCCAGATGCCATCCTGGGAGGTAGGATCTTCATTTTTATCTGCTGCTCTGAGCTTATCATTGTTATCTACACTTGAACAGGCTCATTCATCATCTCTACATTGTGTTAATAAGCCTTCCCTATCTTTACAGCATGTACCAACTCTTAATCAACAATAGTCTTTCTTGATTTTCAAGTTTGTAGATTAGAGGTCTTTGTGTGCTTCTGCTACTTAAGCAGGGAAAGGCACCAAGGGGATAGTGAAACTCAAATTTATTTTTCCTTATATTTATGAAAATAACTTTGAGGAAAGAGAATCCTAAAATTCTTCACCGAAATGAGGATTTGGATTTTATTTGTATTTCAGCAAGTTATTCTTTTCCTATCTGAAGTTATATTACAGATAGTACAAGGGAACATCTAAAGCCAGTTCTTCCTTCATGCCCAAGGGAGTTGTTTCACTGCAATGTAAATTAGTTTGAAATCCATCCTGGCTGGGCACAGTGGCTCACACCTGTAATCCTAACACTTTGGGAGGCTGAGGTGGAAGGATAACTTGAAACCAAGAATTCAATACCAGTCTGAGTACAAAGTGAGACCCCGTCTCTACAAAACATTTTTAAAAAATTAATTGGGCACGGTGGTGTGTACCTGTTGTCCCACCTACTTGGGAGGCTGAGTAGGAAGAATCACTTGAGTCCAGGAGTTCAAGGCAGCAGTGACCTATGATCATATCACTGCACTCCAGCCTGGGTGACATAGAAAAACCCTGTCTCAAAAAAAAAAAAAAAATTCCATCCTATGAGCAAAATAGCCATTAATGATATATGAAACATTCCTTCTAGTTTTCAGTAGTCAATGAGAAAGCCTACCCTCACAGACAGTGGTGGCTTCAAATTTTCTTTGTTGATGGGTGGAGAGATTATACGGGACTTGTGTTGAAACTACATTTTGGCAGCAAGCTCCCCTTTCACTGAGATCTCACATTTATATGGAGTGCCTATGAGAGAAGTACTGATGGAACTTGTCATGGGCTAAATTCTCCCCAAACCATCCCCTGGGGCCACCACTGTCTACATACTTGCACCTTTACTTGTGTGTAGTTGCATGAAAAAGTAGCAGCCAACTGCATAGGTCACAGTGACATAAAAGATGGCTGTTAGGCCCACGGTGCACAAAATTTCCCAAGCCAAAATTGGAACACACAAGTGACAACTTGAGTGTCCTTAGGAAATGCTCTTCATGGCATCTGTAGACCAATGGAGAAATTGATGGTAAACACGTTACAAACGAAAAGAACTACTAACTACCTTGATAATGATATGATATGGTGGGGTGGGATGGCAGGGACTTCTTTATCTTGGGTGGTCAGGAGGAGGCCTTTGTGAGGAAGTGTCATTTAAGCTGGGACTGGATTAACAAAAAGGAGCCTGCCAGGGGAAAAATGTTCCAGGCAGGAAGAGTTGGTTCTTGGCCAGGTGCCCTGCATGGAGGGACATGCTGATCTTGCTGCCAGGCAGTATGAGTTATAGCAATACTGGCTGTCAAGGCGATGAGTGATGAGGGCAGCTTAATGAAGCAGGATGTGTTTAACATGCAATTCAGGTGCTGGGGTGGATTCCATATGCACTGACATAAAGGAAGCTGCACTCCTACATGAACAGCCTTTTCCTATGGGAAAGGGCACCACATAATGCAAGATGGCATTGAAAATAACTTTGCAAAGAGACTACCTCTCTCTAGTGTGGTGGGTGGATGGAAAACACCAGTAGCTTGGCAAATGGGTTAGCTTTTAAATCTACCTTCCAGAGGTCTTTTGGTTCCAAAGTGAGACTGAGTGAATTAAAAATTCTGGAGGGTAGCTGTTATAAGCTGAATCTTGTCCTCTACCCTCCCAAATTCATATGTTGAAGTTCCAAACCCCAGTACCTTAAAATGTGACTGTATTTGGAGATAGGATCTTCAAAAAGGTAATTAAGGGAAAATGAGGTCATGAGGGTGAGCCTTAATCCAATCTGACTTTTGTCTTTAAAAGAAGAGGAGGTTAGGACACAGATGTGCACACAAAAACATTACATGAAGACAGGGAGAGAACAGCTATTACAGGGCAAAAAGAGAGGCTTCAGGAGAAACCAACTCTGCTGATACCTTGCCCTTGGACTTCCAGCTTCTAGACTATGAGAAAATTAACTTCTGTTGTTTAAGCCATCTAGTCTGTGGTATTTGTTATGGCAGCCATAGGAAACTAACACAGTAGAATTATCCTTTCCAAAGATGGATTCAGGGGTCTTGGACATTGGCTGTTTATTTTTTTCTTATTCCTTATTCCATGAATATTTCAGAAAACTTGAAGATACTCTGAAGCTAGTGGCTGCCTCGTAGCTGGAGAAGTTTCATGGTGGAAGGTTGGCTTGAGCGCCTGTGACTGGGGGGAGAGAGGGCAGTTTTCTGAGTAGTCTGCACTTGATATATTCCTGGGGCCAAGCAGAGGCTTTGGAAGGGAACAGGATGGAGTCATTGCCTGTTAGGCCCATGTCCTCAAGTGAGACAGGGCAAGGACAAGGCAGCGAGTGAGGCTGGAGGTGTACACCCCTGGGCGCAGAGCTGAGGTGGGGTGGAGGAAGTCAGTGAGAGCATGTCACCCATGTCAGGGGAAGATGCAGTGCAGAGGTCCCTGGAGGGGCCCTTGAAGGCTCCACAGGAGCATTCTGAGTGGAGAGCATCTGGACCACCACCACAGAGGACCCCTCACAGCCGGGAGAACCACAAGGGCCCTGGTCCAGGAAGAAGAATTTGGTCTTTCCTTGTCTATCTCACACCCCCATCATTTTGCTTTCCTGTCCCTAAGTGAGGAGAATGAAGCATGGTGGAGGGGAGCACAGGCAGGGAGGGAGTAGGGAGTGGAGCCCGGAGGAAATGGCTGGAGCCCACCACTCAGGTCCCTGCTCTGGCCAGAACTGCTGGAAGGAGAGCAGCTGTAGGTGAGAGGCAGGAAGGCAGTTTTGGTTAGGCTGGCCTGGATGCCTTAGTAGCCAGAAGTGACAGGAAAGCCACACCATCTGCCCCAGATGCTGTCAAGAGGCGAGGAAGAAGGAGCTGACAGAGTGCCCAAAGGGAACAGTGTGAACAACATCAACCTCTTCCTTCACTGCTGTCCATGAGGCCAGCCCGTGGAACTACACTGCTGTGGCTGGAGCCACAGGATTAAGTGACCTCTACTGAAAGCCTGCTATGTGCTGGGCACTGAGAGTCAAATGAGGGCTAAGATCAGCAGTCAGCAAACCATGGCCTGTGGGCCAAATCCAGCCTGTTACCTGTTTTTATACAGCTCACAAGCTAACAATGATTTTTACATTTTTAAACAGTTGGAAAATGAAAAAGATTTGTGATGCCTAACAATTATCTGCAATTCCAATTTCAGTGTCCACACACCAAGTGTCATTGGAATAGAGGCTTGGTCATTTGAGTATCTGCTGCTAACAGGCTGTGTTCTTGCTACAACAGCAGAGTTGGGTAGTCCTAACAGACAAAGCCTGAGACACTTAGCACCTGGCCCTTCAGAAAAGCTTGCTCATCCCTACAGAAGACCAGGACCCCTGACCCTACAGGAAGTCCGTCTAGTGGGGAATATCTCATGACAATAATTCATTTCCACAACAAATTGTTTTTGAAAATCTTTAAAATGTAATGTTACATATATTTTTTAATCCTTAGAGTGAATCTGACTTTGTCTTTCATTAAAAGTTAAGCATCTACCAATTCTACCATTGAATGAAATGAAGTAATTTATATGAAGTACTTGGAAGCGTATAGAAAAAGCCGTAAGTGTCACATATTATTAATCCATATGGAATTCCCATTGTGCTATTCTATAGTTGTAGAAATCAGGATGGGCTATGTAATTTGCAGGGCCCAGTGCAAAATGAAAATGGAGGACCCCTTGTTAAATCATTAAGAATTTCAAGACTACAACAGCAGAACATTAAACTATGGGTAAGACCCTCTTAAGAGCACAGGCTTGTGTAACTGCACATGTCCCATGCCCAAGAAACTGGCCCAGATAAGAATTATATGAAGATGGACTAAATGTGACAGCAACAAGGCACTTCTTTTGAAGTGATTATTTACAAATCTTTACATTAAATGGTTTTCTTGTTATTTGCTGGTTTTCCTTAAAAGCAGAATGGAAGATAGGCCGGGCGCAGTGGCTCCTGTCTGTAATCCCAGCACTTTGGGAGGCCAAGGCAGGCGGATCACCTGAGGTCAGGAGTTTGAGACCAGCCTGGCCAACACAGTGAAACCTCATCTCTACTAAAAATATATAAATTGGCTGGGCGTGGTGGCACGTGCCTGTAATCCCAGCTACTCAGGAGGCTGAGGCAGGAGAATCGCCTGAACCTGGGAGGCTGAGGTCCCAGCGAGCCAAGATCACACCTCTGCACTCCAGCCTGGGTGACAAGAGTGAGACTCCATCTCAAAAAAAAAAAAAAAAAAAAAAAAAAAAAAAAAAAAAAAAGTAGAATGGTAGATGAAAAAACTTAGTTGATAGAAGAATGCTCTAATATCTATAGGTTATTCTATTTGAGGTTTTCTTGGGACTTACATAGGAAATGTCAACTCTGCAGTTATTGGTTGAAAAACTGGGTGTTTCAACTAATTATAAGATTTAGGCCAGATCTACTAAAATGATGTCACAAGGATTTTACAATGTTGAAAGTAATTTCTAAGGAAGCTATAACGTTTACTCCATTTCCCAGGTCAACTGGGAAATTTTCTCTCTCCTTCCTTATTTATCTACAGCCCCTGACTATTTCCCAGGTCAACTGGGAAATTTTCTCTCTCCTTCCTTCTCTTATTTATCTACAGCCCCTGACTATTTCTCAGGTCAACTGGGAAATTCATCTGCTTAGTTTACTCAAATGTCGGCTTTTAGATAATTTATCATTTTTAGCAAGAGAGGTAGAGGTCTAGCTCAGGCATGGCTTTCTTTTTCTGAGCTAAATGGTGTAGGATATATAATGGATTTCTGCCTCTACCTAATTATTCAAGGATGAATCTTGTGATCTAAAAAGGAACAATGTGCTGCTGTATCCAAGGTAAGGGGATTAACAGTCTTGTGCTTGTAAAACAGCAGCCCAGTGCCTATTTAGTTCTTTTGATTTCCAAAAACAAGAGCCCAATTCTTACTACTCTTTGGAGGCAGTTGGCCCTGTCTAGCGCCATTGATGAAAAATGGCAGTGGAGCCAATTCTTAGAGAAACCTTCAGACCAGGGCTTCCCACACTTGAGGAAGGAGAGTAAACACTTTTACCTCTTTTTCGCGACTTGCTTAAAGAAGACATTTGTGTCTGAGTTAATATAATTTCTTGGTAAAAACACTGGTCAAAATGATTACTGAAGTGAATTCATCAGACTCATCTATATTTAACACCTTGAAAATGCAGGATTTCTATTTAGTTACACTAATGGTACTTTGGTTTGTTTATTAAAGACATGTCCAGCTGAACAAGTGCTTGTTGGTTAATTTTTCATTCTCTGAAAATCTTGGAGGACATTCAATGTAGTGACATTTGGAAGAAAGACCATGAAGTCACTAGTTGTACAAAATTTATAATGAGAAGAAATGTCTATCCTTTGATAGCTAAAGAAGTTAACTACTGAGCTGTGTTCTTCATGTGACTTCTCTTTTAGCACAAATTTTCTCGCTTTATGTTTACAATTCCTTTTGGCTACCTCAATCTACAGTATATTCAGGATTCTCCTTTCACTATAGTTTTTGTTATGATGTGTCTCTGAATATTTGTATCCGGGTAGGGGAAGTTTTAAGGAAGTAATCTCTCTTCCTTCTTCCCTCTCTTATTAATGCAGCTCCTACCCAACTAAATGTTTGACAGGGTCTCTTGGGGAAAAATTCCAGAAACAGCGAGATGTTAACCTTTTGTCATCCATCCACTCATTTCACAGTCACTTACTGAGTGACCCACATGGGCCAAGCTTCAGGAATACAGGGGCTCACTGCACAGGAAAGACTTGGGTCTCATGTTCTCATGTCCCAGGGAACAAAGAAATCTATTTGTTGCTGATGGACAAAGTATTTGATAGTCTCCCTAGTGACCCTGCAACTGATCAAATTAAAATAGGTGCTCTTTGCTTGGAGGCCATGAAGTTCAAATCAGGGCAGGGATTAGAGACCCTCCTGACAAAGAATGCAGACAAGCCATGTGAAATCTAGAAGCTCTTTGTCCTCCCCATGTCCTGGGTCTATTCTCACATAGGGCATGGAACTATGTGCAAATTCTGCCACCGTGGGGGTTACTGGCTTCCACTTTGGTATTTAATGCTCTGGTGGGCTCAAGACTCTGGTCTTGGTTTTCAAGAGTCTTAGCATCACTAAATTCCTGCATGGGATGGGGCATGGAATCTAAAGGCCGCTGTAGTAGGAACTCTTTTCCTAACCATACTGGCTAATCAAGGTTAGCTCTTAGTAAATAGTTGTGAGTGAATGAAGCATGTTTAACATCCTGACTCTTAAACCAGAGGCCTGTCTATTGAGGTGCAGTGGATGCAAGAAAACAGTGTCCCACCCACCCCCACCCCCGCCCACAATTTCTTTCTCTTTTTCGCCTCAGTCCCATAGGAGGATGCTCCCATGGTGGATTTGGCACACAATGGCCAGAGTAGAAGCAGTTCCCTGTTGCCTGGGTGTTAGCTCTTGTTGGACCTCGGTTTCTTACTCTTGGGGAGGCCAAGACGTCAGTTAGTTTCTGAAAGCATCATCCAAGCAAGTAGGAAGCACCAGCCCAGAGTGTGTCTCCATCTTCATATACAGCCTTTGCTGCTTTCAGAGCAGGGCTAGGCTTTCCCCTGGCCCCCTTCCCACAACATTCCTACTGTGGGAAGTGGGCTTATTAATTCCTAGTTCAACTGCATGTATGTGAACAAAATATAAACACATCTCTAAAGGTATATTTTTATGACTGCTATTTATTGAGCCCAAAGTAACTTTTTTGTTTTCTTAAAATCTGAGATTTTACTACTCTTGGCAGCACCATAATGTAGGAGGGATGTTTAGTATTCTTCCATTAAAGACCCTAAGCAAGTAAAACTATTCACCTTTTTTCCTAATGCCAATCCTGTAAGAAATGACAGAAATGGTGCTACTTAAGGCATTAGTATAGTGGATGGCATAATAACAAACATATGAAACATGTGAATGTAGAAAAAAGCTAAGTTTTGGCTCTGTCATGCAATGGACAGTGCATTGGACATCTAGAAAAAAGCCAAGTTTTTAAAATTTTGAATAATTACTAAGACTATTCTTACAACATATGGGTGCCAACGTCTTTAAAACATTTTTTTTTGAGACAGGGTCTTATTCTGTCACCCAGGCTGGAGTGCAGTGGTGCAATCATGGCTCACTATAGCCTCAACCTCCTGGATTTGAGCAATCCTCCTGCCTCAGCCTCCCGAGTAGCTGGGACTATGGGTGCATGCCATCACATCCAGCTAGTTTAAAAAAATTTTTTTTTGTAGAGATAGGGTCTCACTGTGTTGCCCAGGCTCGTCTCAAGCTGCTGGGCTCAAGCAATCCTCCTGCCTCAGCCTCCCAAAGTGTTGGGATTACAGGCATGAGCCACTGCACCTGGCAGGTGCCAATATCTTGCATTTGAATATATCTCACTATTTTCAAAGTATATTTCTAGCTGTTATGTCATTATCAATGATGCCAATCAGAACTTGTAATTTATCCAGTGGTTTATGTCATTATCTGTAGTTTAATTTATAGTGCCTAGGCAACTTTTTCAATAACTGCTTAGCTCTTGCTAAAATACATCTATATATCAATTTATAGATATACACATGCATTAGTCCGTTCTCACACTGCTATAAAGAGCCACCTGAAACTGGGTATTTTACAAAGGAAGGAGGTTTAATTGACTCACAGTTCCACGTGGCTGGGGAAGCCTCAGGAAACTTACAATTGTGGTGGAAGGCGAGAGAGAGGCAAAGCCACGTTTTTACATGGTGGCAGGCGAGGGAAGGGGGAAGAGCCCCTTTTAAAACCATAGGGTCTGGCTGGGCATTTTGGCTTACACCTGTAACCCTAGCACTTTGGGAGGCCGAGGAGGGTGGAACACCTGAGGTCAGGAGTTCGAGACAAGCCTGACCAACATGGTGAAACCCTGTCTCTACTAAAAATAAAAAAATTAGCCACACATGGTGGCATGCACCTGTAGTCCCAGATACTTGGGAGGCTGTGGCAGAAGAATTGCTTGAAACTGGGAGACGGAAGTTGCAGTGAGCCAAGATCACACCAAGGCACTCCAGCCAAATAAACCAATAACCAAAAACAAACAAACAAACAAAAAACCATCAGATCTCATGAGAACTCACTATTATGAGAACAGCATGGGGGAAACTGTCCCCTGATCCAATCACCTCCCCCCAGGTCTCTCCCCTGACACATGGGGATTACAATTTGAGATGAGATTTGGGTGGGGACACAAAGCCAAACCATATCAATACATATACATATATATGTCATAATTTAAAATAACTTTAGATTCAAAAAATAGTTGCAGAGATAGAGTTCCTGTGTAACAACGGTTCTGAACCTGGGGCAATTTGTGCCCTTTCCCCACCCCAGAACATTTGGAACTATACAGAGGTACTTACTGTTGGGTTCACTATTTGGCCAGGTAGGGGGCTATGGTGAAAGGGATGTACTGCTGGCATGTGCAGGCCAGGGATGCTGGTAAACTTCCTACAAAGCATAGGATGGTTCCCTCAGCAATGAGGTGGCCCCAAATGTTGAGGTTGTGAAAGCCTGCTCTGGCCCCTTCACCCAGTTCCCCTAATGCTATTATTATACCTAACCAGGATGCATCCATTACAATAGGCGATTAGATCTCCTTCTCCTTAGTCTTCCCAACTCTGTGTTTCTCAGTCTTTCCTTGTTTTTCATGACCTTGGTGCTTCTGAAGAGGGTTGACTGGGTATTTTGTAAAAGTTCTCAACGGGATATTATCTGCTGTTTTCTCATAATTTAGCCAGAACACAGTGATTATTGGAGAAGAAAATGAGGTGAAGTGCCCTTCTCAGCATATGGTGTCAGGGTCCCTGATATGCACATGACATCACTGTTAAGTTCACCTTGATCCCTTGGATCACGTGGTGCCTGTCAAGTTTCCCTTTCCAAACTGTAACTGTCAGAAGGGAATCTCTAAACCCTTATACTTAGGGGAGGAGACCTAAGCTTCACTTCTGGAGGGAGGAGTGTCAAGCAATTTATGGACTTGTGTTATCACACACTCACTATTATATTTTAATACAACTGACAGCTCAGATGTGTCTTGTGGAAAGCAGCTTTGGGGTTAACGCCCACAAAAAGCTACGTCAAATGAGCAAGACAGCATTTCAAAGAACTAATTATTGTGTAAACTCTAAAACTATACAAAGAATAAAATTTCTAAAAGTGAAATAATTCACAAGAAGAAAGTAATATGAAAAAAATAAGAAAGTAATATGAAGCCCAAATAAATGAATGAATAATTACCAGCCCTTGCTGAATAACTATAGATGGTTGTTAGAAAATTTTTGGCAAGAAGCAGGCAAGTGGAGTGTGAAAATAAATGTCAAAGATTTAGAAGTCTTTCTTGCCTCAGCATCCAGAAATGTTGAGGGGTTGTTTTGGAGCTATATCCATGACTGGAGAGTGCTATGGTATTTAGAGGGTGGGGATTAATTATGTGGGACTGTCCTGAGCCTTAGACAAATAATTAATGTTGTCTAAGGCTCAGGACAGTCCTACATAACAAGGAGTACCCCACCCAAAATGCCAAAAGTGTCACCATTGATGCACACAGAACCCAAGCCCCTTCTTGTACCTCATTCACATTGCAATGCCTTGTCAATCACAGAGATGGGGGAGTGGAAAATTTCAGACTAAAAGCTAGATTTTTAGAGCTTCAGTCCAGGACTTTTTGTGTGTAACCAAAACTGTCTCCATTGAAAATGTAAGGTTTAATATTTTCAGCAACAATTTAAATCTTATGGGAATCTTTATTTCTAAGTAGATAAAGTATCTTCATTTTATTTGTGTGGTACTCTATTAAAGTATGAGTTGCCACCAAAGAAAACACTGAAATATTTGATGAACTTGCATACATAGTAAGAGTGTCATTCCATGGTAATTGGGACAAGGAGAGTATGTGGGGCCCCAGTTGGGTTGAGAGTTTAATGCAACCCTCCCTATTTTTCTTTATAGCACTTGCCTTCCTGCCCTCCACCAGCATGCAGTGTATGCATTTACTTACTTGTTTATCGTCTGTCTCCAACCCCTTAGACAGCAAGCTCCATGAGAAGGGAATTTGCTTTAGTTTATGGCTATATTCTATGACTCTCTAAAGGGGAATACCATGTGATTCATGTTTGAACAGTATTTAAAGAGGCTTTAGATAAAAATAACAATATGGGTAAGGTATCCAAATTACCTCCTACCTGGTTTCTGGCCTCCTCTATCATGCCAGAAATAATCTTATATTTTTTATATAATTTATATGATGAAATCTTTATATTAAACTTAATATAGAATATATTACATATTAAGATTTCAAAATACCTCAATTTTATGAATATTTTAATTCATATATAATGAACAATTGCTATATAAGTATATAAATAAAATATAAATATGAATTAAATTATAAGCACTATATTATGTAATAAAATATATTATTTGAATAAATGGCATTGTGCTACACAAAATACTTCCAATCTTTTTCATTTGAAAGTACTTTTGAGATTTATCCTTTTTTTAAAAAAAAAGTAGCTCTTAGCTCAGTGGTTGCCATCAGCGGGTGACTTTGTCCTTCAGGGGATATTTGGCAACTCCTGGAGCCGTTTTTGTTTGTTTGGTTGTTGTTTTTTTTCTTGAGACGGAGTCTCACTCTGTCACCCAGGCTGGAGTGCAGTGGCACAATTTCAGCTGACTGCAACCTCCGCCTCCCGGGTTCAAGTGATTTTCGTGCCTCAGCCTCTTGAGTAGCTGGGATTACAGGCATGTGCCACCACACCCGGCTAATTTTTGTATTTTTAGTAGAGACAGGGTTTCACCATGTTACCCAGGCTGGTCTCCAAGTCCTGGCCTCAAGTGATCCACCTGCCTTGGCCTCACAAATTGCGGGGATTATAGGCCTGGAGCCATTTTTGATTGTCACAACTGCTGGTAGTCCTAAGGGTATCTGGTAGACAGATGCCAGGTTTGCTCTTAAACATCCTACAATACACAGAGTATTCTCACACAGAGTTATCTAGCCTGGTTCTACTGATGTTGAGAAACCCTGCGCTATTTCTTTCCTGTTTTTTTTTTATTTTATATTTTTTTTTATTTGAGTCTTGTTCTGCCACCCAGGCTGGAGTACAGTGGCGTGATCTCAGCTCACTGCAACCTCTGCCGCCGAGACTCAAGCAATTCTCCTATCTCAGCCTCCTGAGAAGCTGGGACTACAGGCGCGCAACACCAAGACCCGGCTAATTTTTGTATTTTTTGTGGAGACAGGATTTCGCCATGTTGTCCAAGCTGGTCTCAAACTTCTAAACTCAAAGTGACCTGCCTGCCTCAGCTTCCCAAAGGGCTGGGATTACAGTCGTGAGCCACTGCTCCTGGCTTCTTTCCTTTAATCTGTGGAACAGTATTCCCTCGACAGCATATACTATATTTACTTTAGTCCCGTACTGATAAACATTTGGGTTGTTCCAATTCTCTGCTATGGTGACGAGTGCCGCAAAGAACATCCTCACCAGTGTCTGTGTATGTGTGCCACAGGGTTTCTGGTAGCTGCGTTTTCTGTTCTGGGAATCACTTCCAAATGCCATTCCAGAGTGGCTGGACTCCTTGCTTCCACAGCGTCACCTGGGATTCCAATTCCATGCGTCTTTACCAGCCCTTGGTATTATTTAACTTTTAAATTGTTGCCAATTTGAAACGTTTAAAATAGTAGCTCATTTGTAACAATTTTGCATTTCCTGATTGCTAGTAAGACCAGACCACAGGAATCATTCACACCCCAAGCATTCTAGAAAACTGGTGAAAATGTTTTCTGTCCAGCATGCGCCACTTCATTTGGTTTGTCCCTACGTCTTTGATATGTATTAGAAAACCGCACATTTTGGGGGACTAGGCTTGCCTGTTTCTGCCAGTAGAGGTCACTGTTCCTCAGTGGTTCTCCACCAGTATGACTTTTGACCTCTCTACCCTCCCAGGGAGTATTTGGCAACGCCTGGAGCCATTTTTGATAGGACTGTGAGTGTGCTGCTGGCACCTAGAAGTGAGAGGCCAGGGATGTTGCTAAGGCCCTGCAATGCACAAGACAGCTTCCCGCTCCTCCCTCCCCCTTCCCCTCCCCCCTCCCCCCCCCCACCAAGAAAGAACCATCTGGCCCAAGTAGTAGTGCCAAGCTGGAGAAACCATGGTGTCGTCTTTGAAAGAAAGAATATGACAATCTCTATGATAATAAAGACACCTATTATTATTAACAACAAATATTTTATTGTGGAAACTGGGGAGAAGCATGCCTCCTGTCCCCAGGGAGAAGGCAGGAGCGAATGGGCAAGGGCAAGGGAAGGGCTTTAAGGGAGAGGAGAGGTGGGCCTGGGGCTCGCTGAGTGGTCGGCTGGAGCAGTGGGAAGTGCCCCGGTGGGGCCGGTGGCTGGTGTGGGGGTAGAACCGCGGTCAGTAGGGTGAAGGTGCTGAGGGCTGGAGGCTCAGGAGGTGGTGGCAGGGGCCTGACTCTTGGAGCCGGGCAGCAGGCTGGGTGTGCTCAGAGGCTCATGGCCCACCTGGCGAAGCTCCTTCCAGGTGCAGGCAAGCCTGAGGCGTCAGGGCAGCAGGCGGCCGCCAGGAAGGATTCAGACAACTCTGCCTGGGAGTGAGGGCTCTGCTCAGCGGCCTAGACCTGGGCACAACGGAACAGGCCACTCCGTTTCTCATCACAGACCTGAAGGCAGATGGCCTGGGCGTCGGGCTTCCTCTGCTCTCTGGCGGGGCGATTTTCACGGTCACCAGGCTGCGGACAGGCTGTGGGGGTGGCGGGCGGTCCAAAGCCACCGCTTCACGTAGGCCAGGGGAGCCTTGGAGAAATCAGGCCTGATGTTGCTCAGCAGCGGCAGCCTGTTGGGAAAGCACCTCCAGGCCTCGGGGACCATCTCTCTCAGGACGCGGATGCGGGCGGGGACCATCTCTCTCTGGATGCAGATGCGGGTGTAGTCCCAGCTGGGAGGAGTGGTGCGGAGGGGCCGGATGCGGACCCAGTGCTTCCTGTGGAAGTAGGTGACCTTGCAGTTCTCCTGGACCTGGGAGCTGAGGAAGGGCCTGGACTGCAGAACCCAGTGCTTTTGGGCGGGGCGCAGCTTTCTGGCAAGCGGCTTGGGCCTTCCAGTAGACACTGGGCTGCCAGAAGTTTCCGAAATCTGCGGTCAAGGCCAGAGATCAAATGTCAGGGCTCAGTGACTAGCGACGGTTAGCATCAAAATGTTGGAAAGTGCACAAGGCGCCGTGTGCCAGGTACGGTCTGTCCACCAACTGTTGCATGGGGCAGGAGGCCACGGCCAGGCCACAGCTTTGCCGCGCGCAGCTGCAGAAGGGGCAAGTGGCGCCCCATGCTGTCTGGAGGACCAAGGAGGCTCAAGCCTCAGTCCTTCCCACTCATGGTCCCAGACACTTAGCTCTGGGCAGAGGGGCCTGGCAGCTGTCTCTGCTTTTGTACCTGACCTTTAAAGGCAGAACATAGAAGAATTTCTGCCAGGTCCTGAAAACTGCAGATACCTGTTGACAGAAGGGTGCTCTCTTTGATCAGTGTGAAAATGATCACAATACACTTGGAGGCTCTTTTAAGGAAAAACAAATCATTTGCTCATATTCGTCTAGGATGACTGTTAATATCACTTTTTGCAATTTTGCTCTTAAGAAAACGGTGAAAGCCATCAGGATTTATGTTTTAGTACCTGTAATGCTGATTTTATGTTGACCCTCATAATTTTCAGTGTTCATACAGCCATATATACATAATCTTCTCTAAACACTAATGCCATTTCTGTCCTTTCATTTCTATTGGTAATCCTGGAGTAGAGTGAGGCACATTTTCCACTAATAGCTGAAAAGATCTAACTTCAAAAACAAAGAATCCAAAGGCTGCTTAGTAACTGTAGTGCCTAAGTTTAGAGTCTGTTCAAGGTGGTGTGAAAAGTTTTTTGGGGGGGGGGCATTTCCCTCAAAAGCACGTGGAGAAGGAACCTATTGACCCTCTGGAATGCCAGAATCGGGAAGAGACAAAAAAGTCGCAACCAATTGAAGATTGGGCAATAGATTTGGCCCAGACTGAGGCAGATGGGTGAATAGTAAAGACAATAAATAGAGCTTAATGAGGAAGCACCAAATGCTTTTTGAGGTCAGAGGGGGCCAAGTGTTTTGCAATGCAGGGTTGGGGTCAGCCAGTAGTTGCAGGGGAATGAGATCCCTAACACTCTCCTCTCACCAATGAATTCCTTTGGTTTTTTGCCTGATTCCTTATTTATGGAATCATCTCTGGGTATATGATTTTCAAAACCTAGAGATATTCCTATGGTATAATTCAGTATAATTTTCTTCTAAAGACAGTTCTCATAATGAGTGGAATGACTTTTTATTCATATCTAAGACATCTCAAGATAATGGCATCAGAGTAGGTATAGACTTTTTTTTTTTTTTTTTTTTTGAGATGGAGTTTCGCTCTTGTTGCCCAGGCTGTAGTGCAATGGCGTGATCTTGGCCCACTGCAACCTCCGCCTCCCGGGTTCAAGCAATTCTCCTGCCTCAGCCTCCCAAGTAGCTGGGATTACAGGCGCCCACCACCACGCCCAGCTAATTTTTTGTATTTTTAGTAGAGACGGGGTTTCACCATGTTGGCCAGGCTGGTCTTGAACTCCTGACATCAGGTGATCCGCCTGCCTCAGCCTCCCAAAGTGCTGCGGTTACAGGAATGAGCCACCGCACCCGGCCTAGACTTCTTATAATATATTTTTCTTTCCAATATCTATAGAATTTCCCATATCCTTTTTGCAATATAAGCCAGTGGTTGTTATTCTGTTTGTGGCTAAAGACTCTCTAACAAACCACAATTTTGTCCCGGTGAGGTACAGGCAGTCATAAGCGAATCATCACTAAATATGCCTTCTACTGGTTAATCAAGGTGTTGATTAGTTAAAAGCCATTCTCATAGACTTGAGAAGATGTCTGTTTCTTCTTCTCATACAACAAGAGGTACAGCATTTCATTGGTTAGTTGATATTAGGGATTAGTGTCTATCAGTGGTGTTCAACAAGGGGTGAGTTTGCAATTGACAGTGGAGAATGTCTGGAGACATTTTTGGTTGTCATGACCTGGGGAGGTGGTACTATAGGCACTCAGTGAGTCGAGGCCAGGGATGCAATTAAACATCCTGCAATGCACAGGACAGTCTCCACAACCAAGAATGATCTGCCCTCAATGTCAGTGGTGCTGAGGTTGAGACCTTTCATCCAGCTTCCTCTAATGTTATATAATCACGATGCATTCATCAAACTAAGAAATTAACATTGGGTTGATACTGTTAAGTGAACTCCAGACTTTAGATTGCCCAAGTGTCCTTTGTCTTCTCCAGAACCTACTCCTCCTTGGTCTCCTCCACTCTGGAGTTTTTCTGCCTTGTTTTTCATGACCTTGATGCTTTTGAAGACGGCTGGTGATGTATTTTGTAGAAGTCCTTTTTCAGTTTGGTTTTGTCTTTTCTCATGATTTAGATGAGGGAATACAAATTTTGGAGGAGGAATGCCATAGAGGTGACTGGTATTTAGGTTGTTTGCAAACAATGGTGCAAAGAATAACTATGTATATGTATTATTGTTTAGGTCTGCAGTTTATGTGTAGGATAAATTGCTGTTTGGTAAACTGCACTCTGATAGCTACTACAATAGTACCAACTTAGCATTGTATCTTCCTTTGATATTGTAATTAACTATTAGTAAAACAACATACTTTTTAGCCTATTATATCTTTATTCATGTGTCATTACCACCTACCAGTAACACATGAGGCTGCCCATGCTCCACACTTGTACCAGCACTGTGAGCAATACAATTTTGGGGTTTCTGCTAATCTGATATGTGAAAATTTGTATTTCAGTGTAGTTTCATCTTGTTTCGTCACTTTTTATAAGCAAGGCTGAAAATTTTTTCACATGGTATTGGGTTTCTTGTTTCCTTAACTGTAAGCTGTCTGTTTATACCATTTGCTGTTGATTATCTAAAAACTGATTTCTAGAAACTCTTTGTATATTAGGGCAATTAACTCTCTGTTTTGTTCACTATGATGTCTCAAACACCTAGAAGAGTAGCTGGCATATAGTAGGCATTGAATAAATAGTAGCTGAATGAGGGAACAGAGTTGCAAATGTTTTCCCTGTTTGTCATTTATCTTTTGTTTACGGTGATTTTCATCAGAAAGGATTTTAAAATTTTTGTATGTAGTCTAATTGCTAGTTGTTTTCTTGATTACTTCTGGGTTTTGATTTATAGTTAGAAAAGCTTCCTCCACTTGGATGTATGAAAGAATTTTCCTATGCTTATCCTCGTACTTCTATGGCATTTTTTTACCTTTAAAGTTTTGTTCCATCCAGAATATATTTTTGTCAGGATTGAACGATGGGTCCAACTTTTTCTCCTAAATGCCTGCTCAGTTGTCCCCCAATGCCATTTACTGGATTTATCTTTTCCTGCATTGAGCTGAGATCCTATCTTTACCATAAAGTAAATTCTCATGTATTTGGACATATTTCTGAACTATTTTCTTCCTTGATTTATCTTCCTATTCATGTGCTAGTATCATACTATTTAATTATTGTGGCTTTAAAGCCTTATGGGTCTAATCATTCCTTATTTTCCTCCTTTAGAATTTTTCCAGCTATTCATGCTTATCTGCTTTTCCACATGAACTCTAGAAGTACTATATCTAGTTTTAAAATTCTGTTGGTATTTTTATTAAAACCATATTAAATTTATGGAATCAACTTAAGGAGAACTGACATCAAAGGTGTCTTTATAATATCTTCCTATGTAAAAACAGGGTATGAATTTTATAAAGTCAAGTCTTCTGTGTCCCTCAGAAATGTTTTATAGCTTTCTTAACATTTTATGTTGTTTATTAACATTATTTTAGTTTCTATTATAAGTAGGTTTCCTTCTTCTGTTATGTCTTTTAACTAACTGTGAGTTATATATGCCAACGGAATTGATTTCTATAAATTGACATGGTACTCCACTAATTGCTGAATTATCTTTGTAGGAGTTTTTAGTGTTTCTCTAATGTTCTTTATGTTTTTTGGCCTAACTTTATTGGCTCCTGCCAGAGGTTAATTCAATTAAATTTAATATTTAGTATGCTAATAACCATGGAGTTAATGATATCCTTTCCACATTAAACATACTATTTATTTTTGAGCTGAGATAAATCTACTTCATCCAGTTAGGGAATTCTTCATTTCTGTTTTATTAAAAAAATTTTTAAAGGGATGGTGGGTTTTGTCTAACGTATTTTAGGAAATCCATGGAAATGATCATATAGATTTGTTGATGGGATGAAATCCATTAATTGTAAGTATATCATTCTTAGTACTGAACCATCTGTGGATTACTGGAATAAACCCTACCTGGACAAAGTATATATTTCTTCTAATGCACTGCTAGATTCTATTTCTACTATTTTATTTAGCTTTTTTTTCTGTTGTTACATATTTTTTAGAGATATTGGCCTATTGTTATATTTTGGGGGTAGGATGGTCTAATCTTTGATAGGTTTTGGTATCACTGTTATCCTGGCTGCATGAAAAAGAGGCTGGAAGCTTTTAGTCAATAAAAATCCAATATGAACAAGTAAACGCAGTTATTATTACAGTTTAGTTTATGAATTAAACAGGATTTTGTGTGCTGATGTAGTAACCACCACTTAGACTTAGTTTCTAAGAGAAAAATAAATCCCAAGTTTCAAACAACTGACTTACATGAAAATTTCTGGATGAATATTGTCGGAGTCTGTCTTTATCCTGAGATTCTATAGCAAAACTCCCTTAAGGATTTTAAAGGGTTTTGAATACACCCATTTCCAGCCTTCGTTTTTTTATTTAAAAGGGTCTTAATTTTCATAGAGAATCTACACAATGCATGTATAATAAAAACATATGTCACTGTCAAATATAGATGTAAAAAGCTTATGTTCTTCTATGTTTTAACTCTTCTCTCTAGCTAATTTGAAATATCTCTAAATTCATGTCCAAACTGAGATAAGACGTTGGTACACTTCAATAAAAATGTATAAGCATTACAAGATGTTAAAACTGATGCCACAGTCTGAGCCCAGCCTTGTTTTAAAAGGGGAGACGAGGATTTCCTTAGATGAAAATTGTGGAGAGAACGTACCTGATCATCATCAACCTCTACTGGCTGCTTCTTAATGATAAAGGTGATGGACTCAAGACAGGGCTGGACCAGGGAGATACTGGACCTACTTGGGTCCAGTAATCTAGACAGGTGGGCACCAGGCAGGAAGTGCCAAACGACCCAAATTCCATAACAGCGTCCTGGCCAAGAGACTGGGTCACTGAGTCATTATTTAGTAGTGAAAACCACTCAGGAATTGGACGCCGAGGTGACGGTTCTCAGGGAGTATCTGGAGATCAGCAGTGGTCCAGAGGAGCTCCAGGCCCTTCTGGGCAGCTACCTGAAGAATTGCTGCTTAGGATGGAATCATGCCCAGCCTTTGTTTCTAAAATTAACTGTGTATTTTTTATATTCTCCAGTGGGAAAACAGCCAAAACCATTTGATCTCTCAATTCTAGTGAGGTTCCAGCAGGTAGTCTCCTCTGAGTATTGCTGGGAGGTATTAGACAGTGGCCAGTGCATAAAGAAGGAGGCTTCACTTCTTCAAGGGAGACTGAGAATTTTCCTTTTAAAATGCAATGCAGAAAAACAACCCCATTAAAAAAGGGACAAAGGACATGAACAGACATTTCTCAGGACATACAAGTAGCCAACAAACATGAAAAATGCTCATCATCAGTAATCATCAGAAAAGTACAAATCAAAACCGCAACGAGATACCATCTTAAAACAGTCAGAATGGCTATTATTAAAAAGTCAAAAAACAACAGATGTTGGTGAGGCTGTGGCAAAAAGGGAATGCATATACACTGTTGGTGGGAATGTAAATTAGTTCAGCCACTATGGAAAGTAGTTTGTAGATTTCTCAAATAACTAAAAACAGAGCTACCATTTAATGCAGCAATACCATTACTGGATATAAACCCAAAGGAAAATAAATCATTTTGCCAAAAAGACACATGCACTCATATGTTCACTGTCACACTATTCACAATAGCAAAGACACAGAATCAACCTAGGTGCCCATCAGCGGCGGACTGGATAAAGAAAATGTAATATATACACTATGGAATACTACACAGCCATAAAAAATGAAATAATGTCCTTTGCAGCAACATGGATGCAGCTGGAAGCCATCATCCTAAGCGAATTAATGCAGGAACAGAAAACCAAATGCTGCATGTTCTTGAGAGAACTAAACATTGAGCACACAGATATAAAGATGGGAACAATAGACACTGGGGGTTACTGGAGGGGGGAGAGGGTTAAAAAACTACCCATTTGGTACTGTGCTCATTACCTGAGTGATGGAATCTGTACCCCAAACCTCACCATCATGCAACATACTTATGTAACAAACTTGCACATGGTACCCCCTGTATCTAAAATAAAAGTTGATAGAAACAAACAAAAAATGAAATGCAGATCAGGAGGAGCCAGAAACCTGGACTAAAAGGGGAGAGAGGAAAAAAGAGGGAAATGGAGAGGAAAGCAGGGGGAAAGAGGTGGGGACCAGAAGGATACAGTGGGGGATGAAAGGGAGAAGGAGACAATATATGGGCCTCCAGAGCACAGCCCTTTGAGATTCTGAATATAGAAGAAATAATCTTGGGGGGCTGGACAAAGGCATCCAACCTGAAGGATGTGGGTCATTGTTCTTTCCAGCTGGACAAGGCAAGTTTCTGTAGAACTGCGCTCTGCTCCCTGCCTGTGGGATGGCAGCTACAGAACAGAAGGCTGCTCTGGGTGTGTTCACAAGGACTTAGAAGGAGCCGGTGTCAGGAACAGAGGAGGGGACAGCAATATGTTCCTGAGTCCCCAAGTCCTCAGCGGCACTGCAGCAAAACCAGAAAGCTCACTGGCCCACCCACATGATCACTTCTGTCCCCTGCAATGTGACCCAGGGCCAGGGTCATTCATAAATTACAGGTCTCCTTCTAAGGCAGTGTTGAAAGAGAACTGGAATACAGTTCACCTACTTAAACTTCCCAATTCAAAGTGCCTTGGTAATGTCTCCACTCTTGAGATTGAAACACAAAATATATTTCAGGCAATTTAGGAAAAATACTACCCCACACTTAGTTGATGGCATGGAATCCACCAATTTCTATAGCTCTTTATGATGTTTGCCTAGCTAAAGAACAACAAATGAGAAAACATTAAAAACAACGGACATCTCACTGTAGAATTGGAATGAAATATGAATTAAAAATGACCATCTGGTGATTACCTAAAAGCAAATCACAGTCTGAAACCACTTAAACTGGCAATTTAGAATGTTATAAACATCACCGAACTAAACTGGACACAGAACACATGAGCAGGCTGTCTGACGTTGTGCCTGCAGTCCACAGGGAAAGGTGCTCCTGCTCCACTCACCTCCCCGGGCCTTCCTAAGCCTTGGCCCACAGGGACCCTGGAGGCTGAAGCTCTTCAAACAGGTTACAGCACATGAAGGCCAGGCTTTCGGCGCAGGCCCCTAAGTCCTCAAGGGCATGTTCCAGGAGACTCAGTACATAAAGCACGTTTTCTATTAATAGCTTTTGTATTTAATGCTTTGATATCTGGGGACTTGTTGACACCACAAGCACTGTCCCTCCCAAGGCTGGCTAATTCCCAGAGAGAACAGACAACTGCAAGAGCACCTTTCATATGCAATCCAGAGCTTACAGCCCCACCATCTCCTTTATCAGGCTCTTAGACTGGGGCCACTGTTCTCCTGCACCAATCACTCCACGGTCAGGTATCAGCCAAGTGGGGACAGCCCCCTAGGCCCCAGAACACTCTGAAATTATTCAAACTAGCCAATCCCAAGCCTGCTTACCCTGCCTCGCCTGTTCCTTCCCACTGAAACCACAATAAAAGCTCTTGCCCGCATTTTCCCCTCACATTCTCTGCCTCTTGACCAACCCTGGTGCTTCCTCATGTGGCTCTGCACAGTGTGCCATGCCTCCAGCTTCTAGGGATCTGGAAACAGGATCAACTTCTTCCTTCATGACAGTCATTCCCATGTCTGCATGTCTTACTGTACCCGACTAAAACAAATCCCAGGTACCCTTAAAACGCTCAGCCTCTAGTGCAGACTAAAGTTGGAAGCATGCAGGAAGCCTGTAGCTGCTGAACCTGCAAGAGCTCAGGGGCCCCATGAGAGTGTGGCCTATGGATTTTTAACCCCAGTCCTCCGTTAGCTAGCTGTGTGACCTAGCAAGAAAGCACTTAACCTCGCTGAGCTTCACTTTCTTCATCTGAAAAATGGAGACAATAATATTGCCGAATTCTTAGAAAGATAAACTAAGCACTTGGCAAATATGGAGTCACTTAGCACTCATGAATATTAGTTCCCTTCAAGATTTCCTAGTTATTTGCCTTTATCTTTCTATTCTGCTTAAAATACATTCTTCCGTTTAAAATGTATTCTTTTTTTTTAAATTTTTTGAGACAGAGTCTCACTCTGTCACCCAGGCTGGAGTGCAGTGGCGCGATCTCAGCTCACTGCAGCTCCTGCCTCCCGGGTTCAAGTGATCCTCTTGCCTCAGCCTCCCGAGTAGCTGGGGCTACAGGTGCCCGCCACCACACCCAGCTAATTTTTATATTTTCAGTAGAGACGGGGTTTCACCATGTTGGCCAGGCTGGTCTCGAACTCGTGGACTCAAGTAATCCGCCCGCCTCGGCCTCCCCAAAGTGCTGGGACAACAGGTGTGAGCCATCGCACCTGGCCTAAAATACATTAATCTTACATTTTAACTATTATTTATTTATTCGCCTTTATCCTTTTATACCAATGCTTAAAAACAGAAGTATGATACAAGCCACAGAGGTAATTAATTTTCTAGTGACCACATTTAAAAAGTAAAAATAGATGAAATCCTTTTTAATATTTTATTTTACCAAATATATTCAATATATTATCACTTCAAAATGTAATCAATACGAAAAGTTATTAATGAGATGGTTTATATTTTTTCCATACTAAGTTTTAAAAATCTGTTGTGTATTTTACACTTCAGCACATCTCAATTTGGATGCTACCTTTTTCATCAAAAATACTTGATCTATATTTAGATTTCAAAAAATTTATACTTGAAAACATATATATACATATCCAAATGGTTCCAAACATTCTTAAAAGTTTTTCTTTTTTTTTTTTTTTTTTTTTTGAGACAGTCTCGTTCTGTCGCCCAGGCTGGAGTGCAGTGGCACGATCCTGGCTTACTACAACCTCTGCCTCGTGGGCTCAAGCAATTCTTGTGCCTCAGCTTCCCAAGAAGCTGGGATTACAGGCGCCTGCCTTCACGCCCGGCCAATTTTTGTATTTTTAGTAGAGACAGGGTTTCGCCATGTTGGCCAGGCTGGCTTCGAACTCCTGGCCTTAAGTGATCTGCCTGCCTCGGCCTCCCAAAGGGCTGGGATTACAGGCGTGAGCCACCACGCCCAACCCAAAAGTTTTTCAATAACTGAATTGAATATCAGTTTTTTAATTGAAATTTAAGTGAATTAGAAGTAAATTAAATCTTCATTTCCTAAGTTACACCAGCCACATTTCAAGTGCCCAACTGTCACGTGTGGCTTGTGACCACTCTATTGGATGGCACGGTTTCATGCCATTTAAAATATATCCTTAACAATCACTATTTATCTTACCAGTGTAGGGATCCCAATATTCTTAAAGTAAATAACAATATTATACTGTTCTATCTTTTCATCCTAGAATACAACACGTCATTTAAAGTTGGTGAGATTTTTTACCTTTAAAAATACTCCTATCACAGCCAAACCATTTTCTTCCAGTGCTGCATCCTCAAAGTTTTCAAATTTGACTGCGTTCCAATGCACTAAGTGCAGCTGAAACACCATGAAAAGAGGGTTAACACGTGACTATACAGAATCTCTCCAGAATAAACCCACAGCCTCAGTCAACCTATGACATTTAAACATGTTTCCTCACCCAAAGTAAAGCCACCAAGAAAACCATATGACAATCCAAAATGAGATAGAAACAAAGATCAGGAAGAAATTTAGGCAAGGACAGCAATTAATATTTCTTTGGAATAAAAGGACTCGGGGAGAAAAATAAAATAAAATACATATAGCAAACTGAGTCGCATTTCAGTAAGGGATCAACATTTGCTCGTTCCCATTCT
The DNA here is from genome assembly GCF_000001405.40 of Homo sapiens. Taxonomy (NCBI): domain Eukaryota; kingdom Metazoa; phylum Chordata; class Mammalia; order Primates; family Hominidae; genus Homo; species Homo sapiens. The sequence goes on along the minus strand of NC_000023.11, from coordinate 15,692,663 downwards.
GCTTTGCATGAAATACTAACATCCAAAATCCATTTACATTTAAAGGAGAGAAAATGTTTATATTGAGAAAAGTAAGTTCTCCTTATAGGAATTAGACAAGAGTTGAAGACTGGCCGGGTGTGGTGGCTCACATCTGTAATGCCAAGACTTTGGGAGGCCAAGGTGGGTGGATCATTTGAGGTCAAGAGATTGAGATCAGCCCGGCCAACATGGTGAAACCCCGTCTCTACTAAAAAAAAATACAAAAATTAGCAGGTGTGGTGGTGGATGCCTGTAACCCCAGCTTCTCAGGAGGCTGAGGTGGAAGGATCGCTTGAACCCGGGAGGCGGAGGTTGAAGTGAGCCAAGATCGCGCCACCGTACGCCACTTAGGTGACAGAGAAAGACTCCGTCTCAAAGAAAAAAAAAAAAGAAAAAAAAGAGTTGAAGACACATTTCTTCTTTGAGAGATGACCATTTAAAATGTTCTTTTTATTGTTGATACAACATTTAAAACTAAATTGCTGCCAGGTGCGATGGCTCACATCAGCACTTTGGGAGGCTGGGGCAAGAGCATCACCTGAAGCCAGGAGTTCAAGCCCAGCCTCGGCAACACAGTGAGATCTCATCTCTACAAAAAATTTAAAAATGAGTTTGGCGTGGTGGTACATAATCGTGTAGTCCCTGCTACTTGGGAAGCTGAGGCGGAAGGATCACTTGGGCTCAGAAGTTCAAGGCTGCAGTGAGCTATGACTGCACCACTGCACACCAGCGTGGGTGACACAGTGAGAGCCTATTAAAAAAAAAAACAAAACCAATAAACCAAACAAACAAAACCTAAATTACAAAAAAGCTGTAAGAAGCAATTATATTTCCTTATGATTTCCCTATACTTTTGCTATGGTTTGGATATGGTCTGTTTGGTCCTGCCAGGTCTCATGTTGACACCTGCTCCCCAATGTTGGAGGTGGGGCTTCATGGGAGGTGTTTGGATCACGCGGGCAGATCCCTTATAAATAGCTTGGTGCCATTCGGGTGGAAGTGAGTTCTTACTCTTAGTTCCCAAGAGAACTGATTTGGGTTTTTTTTTTTTTGAGACAGGGTCTCACTCTGTCACGCAGGCTGGAGTACGGTGGCACAACTGTGACTCACTGCAGCCTTGACCTGCTAGGCTCAAGTGACACTCCCACCTCAGCCTCCCAAGTAGCTGGGACTACAGGCATGGGCCACCATACCTGGCCAATTGTTTTTTTTTTTAATTAAAATTTTTTTTTGTATAGACAAGGTCTCACTATATTGCCCAGGCTGGTCTCCAATTCCTGACCTCAAGCCATCCTCCCGCATTGGCCTCCCAAAGTGCTGGGATTACAGGTGTGAGCCATCACATTCAGCCACAGAACTGATTGTTGAAAAGAGCCTGGTACCTCCTCCTCTCCCTCTTACCATGTGATCTCTGCACGTTGGCTCCCCTTGGCCTTCCAACATGAGGGGAAACAGTTTGAGGCCCTCACCAGATGCAGATGTGAGCACCATGTTTCTTGTACAGCCTGTAGCACCATGAGCCAAGTAAACCTCTTTTCTTTATAAATTACACAGTTTCAGATATTCCTTTGCAGCAACACAAATGGATTAAGATAACTTCTCTACAAATCATTCCTTGTCCACCACTCATGAACTTATTTTCTGGCATCACCATTCCCCCAAGTCTCCTAAGTGAGACACCTCAAGGTCTTGGTTAACTTTGCTTTCTGTTCTCTGGAAGAGGATCTCACCTCCTAGTCCTGTTGCTTTTATTTCAGAAATGCTTTTTAAAAGTTGCTCATTTTCTATATTTCTATTGCCTTCATTTAATCTCTCACCATCTATCACTTGGATTAATCGCAACTTGTGGCCCTGCATTGTTGCCTGGGTTAATCTAAAAACATAAACTGCTAATTAAACGAAATCAAGCTATGCCACTCTCTTGTTTACAAATAACTAGTTTCTGATGAGCCTGCCCTCCATCTACCCTATTATGCTTTGATGATCACCACTCTCACTGCCTCTCCCCACAACACACATTCAACATTCTGGTCACATCATTTTGTTTTTTGGTCATTTCCTGAACATTCTATCAAATCTGCCTTTGCACGATTTTCCCTCAGTCTAGAATGCCCTTCTAATCCTCTTGGCAAACTTCCATACATCCTTTAATACCTAATATAAATGGCTCCTCCTTAGTGAAATCATCATAGACTCCTCTGAGTGGTCTGTATCACATGCCTTCCTCTGTGGTCCCATAGCACTTTCAGAAACATTTTTCAAATCACACTTGCTTTATAATTTTAATTTCGAGTATTCTTCCCTCACTAGACTTTGCCCTTTGGGTGGTTGAGAATTAGTACTCCTGGTACTTTGTGCAGTGCCTTGCACATAGTTGCCACTCAGAAAATGTTACAAACATAAATATATAAATGATAAAATACATACACGTTATCAGGTGACCCCAAATATAAAATGTGTTTTTCTTGCCTAATTATCCTTCTGCTCTGTATTGCAATCTTACATTTTAAAATGTAATTAAACATAATTACTATTTAATATAGAAGTTATCTGCAAAGTAAGCCAGCCAAGGAAAACTAGTACATATTCAACACATACACACACAGAAAATAGATTTCTGGCAAATCTTTCATTTCATTTCATGCCCTTTCTTCTATATCAATTACAAAATCTGTACATACAGATATATGTATTTGTTAATAGAAAATATTACCTATACTAGTAGAAGGAAACATCCATATAAAAGAGAAGGGAATTTTTCCATACACTGAAAAGTGAGTCCAGTGATCATCCAGAAAGCCCATTCAGGGCATATACCCAAAAGAACGGAAAACTGAGTCAAAAAGAGATATTTGTACACCCATGTTCATAGCAGCATTACTCACAAAAGCCAAAAGGTAAGGAATAGATAAACAAATGTGGTCTATCCATATAATGGAGTATCATTAAGCCTTAAAAGGGAAGGAAATTCTGACACATACTACAACATCGATGAACTCTGAGGACATTATACCAACTGAAATAAGCCAGTCACAAAAAGACAAATACTGTATGATTCCACTCATATGAGGTGCCTAGAGTAGTCCGATTCACAGAGACAGAAAGCAGAATACTGGCTGGGTATGGTGGCTCATGCCTGTAATCCCAGCACTTTGGGAGACCAAGGCGGGCAGATCACTTGAGGTCAGGAGTTCGAGACCAGCCTGGCCAACATGGTAAAACCCCCTCTCTACTAAAAATACAAAAGTTAGCTGGGCGTGGTGACGGGCACCTGTAATCCCAGGTACTCGGGAGGCTGAGGCAGGAGAATTGCTTGAACCTGGGAGGCAGAGGTTGCAGTGAGCCAAGACTGCCCCACTGTACTCCAGCCTGGGTGACAGAGCAAGAATCTGTTTCCAAAAAAAAGAAAAGAAAAGCAAGCAAGCAAGCAAGCCAAATACTGACTGCGAGAAGCTGGAGGGAGGGTGAATGGGGTGCTACTGTTTAATGGGTAAAGTTTCAGTTTTGCAAGATGAAAGGATTTCTGGAGATAGATGGTGGTGATGATTGTACACTAATGGAAATGTACTTAATATAATACTACTTGACTGTATTCTTAAAAATGGTTAAGATGATAAATTTCATATTATGTGTATTTCACCACAATTTTTTTTTAAATTCCAATGAGTTCCATGCCATTGCTCACAAAGAGGTCAATACTATCATGGAGAGAGTTTGATGTGTCCTCTGTTAACATGACACTGTTTCTTTAACTCCTTACAAGACCACCAGATCTTGCCCTCACCTGATTTATCTGTAGAATCTTCAAATTCCACGAGGAAAGAGTACCCATTATTCCAGACGTGGAGGCAGGTGGCTGGGTCATAAGAGATGGTCAGTGGTTTTAAGCCGGGATCATAAACACTGTCCCTCCACCGAATGTTGATGGGTGACTGGCGATCGCCCCCAGGAACCAGGTCCACGCTCTCCCAGAGTGGATGCACTAGGAGAAAGCAGGTCAGGCTATTATCAAGACTGTCTACTATCTAGCATCACACATGAGGCAATTCCACTTCTGGAGACCCTGTCAAGGCTAATGGGAACTAAGAGCTTTAGCAATTAGCCATTCAGGGCCTTAAGCAGCTGACTAAAGCAAAGGCTAAAGACAAGTCAGAAAGCACTGTGCAGAAAAACAGCATTCTGCCATCTTGAAAACCCAACTCGTCTCAGTCTGCCTACTAAGCTCACCTAAACCAAGTGCAATCAGTCCTGTGATAACAGTAAAATGCATGGAGATTAGCGCCATGTGGAAATAGGTATTCATAAATGAGTTTCTTTTCTTCTTTGAGAATTTCCCAAGCCCCAAGCCCCCAAACTAGCTCTAAATACAAAGACAAACTAATTCGATTTTCAATAACAGACTCATTTAAAAAAAAAAGAAAGAAATGGAAGAACTTTGAGAAAGGAAATGTTCAATCAAGTATTGTCAGTGTTTAACTGGTTGGCTGGTAGAAAAAAAGACTTGTGTAGCCTGCATCCCATAAGATGCTCGCCCCACATAACTGTGCGTGCTGAGTTGAGTTCACCTCCTATGTAAGCAAACTCTGAGGACCAGGCAGCCATCCTGCAAAACCTGGGTAGAACATCGGCATTGCTAAGGTCCCTGGAGGTTGCAGTGTGTCACAGGGATGTGGAGATTATCTATTAAGGTGTACACATACAATTCATCCTCCATAGGCACTGAAGACATTGCTGATGCTGATTTTCTTCCAGAGTCAAGCACCAGGTCTCTGTAGCAAGTCCCTGGTAAGTATCAGTAGACTTGCTGGTAACACAGATTGGCCTGTTGAGATCCCCATGTGTGATGAGCAGAACCAATGTATATCAGTTTGGGGTGGTCCATTTCCCTGTCCTTTAGAAGTACCATGGATGGGTAGAATCAAGGACAATAGGAAAACTAGGAGAAACATGAATTGAGAGAAATCATTACCAATGACCCTCTGCATCTTGCCCCACCACTAAGAATGGGTCGAAGGATTTGAGAAATAACTAGGCAGCTCCCACCCAGTCAAATCCCCCGAATATGGCAGGGACATCCTCTTGTTTCCATAAAAACCAGAAACTTGCTTCTGGTTTACTCTTACAGGGGCGACAGTTCTCCTGCTTCAGTAGCAGCCCAAAGATGGAAGTTTAAAATCTTAGCCTTGGCTTTATTTTTGTGTGGTGGTAGGCAAAAGTGTCCTGGCAGTATAGACACTGAGCTCTCTTGGGAGCATCCAGACCAGTGGTCTCAACAAGGAGAGTGACTACGGCCCCAGAGGACATTTGGTAATATCTAGAGACATTTTTCATTGTCACAACTGGAAGAGGGTGCTACTGCCATCTAGTGGATAGATGCCAGGGATGCTGCTAAATATTCTACGAAGCACAGGAGGAAGCCACCAGTGCAAAGCGTTATCCAGCCCCAAATGTCAATAGTGGCCCAGGTGAGAATCTCAGTCTGCAGAAACTCAGAATATTCTTCTTTTTTTTTCCTATTTCTTCCTATAACATAGTATTCTCTTATCTCTAAAGAGATTTAAACCTAATTTAAAAAATTAATTTCAACTTTAACTATAAAGGGTACACATGCAGGTTTGGTATATGGAGTGACACTGAGGCTTGGGGTCCCAACAGTCCTATCACCCCAGCCAGTGAGCATAATACCCAACAGGTTGAACCCAATGTTTTCATTTTTCTTAGTATGAAAGAATTCCTTATAATAGATTTACAACAGAAAACAGAAAAAATACAACAGAAAAAGAACAATAATTTTCTGTTAAATTTAGGAGCCAAAAATTAAAAATGCATTTGAACTGGCACAATATTTCAATACTATAAATCTGATTGGAATGCAGATTCCTTCTAGAAAGCCCTTGAAAGGCCCTGATTATATTTTAAAAGATTCCTGACACAAAGAGACTACGCACCTTCCCCTCAGACACTCAGACTGTGGTTGATAATGTGAGAATTCACATTCTTCAAAGCCATTCAATCAGGGTCTACCATGAAGACTAGGGAAGAACTGGAGTGACGATCAGCTCCCTAAGACGATGCCTTGGTCATCCTTAATTGTTCCCCATCTCATTCATGAAATGGGAAGTATCAACACTCAGACTCATGCAAATACCAGCCCAAGAAAACTGAGCCTGTTCCTTCAATTGCTCTTTAATGACCATAATGACACGATCAGTTTATGCCCTTGAGTTTACAAGTTCAGCTTCCAGAAGGTTTCTTTCCTCCTACCCACCTCCTCCTTTTTAAACAAAGACCATCTAGGCTAGACCATCCAACCCACTGTGGGGAGAGGTGGTCCTTGGTCATTATCCCCCTATTGAAGCCAACTTTTTGCCAAGGGCTTGTTTTGCTAATGATAAATTCACACTTTTCTTTTCCTCTTCCCTCCCCTTCTACCATTTTAACAAAATACAGATAGAAATGATTTCTTGGCAGTTCTCATACTTTCCCTCAAAACAGGAAGGTGACCACGAAGCATTCTGAGAGGCTTCATTTTCAGGTTTTTCTTATATGTAGAAAGTGAAGAGATTGTGACTATTTCAATCACAGTTTAAATGAGTGAAGGGCACACTGTCATTAAAAAGGTGTCAATAATCTGTCACTGATGAGCAAGAAAACTCCTTTAGATTTCATGGTGAGGATGCACTTGGTCTTAATTCTTATTTATATGCCTAGTCCTGCGTTTGATTTATTTTATGCTTGCACCACCTATTTCTCTAGCCTCCTTGTATGTCCCTGGGCTCTTCAAATGTAGAAAGCTCATTTCTGCCTCAAGCCCCTCGGTTCCTGATTCTTCTCCTCTGCTGGAATCATTCCCCTCATTCCACTTGGCACTGGCTCCTGTTATTGCCTTAATTGTCACCTCCTCTCCTCTTTGACTACCCTCCTATAACATGATCCCCTTGAATTTTTAATCACAGCATTCTGGTTTTGTCCTTCACAACATTATTACATGGGTATAGTTATAATTATATGCACACGCACTTAGTTATCGGCCTCCCCCACTGCTCTGCAAGCAAGCTGGCTTTCAACAACTACGGTGGATCAAATGAATCAGATGAAGTATATCACCGAAGAAGTTTGCTTCTTTTTGCTTTATTTCCCATTACCCCCACTGATCACATTATTTTTCTTTAACAATCGTTCAGGTTTAGCTCTTCCTCGCCTTGCCCAGACCACTAGCCTAGTTCTGAACTCTACGCCATGGACTTCACACAAAGCCTCTTGGTCATTTGTCCTCTTTTCTCACTTCCCTTTACCCCCTGAGTTCAGCCACTCAGTTTTCCCAAATTACCGGCTTTGTCAGGGTGCTCCTGTGCTAAAGACAGTACATCAAGTGGAAACTTCTGTGTCCAAGTGCCTGTGTTTTTCTAGTAGAACCCTCCTCACTTATCTAACCATTCTCCTCATTCTTTCCAAACGCTGGTGTTTCCATGCTGCCCCCGTGGTCAATCCTAAATGAGTGGTGCTGTAAATGTAAAACACCCAACAGGCTTTGAAGACTTGGTGCAAGGTAAACAATGTAAACTCGGTAATAACTGTTATATGGATCACATGTTAAAGTGATAATATCCTGGATATACTGGGTTAAATAAAATGTTACTAAAATTAATTTCACCTGTTTTCTTTTCCCCTTTTCTAATGTGACTATTAGAAAACTGAGAATTACATATGTGGCTCAATTATATGTCTATAGGACAATGTTGCCCTATACCCTCATGTGCTTTTTATCTGGTCCCTTGCTATGTACCACCCTTTTTACGAGGGATGTGCTGTTTCCTCATGTTACTGAAGACCATCTGTGTAGGCCTTGGCCTTAGTGCAGTGATGGGTGTATACACAGGGACCCTCTGTATGACTTGGCTGAGGATAATCGCAGGATCACAAATTGCCTTGTTAGAGCATCAGGGCTCTAAAAGGCACTTGGATGCTGAGTCCATTAGCCATAGAATACACATGCAGTTATCAGCACAGGAGACTAAAAGCCCACATTTCTTGGCGGTCAGTTCCAGGGCTAATCGTCAGTCCCAGGTAGCTGAAGACAACCCTGAAGCCATTAGTGCAATTCCATGGGACTCCTAATCCTCCCACTGTTTCTCAAGATTATTTGAAAGTTAATGGAGACAGTACAGTCTGAGGCATCCCAGCCTATATCAGAGGTCTTTAGGAAGACATTGCAAAACAAGCCTGTTAAAACTCTTGTCCTCATCTGTACAAAACCCCCATGACAAGTTTACCTATACAACAAACCTGCACACATACCCCTGAACTTAAAATAAAAGTTAAAAAAAAAACAAAAACCAAAAAACAAGTATTGTTCTCCAGGCTTTGGTTCTTCAAAATTAATTGGAAAAATAATAGAACTTTATAACACAGTTGAGTTATAATATAAATCAGTGCTGTCAAATACAACTTTCTCTAAAGATGAAAATGTCCAGTATGGTAAGTTGTAGGCACATGAGGCTATAAAATGTTAATGTGCTTAAATTTACAGGTAAATACCCACAGTGGCTACATTTAATTGTGGCTACATTTTAGACAGCGCCATTCTAGTCCAAGTTATCCTAAAAGGAAATGTTTCTTTTCTTTCTAAAAGCAGGGAGATCATGAACATTAAGAATCACTGGAATAATATTAAATTTGTACTATTTACATTATAGCTGATACTCTTTATATTTCATTAAGAATTAACATTATTAAATTAATTTTCCTATGGCCTAAGATCTCATGCCTAAATCTTTTTTTTTTTTGGAGACAGAGTCCTGCTCTGTCACCCAGGTTGGAGAGCAGTGGCACGATCTCGGGTCACTGCAACCTCCGACTCCCGGGTTCAAGCGATTCCCCTGCCTCACAGCCTCCCGTGTAACTGGGACCACAGGTGTGTGCCACCATGCCTGGCTAATTTTTTGTATTTTAGTAGAGACGGGGTTTCACCATGTTGGCCAGGATGGTCTCGTTCTCCTGACCTCGTGATCCGCCCCTCATGGCCTCCCAAAGGGCTGGGGTTACAGGCGTGAGCCATCATGCCCGGCCACCTAAATCTTTTTATGCGATCATCACGCTAAATTTCACTAGATGATACGCTAAGTGAAACTGATTTTATTTTCATCTTGGATAACAGGTGTAGGCTTTTATTTTTATCTTGTTATATTACAAGTCCCTAAAGTTAGGACTATCAACAGTTACTGTCTGCTACTTGAGATAACAGCAAACAGCAATCTGAGTTGACAGCTAAAGATTATCTGTGGAGAGCCTTGGGAGCAAAGATATGATGAGCACAGAGCACTGGGCTGACCTGAAATGCTGCTTACCGAATTTGCCACAACCTCCTACTTTCATTCACTCCTTATTCTGCTTTGCCTCCTCTTAAAATGTTCAGACTTAAACATCTGAGGCAGGCACTGAGCCTACGATGATGATAACAAAGTACTAGAAGTAGCTGCCACAACTTTCTTTTTTTTTTTTTTTGTTTGAGACAGAGTACAGATCCTGGTTCACTGCAACCTCCGCCTCCCAGGTTCAAGTGATTCTCCTGCCTCAGCCTCCTGAGTAGCTGAGACTACAGGCATGCACCACGACGCCTGGCTAATTTTTGTATTTTTAGTAGAGACGAGGTTTCACTATGTTGGTCAGGCTGGTCTTGAACTCCTGACCTCAGGTGATCCGCCTTCCTCGGTCTCCCAAAAGTGCTGGGATGAGCCACCGTGCCCGGCCTCATAACTGAGCTTCTAACCCTCAAGAATCTGGGGTTATTCTTGGTTACAAGCGTACACTAGCCTTCTGCTGGGGTACTGAGCTGTCAGAAACAATGAGAACTGTGTTTACAATTGAGCAGATGAGGGTCCAGAATATAGGAATAGGACCTGCTCAAAGGCCCAGGGCAAGAAAGACCACAATATTCTCCTTGGGGAAAACAGGTTGGAACAGTGAAACATACCACAAACAAAATCAAATGTTGACTTCCACCTGTGTTTTTCTAGTAACTTAGAAACAAGAACACATCATATAATATAGCTATTAGTCAAGTGAACCCCATCTCCTCGGGGGACCACTATTTGGTTTCTGTTGGCACTAAAAGCAGCAAGTTATCCTAATGGCATAGACTGATTGGACTTTAGGCATTTAACTTTCAACTTTCTGCAAATAAAGACAAACTAAATATCAAGGCAAAAACCCCACACTCACACAAAACGTTAGTAACTAGATAAATATGACTAAATTTTTTCCACGTTAAGCCTTAGAATGCAGTCCCAGGGTTCGGAATAAGCCAGTCTGGGTAGGATATGGGCACACCCAGCAATCATAAATTTGTTATGACCCCGACCAACTCATTTCAATGAGAACATAGTCAATGTTGGGATAAAACAAAATAAACTTGTAATAAAAAATTCTTCTGAAGCACTTTCAAGGCAATGGATCCAGCTAAATCAACATTATTAACGGAATTCCTTTTCTTATGTGCGTGGAGGTTCAAAAAGGGTAAACCCGAAGAGCACAATCTGAGAAACCTCAAATCCTGAAACAAGCCAGTATTTGAAAACTATGTAAATTCATTGTGAATAGTGGAAAATATATTAAAAAAACCCAAAAGATATATTTAGCCAATTCATTAAACACAACTCTCCACCATCACAGACATCTCTCCTATCATCTCAGCGGTTCTCTCCCAGGGTTATTTTGCCCTCCCTCCCAGAGGACATTTAGCAATGTCTTGAAACGTATCTGAATGTGATCATTTGGGGAGTGCTACTGGCAAGAGATCAGAGATGCCACTCAACATCCAGTGAGCAAAGGGCAGCCCCCACGCCACAGAATGATCCATCCCCAATGTCCATCGTGCCACAGTGGAGAATCCCTGCAACATCCAGCTGCAGATAGTACCTTGTATTTCCAGGAGGGGAACGAGATGAGAAAGGCTTGAGGAAGAACATTTGCTGTGTCACATGATCTTCTGTGTTTACAGCAGAGTACACACTTGCAAATCAGTCAGCTAGAATTAATTCTGCAATTCTTAACTCTGGACAGAATATTCTGAAGCATGAAGCCACTGAACTGCTTGCAAACATTCATGTGCAGCTTCCAGCAATTTAAGATTCACAGAAATAATCTGCAGTTTGTGGATCAACCTTAGTAAAAAGACAACTGCTAACCAGAAATAATAAAGAACAGGTTCCAGAATATCTGAAACCTTCTCCAGTTTCTGCATGACATCATTTTAACATTTTAACATTTGTCAAGAAAGAATGTTCCACATTTATTTTACTGGACAAATAGAGAAACAGTTATTCTCACAGTCCATAAGGCATATAATCTCACACTGGAATGCCCATGACATCACAGCTACAAACGCTTAACACGCGTGATTTTTATAAAACCAACAAGCCTTTTCTCCTCTCTTTAATGAAATGGTGTACTCTCAGGCTTATTTCTGGATTTTGTAAGTACAAGTACAGAGGCTGCAGAATGGCCTGGGCCTTGGAATCTGGAAGCTTCTCCACAGCAATTTGCATGGGGACACAGGACGAGTGACCCTCAGGGTGTTCATCACCACCATCTTACCCTGAAACTTTGATCAGTTCCCAGATAACTTGCAGGAACCCAATAACCTAGAGGGAAGAGGGCAGAGAAGTGAAAGCTGTAAACAATAGAGACTTAAGATCATGAGAAAACCTCTAAGTAGGACAATATTCAGACTCGTAATACGCACCCTGAGGTGAAGGGGAGGGCAAATGGGAGTCAATTATCCACTCTTGTTCCTCAAACTCATTGGTCACCCCAAGATGACAGACCCACTTGCTTTCACTCACATTCACTTTGCGCTTCTGCCCGCCCACCAGCCACATGGACTTTAGTTCTTCCAACTCCTGCCTTTCCCTCTGGCCTGTGCAGATGCCCTTCCTTTCCTGGACTCTCCCTCCATCTGTGACTGGTGAATCCCTACCCCCACTTCAGGTGACTGACACCAGCGTCACTTCCTCTAAGCTCCCCCGACCACAAGCTCACCAGGTCAGCCCAGAACTGCTTTGTGGTCACAGTGCTTATCACAGTCGAATTAATACCTCACCAGGAATGTACTTTATGACTGCATCCTCTCCAGTATCTAAGCCCCATGGTGGTAGGGACCGTGTCTGCCTTGGTCAGAGCTGCATCTCTTAGGGACACAGTGCCTCATTCAAAATGGGTGCTGGGAGTACTAGCCAACTGACCCGAGTAGGCTCCCTTGGTGACAAAGATGTTGGTCCGCATTTCAAGAACTAAGAACTGTGCCATGACTGCCAGCATGCTCTGAGACAGTACTAGGGGTCTTTCCTTTTCTCAAACGTCATCACCCATTTGTAGGGATGTCTATACTTTTAAAACACTTTTAAATATTTCTCCTTTGAGAGGAGGGTCTCATACCCCTATCTAAAAGATCCAAAGGACCCCCCAAATCCTGCCTGATCTAAAAAGAGGACCCTCCCTGAGTATGAACCTCATCTAGTCTCACAGGGCTGGGATTCTGCCAGTTAGCACTTTCATTTCAAAATGTATTGTCATTTCTTTTGCTCCAAGCACAGTGGTGGGTGCTATGATGCAAAGATGACCAAGACTTGAACTGTACCTTCCAGGTATGTAATTTCTCCCTTAGGAGCCTCCTGAAATGCACATAGTATGGGTAAGAGAAACACAGAGCAAACCAGTTTGCAGCAGGGTGTTTTTTGCCACCTCAGATTCTGCCTTCTCTTGCCAAAAGAGGGGCTCTCAGCAGTATGGCCATGGTGGGGTAGTGGTGGGGGTTGGGGTAGGTGGGAATGGGTGGCAAAAGGCACAAATGTAGAAGTTGAGGGGCACTAAAGACACATTTCCCTTACAAATCTGAACTTTATTTCTTTACACCATCTTTCCAAGAAGAATGTAAGATATAAAACCCACATCATGGTCCTCAGTGATGCTGAGAAAGGAGGCAAACGTGCTTTCATCCTCCCCTCTCTTTGTGCACATTCATGCTAGTAATTGGCTGTGAACTAGCTCTTCTCCTCTGTACTGCTGTCCTTGATCCTGCTCCATCTAAGCTAGAGAGAAGACTACACCTACGTGAAAGGAGCGAGAATCATCTCTATGTGCATTGTGAAATAAAGCACAGCAGGATGAGAAGCCAGTCTTTTGGCACAGTGCCATGCGCTTTGCTTTGCATATGCATCACTTTGCTAATGTGCGCTGAACTCAGGGAGCCAGAGATGTGCAGCCATTACATTAAAGGGGACTGGTAGGAAGTTAGTGAATCCTGTGGAGGTTCCTTACCTCTAGGCTTGACTCCCTACCGGAGGTCTTTAGGCCAATGTATTAGCTCGTAAGAAAGTACCATAGACTGGTTGGCTTAAAAATTTTTGTTGTCTCATGGTTCTGGAGGTTAGAAATCTGAGGTCCAAGTTCTCTGCAGGGTTGGTTCCTTCTGAGGGCAATGAGCGCTCTGTTCCAGGCCTTTCTACTTGGATGGTTAATTTTATGTGCCAACTTGGGTAGGTCATGGTACCCAGATGTTTGGTCAAATACCAGTTTAAATGTCACTGTGAATGTATTTTTTAGATAAGATTAACATTTAAATCAGTAGACTTGGAATAAAGATTATTACCCTTCATGTGGGTGGGCCCTACCCAATCCGTCGAAAGCCTTAAGTTGAAAAAGACAGGTCCCCTGAGGAAGAGGAAATTCTACCTCCAGACTGCCTTTGGACTGGAGCTGTGCCATGGCACCAGTTTGTGCTCACAATCCAGTCTGAATGTGTCCCCAAAGTTCACGTTTTGGAAACTTAATCTGCAACGCAAAAGTGTTGGGAGGTGATTAAATCATGAGGGCCCTCCCCTCATGAATGGATTAATGCCATTATTAGGGGGAGCTGGTTAGTTTCTGAGGTAGTGGGTTCCTGATATAAGGATAAATTTGGCTTCTTTCCCTTCCCTCCCTCCCTCCTTCTTCACCCCCAACCACTCCCACCCCTCACATGCACATGTTCTTGCCCTTCTGCCTTGTGCTATGGGATGATGCAAGAGAGAGCCCTCACTAGATGCTGAGCAGATGCTGGCACCATGCCCTTGGACTTCCCAGCCTCCAGAATCATGAGCCACATAAATTTCTGTTCATTATAAATTATCCAGTGTCAGGTATTCTGTTACAGCACAAAACTGAGTAAGACAGGCTGTAATATCAATTCTTCCCTGGTCTCCAGTCTGCTGGCCTGCACTGCAAATTTCACGAGCCTACATTCACGAGCCAATTTTTAAAAATAAATCTCTCTCTAAACACACACACACACACACACGCACAAGCACACACACAGGCACACCCACACATACATACATACACACACACATATATACACATACACACACACAATTGGTTTTGTTTCTCTGGAGAACACCTAATAAACCTTGCTTCTGGTAATTCCTTGGCTTGTGTCAGCATTAAATCCAATTTTCGTAAGCCATTCTCATCTTGTCTGTGTCCAAATTTCCCTTTTAATTAAGGACACCAGTTATATTGGACTAGTGGTCACCCTAATGACCATAATTACCTTTATACAGACCCAATCTCCATATGAGGTCACATTCTGAGGTACTGGGGCTTAAGACTTAAACGTATATGAGTTTGAGATGGGAGGGTGCAATTGAACTCGTAACAGCCAGTGACACCTAAAGTATGTCTGCGTTGCCTAAAAGGTGCTGACAATTCTCAAACCAAAGTTAAAATCACTTTTGTTTAGTTTTATCTGTGTTTGTGTAAATACAGTTTTTAGTGGGAGTGTGTATGTCAAAATGTCTAAGGAGATGAAAAATCACCTTGTTGAAGCCATGTAAAAAAGTCTGGCTCAGGATTTAAAAGACAGACTGCCAATAAGCTTTCAATATCTTATCTTGATAGTTCCTGCAGCCAGGTAAGAGCATCTGGTTTTTAAATAACTTCACTATCTGAATTCACTTAGCAGGTTTAAACAGCAATAGTCCATGGGTCAACTGAATTTAGAATCTGTTTTCCCCTTATTAGGGCAAACTTCAAACTTGTACAAAAAAATGGTGAGAATAAATCATCTATATATCCAATACTCCATTTCAACAATTACCAGTGTGTGGCTGGATACCGCCTAGGAGAGCTAAGCCTTCTGTGCTACACATCCTTTGCTGTCACTGATTATTCATGTATGCCTTGGATATTACTAACATGTTCTTTTTCTGTTGTTTTGCAGCCTTAGAAATGTGTGAAAAAAGAAAAGATTCTAAAAGTCTTTAAATGTCATTCATAAGTAATGTATTTATTAAATGCCTCATAGCTTGAACTCTGCCTGATTAAGCAACTTATGCGAAAGAGACAGGAAAAGTACTAACAAAAGGTTACAATTATATTGAAAAATTCCTTGATTGGCATCAGATTGACTCTTCATTTTCTCAACTCCTGATTTCAAAAGGAAGCCTGCCTTTTGCAATTTCCTGAAACTTAAATTAGAGATTACGCTGCTATGTCTTAAGAAAGCTTAGCTTCCTCCTCTCACTCACTTCTTCCTTGAGAGTGTGATCCCAATCTGAGGTTGCCAAAGGTTTCAAAATATATTATACCTGATTTGTGTGTTGCAACTAACTGCCCCAGTGTGGCCAGTGACATGATGAATTTCCCTCTTTCCATCAGATTTCCTTAATATTCATATGCAATCACAAGGCACTCAACCTTTATTCCATTGCAACTGTGAGCAGTGGCAGCCTTTTTGCTTGGTTCCAAGCACAGGGCAGCTACGTATAGGCACAGAGAATGGTGCCCTTGCTGTTTCGCCTTTCGGTTAATTCCAGCCCAGGTACTGATTTAAAATAGCCCAGAAAGTTTTTCATTTCCAAAATATTCAAGAACAGTGCAGCTTTTCACTAAGTCCCTGAAGACAGGGGAGGTGGGGTGAACTTTGGTTCATTGTGAACTCTGATGCAGGCTATGAATAGTGACTCCTCTGAGAGATGCGCGGGGCAGCATCTTACCAGAGATTTCTGACTATTCTCCATACTCCAGCAAGACTTTCAAAGTGCATAGTGGAAATGGTCAGATTATCAGTAAAGAAGAAGGGGAAGCAGAAAGCAATGTGGTATTCAGTGGCTAATAAGGAGCATATAAACAAATTAAGGTTTACGCATCTTCGTTAAGTCATTTCCCAAGCTTTTCCAGCAAAAGTAAATGTGAGAGAAGTACACAGATATTAATACTAACGCGTTTCCAGCAGCCTCAGAGCAGCAGCATTTAACGCTGAATATCACACAGAATCCCAGCCACCAAGAATGTCTGCATTTTGGAGGTTCCTCTCCTCCGGCTCTGGGGCAAGGCACAACAGAAAAACTCAGATTTGTCCAAGGGACACAACTGTGCTTTTGATCTACTCTGGGGTGGCTGTGTCTGTCCATAGCCCCTAGCATAGTCAGGTGGGAATATCAACAATGCAGACCCGAGGGAGTCCCAGCTTGCTGCTCCTTGGTTTCTGGACACTCCTCTCATCCCGCAATGTCTCTGGGAAAGCTGTTCTACTTTTTAATAGACAGAATCCTAAAAGGATGTCTGGTGATCCCCATAGCGGAGAAAGAGGGCTAGAGTGGGGAAGTGGCTATTTCCCCGCCGCCAGCCTCCCACTCCCATTCCTCAGAGAAGCCCCGCCAGGGCCCCGGCCAACCTCGCCGCACCAAAAGCTTCTCTGGCTCCAGGGCCGATAGCGGCACGCGGTCATGTTTGCGGCAAGTGGCACAGTTCCTGCCCTCTCAAGCAGACCACGCCCTGCTGCTGCCCACGCTCCTTACTGCCGCCCGCCCTTACCCGAACGACTTACCTGAGCCAGAACCTCCTCGTTCGCTCCCGGTACCCGAGGATCCCGCACGCGGCCATCTTGGCCACGCCCCCTCACGTTTAGCCACGTCCCTACGCAGCAAACGTCATTTCGTCATTCCAGGTTACGCCCCTATCAGTCCCCATTCTGTCCCCGACCCAGGCTGAAATCTCGCCCTGGCCACGCTTCCCCAGCGCCGGAGTCCACACCTGCTCTGCGCTCTGGCTACACATCTCCTGTCGCTGCCACGCGCCTGCACGCTAACTTGCCGACGCCTCTGCCCTCCGCCTGCTCCACCATCTTTGTTACGCCCCTCAGAGCAACAAGGCACGCCCACACGTAAGGACCGCGCCCCCCACGTTCGAGGCACGTCTCTGCGTTCCAACTACGTCATGTCCCTACTTCCCTTTTCGCGCCACCTCCCTTGCCGGTCACTACTCCGCAGCCCGCCTTTCCATCTGTGGCCACTTTTCCACCCTTCGCCCAGTGATCATCCAGTCACAACTAGTCTGCCTACCCCACCTCCCTCCCTTGGGCTCACGTCCCTACTCCGCCTGAGGCCGACCGTCCCGCGAATTCGAATTTCTTTTTTACACCCTTGCGACTACGCCACGCCTTTCACGTAAGGGCTAAAGTCAGCTCGTTCGGGCCACGCCCCTGCGGTACGCCTGGGTCACGCCTCTTCCGCTAAGCCTTGCTGCCTGCGCTCCTCACTGGCGGGGCCGTTCCCGCCGTGGCCGTTCCCACCGTGGCTAACCCCTTCCATTCTCTCGGAACAGGCAAGACCCCTCTGGTCCGCGTCACTTTTCTTACTGCATTCCACACCTCTCTTTTCTGGCCAGTCCTGGCCGTCCTCTCAGGCCACACGCTACAACCTTGTGGTCCTCATTGGCCACTCGCATCCTGCGCATGCGCACTTACCTACCTTCACTTCTGGTCACGCGTTAGGTTCCCAGGCCACCCACTTTTGGTTCCACTCTGGTCACGCCTCTCCCGCCAGTTGCACGCTCTCTGCGCTCCTTTTAGGTGCGATACTTGATCCCGGGAAGCCACGGAGGTGTTGGAGGGGCCCACCAGTCTCCAGAGAGGACTGTCCAGGTCCTGGAACCAGATGTCCGCGGCATTTATAGAGTGAAATGAGCCTGCGGATCTCTGATCCTCTCCTAAAAAGTGACTTTCTCCATGTATCTCCCAACTCTAAACACCACAACTCGTTAAGCAAAAACCGAGTAGGAAACAGAACTGATGGGCCAGTGGTGGAGCAATGTTCCTTCTAGCTAGGTTTCATGTCCTTTAACCCGATATGGAGATAAACTGGAACCGTGTTCCTTCCAGCCCATTTAAAGTCAGCGGACTTTAAATGCTAGGGAGATACATGGAGTAAGCACACTCCTCTACTTCCTGATGTGTCCTCCTGATGACTTTTCCTAGGCACTTGGTGCCCTAATGCTCTCTAGGTCCTGTCTAGACACCACCACATTCAGACCTCTGTTTGCAGCCCCCTGCTCCAAGATTACGCTTTTTTACTCCCTCCATTCGCAATTCTGGGTTCACAGGAAAAAAGTGAGGAGGTTATTACCAGCTTTTCTGTCCAGAAATTTCTGAACGGACATTCTTAGAGGATGGACACTTTCCATTAGCCATTCATTCATTCATTCATTCAAGACAGATTTATCAAGTACTATGTTCCAGTAAGAAATAAGACAAGAGTCAAAGAGATCACAGACTGAGCTTCCCCAACTCAAGTTTAGATGGCACAAGAATTGAGAAAATTAAAGATGGTGTAATAAAGGAGTTGATAGGTGGAAAAGGACTTGATAAGTGCTGGTTTGTTGTTCTAATTAGCAGGAGTATTTTGGGGCAGCAAACATAGGAAGCCACTTACATAGCAGTTAGTACAGCTCCCTTCACAATAAATTCTCAATCTTCATTTAAAGTATTCCCTTTTCACTTGTATAGAGGATTACAATTTTTCCCTCCATGGCAGTGAGATTTACTATATACACTTCTACATATGCCAGTAATCAAGATTTTATGATCACATATAAAGTGTAAAAGTTCCTTTCTCTTCCCACCTTCCATCCATTTCTGCTTTGAAGACAGTGGGAACTTTCACAATATTGAGCTACAAGGAGCACAGAGTAAAAGACAATTTTCAACAAAACATTTTTTATTAAGCTCACCCTGGCTCTGAGAACTCTATCTCATTTATATAAAATGTTGCCAATGCTAATCATTTTTTGCATGAAAAATTAAACACACCGGAAATGGGATCAAGTGCAGCCTGTGTAAATTACTGCATTGATTTTTATAGCATTATTTTCTCCCAGATGATTTGAGGCCGCGTACCAAAATATAGGCAACACTGTATAAAGTAAGTATTATAGTTTAAGGAACCAGAGGGGAAATTCATGGAGGGAGAATAAATAATGTAGCCAATGGTAAGATTAACACTCAAGTATGCACACTTTCAGATCCAGAACAGTTTTTGAAGGTGGGCAAGAGATCTCACTCTAAGCTTCCATAGAAAACAGGAGATAACAAGTATTTTAAAGTTTTACGGTGTTCATAAAAACCAATCAATCAGGATTTTGTTTGCTTTTGAGAAGCACTGTTTGTTTTTTTAAAAATAATTTTTAGCCCCAAGGCAAATCCCAGTTCCTCATCATGATGACGCTGTGAGCTACGTGGGAAATAAGTGTCATAAGTTGTTACACCCACATTCCCTCAATGGAAACTGTTGGCATAATCACAAAGCACAGGGCACTGAATCAATTTCATGAACCATCCAAAATTTCCTGTTCGACTGAGTACACAGCCCCACAATGGTCTGGTTTAATTCAGGGTAGCATTTAGATAATCTTTCCCCATAATGGCACATAAGTTTCAACTCACATGTCAACTCCCATTTATTCATATTAGTGGACTGAATAGCTCAGTTGGGGTGGCTGAGTCCATGCACAGAAGGAAAAAGTTCTGAAATAGATAAAAAATGTTTGTCATGGGTGTGGGATGAGCAAATGGCTGCAAACAACCTGTCATCTCTGATTTGTAGTAATAGGGATCTCTTGTGCACATCTTTTAGGCAGTCCACAAAAACATTTCTCATAAGACTTTTGATGAATTTCAGACAGTAGAGGGTTCAGGGTCATCACTGGCCGAAACGTAGGATCAGAAATTCTGAGATATTGATTAATTCATATGTCTTTAATATTAATGAGAGCATATAACCTAAAAGTTATGTGGTCTGATCCCGCCCCCGCCCCCACACCCTTTATAGAGGTTGGCAAAAGAAGTACCTGTTGTCAGGGCTAAATGTGACTAGGTGACCTCCAACTGGTGGGCAAATTGATGATTAAGGATGGAAAATACTATTTCATAGACCATGGCTGCAATACTGTTAGCCTAGTAAAAAGAGAAAATTGACTTGCCAAATCATGAGAAAACTCTTACACCTGAGCAACAGTGGAACCAGCTAAACCTGTAAAAGAAATGTCTTGCTTTAACTACATGAGACCCATTATAAAGCATTGGTCTCCATGCACAAGATGAAACACACAGACACACATACTTTTTTTTTCCCATTTAAGAAACTGTCCTTTAAATTGCTACTTTAGGAGCATAAAGTTGGCAGAATTACACTCACTCAGTTGATCTGAATTAATTTTTATTTCCAAACGGTAGTGATTAACTTTCTCTGAAGTAGAAAAATGTTAACTTGTGAAGAATAAGACAAAGTTCATAATGATTATGGCTACTGATTAACCTACAAAATTTGATGAGCTTTTCAAATATCCTTGCTTAATATGATTTCTCATCTTAAAAAGGGGATATATGTGATGGAGACAAAAATATTCCACATTATAGAGTTTCTTGCTTACCAAGGATACTGGAAATTGTGTGTGTGTGTGTGTGTGTGTGTGTGTGTGTGTGTGTGCGCGCATAAAATTAAGCATACCAAAAGATTGTAACATCATCTGTTCTATATTCTAAAATTATTATTAAAATAAGCTCATTTATCTTTTTATTAAGATGGCCAATGAAAAATAATTTCCTGTTTTTTGTAGTCATGGGCACGTAGTGGGCTGCCAGTCCAACAGCCTGTGATTAGTAAATAAAGGGCACATTGGAAACTCACTGTCAGGGAATGTCCTTCCCATCTCCCATTGTCCTTCTCTGTGTCATTTACAATGAACCCATTCCCACATTGAAATCTTCATTAGCCTCTCAGGACCATTGTTGGAGAATCCAGACTCTCTGACCTCTAAGATCAGAACCCAACTTGGCTTTTCAGATGCATCTACACTGATGCTCTCTCCCCCATCTTCCTCTGAACCACTCTACCAGCAAGTCCCTGCTGTTGGCCATATCCTGTATCTGTCCTTTGTGTTTGTTTTCAGATTTCCTTAACTTGTATCCTGTGGGCTTTCATGTTTTATCTTTAAACATCTTGCCATTGTTCCAGGTCTATCTTGATTATCATTGAGAAACCTTTCTTCTATTTTTCTTTTGTTAACAGTTTTATAATTGACTTGTCAAATCCAGTAACTTTTTATCCTCTTTTTCTCCAGTGTTCCTATAGCATTTTGTTCACAATTGTATGTGCATCTATTGCCATCGTGATTTACTTTTGTGTCCTACAAAATTGTAAGTTCCTGAAGGGCAGAGACTATATTTGGTTCATTTTTGCATTTCTCGTAGCCCATGAATATGATAGTTTAAGAAAACTGAGTTGACTAATTTGAATCATAAACTGAAGTTCTAATAAGCTTGTGACTGGAAATTAAGTACCATGAAATGCATTGCAATGTATATATTTTTACATTCTTAGCCTTAGAGAAACCACACACACACACACACACACACACACACACACACACACACACACACACACACACACACTTGTCTCCCTTTTTTCTTCTGTTCTTCCTTGTGTGGGTTATTTCCATTAACTCAACTACAAGAAGAAAAGAGTTACCTAAATGACATTTTTAAAGTTTGTGGGGGTGTTTTGCAGCATCCCTGGCCTCTACCCACTAGATGCCAGTAGAATCCTCTCATCTGCCATTCATGATGACTAAAAATGTCACCAGACGTTGCCAAGTGTCTCTGGAGCACAAAATCACCCCCAATTGAAAACCACTGAGTTAAAATAGAACTTACACACAATAGACAAAAATACTTTGTCTCTCCATGTATCTTAACACTGACAATTTAAAGAGAATAAAATTATTTTTGTTGCCTAATTATACTGAAAACATTGTATAAATTATTAATAATACAAACATCTTGATATTGTTTATTATATATAGTATATCCATTTCATTACAATTTAAACAAGGAAGGATGTCATTTATTAAAATTCTACAACATTTAGGAAATCATTGAGTAGAGCCATTTAATTAAGATATTAAAACTTCCAAAGGGGTTTGTGTGTGTGTGTGTGTGTGTGTGTGTGTGTGTGTGTGTGTGTTTTGTTTTTGGTTTTTGTTTTTTTTATTTTTTGAGACAGAGTCTCGCTCTGTCACACAGACTGGAGTGTGGTGGCACAATCATGGCTCACTGCAGCCTCAACCTCCCTGGGCTCAGGTGATCCTCCTGCCTCAGCCTTCCAAGTTGCTGGGACCACAGGTGCATGCCACCAAGCCTGGCTAATTTTTGTACTTTTTGTAGAGAGGGGGTTTCGCCATGTTGTCCAGGCCTGTCTTGAACTCTTGGACTCAAGCAATCTGCTTGCCTCGCCCTCCCAAAGTGCTGGGATTACAGGCATGAGCCACCATGCCCAGCAGCAAAAAGTGTGAAGTTTTAAAATCTTATACAAAGTTTCTATGTTCAATTATTAAAAGTTTTAATTGATTTCTTTTAATGTGTCACAGCCAGATAACATTTCTGAAAATCCAATAAAAATATACAGAATAATGTCACATTTGAGATGGTTTTACAGTTTACTAATTTTAGGAGCTATATATTTACTAAATTTCTGTTTTTGATAATGAAACAAAATAACCAGGGTCAATTTTAAAAGAAACATTGGTCATCTCCACCTCTTGCTTTATTGGAGGTGAATGGAGCCTACATACGCCCACGTATTTATACGAATCTAGTGAACTTAAGGGATCTTGCATGAATCAAAAGAACGACACATGTGTTTTCTTTTCATGTGATCTCATATTCTGTTTACCCCAGAGCAGTAGATCCATAGTTATGTGCCCAGAAAGTGCTTTTCAAGAGTGTTGTGGAGTATAAAAAACACGGAGAAATCAATTTCGTTTTCCCATCTCAGGAGACTCAGTGCCCTTTTGTGTGGCTCATGGCAACAGTAATCTGAACTTTTAAATCTACATGCTCTAAACTCTGAACGTTTGGAAGTAAATAGTAACATATTCAGAATGATTGAACTGCTTTATTTGTCATCATTACCATGGTTACTAATAAGTTATGAAGCTCCCATATGTGAAATTGCTGAAATGAGCATTTTATGAAGCAATTTATACAGATATGAAGGCTCTGGAAACTTACTACTTAAAACTTGTACATCAAGACAAGCACTAAATTTGTGCAAGACTTTGAAAAGTATAGGAAAATATAATATGCTGAGAGGCAAGAACCCTAGTATCTAGTTCTGTTTTCCATTTATTTTACTGAGATCTCCATCAAACTATTTAACAATGAATTTGTTACAGTATGTAACCAATATAAATAAGATTTATGAATCAAAAAACAGAAAGAATTGCAAATTATGTCCAAGATCTTCTTCTTTGATTAAACAACAAAGATAATATAATCAAAATGAGAAAATTAATACACGTATTAGAAAATATAAAGAGAACATAACAACAAAAGTAGATATTTTATGGGAAATACTCTATAAAGTCCATGAGGATACTAGAAAATCTTAACAGAATATTTTCTTGGAAATTGTAAACAGCCAAAATGGATTCAGAAAGAGGTATAAAACCTGAAATAAATGATAATGTAAGGAATGAAAAATTTTGAAGAACTCTTCCTCTAAAATGCACATGGTCCAGATTCTTCATCTGTGAACTCTTTATTTCTGGTACATTATATGTATTTCTAAACATAGACAATGTTAGAAATCTTTCTGTATCATTTTCAAGATGGTAAAGGCTAGGAAAAAAAACGCTTCAAGAATCAGCACTTGAAAAGGAACCTACCTGATATTCTTTTAAGAAAATAGGTTTAAAAATCATAGGGGAAAAACCAGGAATTGATTCCAGCAGCATACTAAAAATAAATTAAAAAAATGTTTTATCTAAGAATTGAATCAATGTGAAAAATGTATTAATGTAATACACCAAATGGTAAAAATTTTAATAGTGAAAAGCAGTTGATAAAATGCAACACCAATTACTGAGGAAAATAATTTTTTGTAATTACAAATATAATGCTCGTATCACATGACACATCATTTTTAAAGCCACTTGCCAGATTCCGTGCAGTAGTGGCATTCCTATTAGAGTAAAGAAGAAGACAAGGGTGCGTCTTATTCCCATCATTGTATTACTCTGTTCTGATAGTGCCACTGCAGTGAGAAAAAACAACATCCTACAAGAACATATAAAGAGATCCAAGGCTAAGGAAGGCGCATTCTAACTATGAAAATATATTAGCATTGGTCATCCATTCTGGTAGTATTATGGATGTTTTCTACTTTTTTTTGCTTCTCTATATTGTCTATACAGAATTTCTATTGCTTTTTTCAATCATTTTAAAAATGAGAACACAAATATTGAGAAATCATAATGAAATAAGAGATTGTCTTCCCTTTTCAGATGAATGGCTTACACTGACTGAAACTCAATATTTTACTGTCTTCAATTCTAGTTACATAGATGACTAAAAGCTTATGAAGAAATTTGTCACTTTTAAGAAATGCAAGACTAAAGGAACCTGAAGAAGAATTCTGTGTTTCTACTCTGGGAGCTGAGGCAGGAGGGTTGCTTGAGCCCAGGAGGTTGAGGCTGCACTGAGCTAAGATGGTGCCACTGCACTCCAGCCTGGGCATCAGAGCAAGATCCTGTCTCTATTAAAAAAAAACAACAAACAACAACAAAACACAGTTAAGTTCAACAAAGATGACAAAGCTGCATAATAGCATGACCCCAGTTTTGTTTTTAAGAAGAAATGTACATGTATTTACACAAAAAAGAAAGCACAAGGCAGAAAGATATGTTCCAAATATTTAGAAAACATTGACAATTGGTCATTCGTTGACGCTGATGGAATTACAGGTGATTTTTACTTTTCTCCTTGTGCTGCTTTGTATTTTCTAAAAAGAATTTCTATTGCTCTTTTTGAAAAGATGATACAACAAACATTGAGAAACCATCATTCAAAAGAGATTGTCTTCTCAAATGAATGACTTACACTAAGACTCAGTGTTCTATTGTCTTCAACCCGAGTTACATCAATGACTAAGTAAAAGCCAAAGAAAGCCACTTGATACTTTTATGAAGTGTAAGGCTAAAGGAAAGCTGAAGCAGATTTCTTATTTATTTATTTATTTATTTATTTATTTATTTTTGAGATGGAGTCTCGCTCTGTTGCCCCGGCTGGAGTGCAGTGGCACGATCTCGGCTCACTGCAAGCTCCGCCTCCCGGGTTCAAGCAATTCTCCTGCCTCAGCCTCCCGAGTAGCTGGGACTACAGGCACCTGCCACCACGCCCGGCTAATTATTTGTACTTTTAGTAGAGATGGGGTTTCACCATCTTGGCCAGGCTGGTCTTGAACTCCTGACCTCATGATCCACCTGCCTCGGCCTCCGAAAGTGCTGGGATTACAGGTGTGAGGCACTGTGCCCAGCCGCTGAAGCAGATTTCTATGTTCTTAGCATAGCTTTCTTCCTTGATGTAAGTAAAATGCTTTGTTACAATCTCTATGTGTATTGACTTTTCCTTCCCATGATGACTTTATCTAGTTTAACATTTCCCAAGATGACTTCATCTAGTCTGGCTTTATTTTTTTCAGATGTTAGCTAGGTGAGCTCTTCCTTCTGGAAATTTCCACTGCACCTAATACAGTGACATTGCTAGGATGGCTGGACTAAGTTGTGGCTCCCTCTCCTTTTAGTACAGCTTTTCCTGACTCCGTGTCCTTGCAACCAAGGTGAAGGAGATGAGAAAAAGCTTTCTCAGTTGGATTTAGCTGATGGATGTGGGTCCTTTACAATAAAATACCACCCTCGCAAGGAGGGAGAAATGATGTGTTTCTCAAAGTGCTGCAGAAGTCTCATTGTTGATATTTTCCTCGTTGTTGCTTTGAAAATCCAATGTTTCTATTTAACACCAGAGTCACCCAATCTAATTCTGCCATTCATGACTTTTGAGGAATGGGGTGGAATTTGGGGACTGAATTTATGAAGAGGCAGCATGGTAGAGAGGAAAGTCCTGACATCAACCTCTGGGCGGGGCGTTGATTGGCATCTGTGGAATGCCCACCGGGGAAAGATTCTTTTACACGCATTATCTTAATTCTCAGAGCATCTCTGAGGCTTTGTTGCAACTTCAGGGTTTTTTAAAACTTTTATTTTAGGTTTAGGGGTGGATGTGCAGGTTTGTTATATAAGTAAATTGTATGTCACTGGAGTTTGGTGTACAGATTATTTTGTCACCCAGATAATAAGCATAGTATTCGATAGGTAGTTTTTCGATCCTCTCCCTCCTCCCACCCACTATCCTCAAGTAGGTACCTGTGTCTGTTGTTCCCTTCTTTGTGTCCATGTGTACTCAATGTTTAGCTCCCACTTATCAGTGAGACTGTGGTATTTGATCAATTCCAATTTTGACCAATGGTGACCAGAGACACAGAGCAGTTGGGTGTGGTGGAGACAGGGTTCAAGTGTAAGTCAACCTAGCTGGTAAAGTGACACCCATCCCACTCATCCCATTGCTGCCAATGACTTCAACGCTGGAGCCTCAGTTCCCTCCCGTATGAGATGATGATAACAATTGTGAAGTGTCTGAGGATCAGAGAAATAACCCAGTGAAGGTACTTCAGAGTGGGTAACTTTTAATTACTGTTGTATTGCTGTACTGACCAATGTAGTCAGTAGCCACATGTGCCTACTTAAATTAAATTAAACAAAAATTCCATTTCTCAGCTACACTAGCTCCATTTCCAGTGCTCAATGGCCTCCTACCTGTAGTAGCTGCCATATTGGATAGTACAGACACAGAACATTCCCATCGCCACAGAATGTCCCTTGGACAGTGCTGCTCTGTATCATTAACTTTGATTTAATTCAAGTGCCAGACCTCAGGGCTGAACACAATCATTCCCTATGTGTGAATGTGCAGGCACCTGTGCAGTTTTGTTGTATAGGTAAATTGTGTGTCACTGGAGTTTGGTGTACAGATTATTTTGTCACCCAGATAATAAGCATAGTATTCGATAGGTAGTTTTTCGATCCTCTCTCTCCTCCCACCCTCTAACCTTAAGTAGGTAAGAGGAAGCTCCGAAGCTCTCCTGGGATGTTCACCCGCTGTGGTGAGAGTCAGGTGAGGCCCTTCACGGAGGGCACCCTTTGTTTACCAGAGAGAAGGGAGTCACGTTTGTTTCCTGAATGAAGATAGCCTATCTAAGAACCAGGTATCTCAGCCTCGAAAAGGTGGGAAGTGCATGTCAAGGAAACCTCTAGACAGGACTCAATTCTTCCCATCATACACGTAACCAGAGAATCGCAGAAGGGGTCGGGGAGGATTCCAACTTTGAGTCAGCAAAGAAGACATTCTTTTGAGGTAGAGTCAGAGTAGGGAAAACAACTAATCTGTTTTCCAAACAGGTTTTCATAAATAACTGACAGGAGATGGGCTGTTTTTATGGAAGTATTAACCCAAATGATGGGTGTTAATCATTAAACCTTTTTGGTGGTGGCTCGCTTGTTTCTCTGATATTCTAATCCGGGTCACAGAATGGCTAAGGCAGATTTAAGTGCAGCGTGGATTTTTTTTTTCTCACTTTGCCTTGTGTTTTCCACCCTGAAAGAATGTTGTGGCTGCTCTTTTTTCTGGTGACTGCCATTCATGCTGAACTCTGTCAACCAGGTATGTAGCCTTGAAATTTAAAAATAGATGAACAGTTTTCTACATGTTTGACAAGTCATCGACTGAAAGAACTCTTTATTTTTCTAAATCTGCAGACATGTTGTGGCTTGAAAGTTGGGGCAGTGAGTGTTTAAT
This sequence comes from Homo sapiens, assembly GCF_000001405.40. Lineage (NCBI taxonomy): Eukaryota > Metazoa > Chordata > Mammalia > Primates > Hominidae > Homo > Homo sapiens. The sequence goes on along the minus strand of NC_000023.11, from coordinate 15,664,582 downwards.
GAGTTTGAAAGAAAATATTAAACCATCTAAGATGATTTAGGTTAAACTTCCAGGAGTATTTGGGGCTGTTTAATTGTAGTTCTTTGTTCCATTAGTTTGAGTTGCATTACATATTAGGATTTTTCAGACTCTGTTTTGGCAGATCCTAATCATCATATACTGCTCTTTCTTTTTTCTTTTCTGGCAGGTGCAGAAAATGCTTTTAAAGTGAGACTTAGTATCAGAACAGCTCTGGGAGATAAAGCAGTAAGTGGAGCACCTGAGTGTTCTTTTTAAATTTTGTTTGCTAATAACACTGTGCTTTCTCTAATAATGGGCCTGTCTGCATAGTTACCTTAATCTTGAATAAATTATTTCTAAAGACCTCAAATCTGATTTCTTAAAGATAGATTATAGAATAATATGAATTTTTAATAAAGTAGGTTTGCCTAAAGTATTTAATCAGTAGTGTATGCTAGGCAACATGTGAAGTTTTGTGCCACACAAAACAACTTAAAAAACCAGCATCTCAACTCGGGATAGTGAAGCCAAGTGGCCTGAGTCAGTCGTTCAGGTCTGGACTGGGTCTACTCCTCACCGTTGTGGTCATTTGAATTTTGTTAGCCTCGATTTTCTACCATTGAAAATAAGGGATAGTTCTACCCACATAAAGTCTTTCATAGCACAAAAAATTTCCAATTTGAACCTGAAGTTTCTTCAATTATTCTCAATTATCAAAGTAACATATGAAATATATGCTTATGAAATAGAAGTTTAAAAAATAGTCATAGGGCCCATGTGGCTATAGGAATGGTAAAGATCATTGAATTAAAAAGACAGTATTGTCTAATTCTAGTTTCAGTTTCCTAGTGTGGTCTGCAAAATTTTTTCCCCAATAGAAGGTGACGTTAAGATGCCTTAGGCATAGAAACAGAAAAAAGAGTGCTAAAGAAACTTAGAGGTATTCTGTTTGCAGGCCAGTTCATCAATTTGGTATTTTATTATTGACTCAATGAGTAATGATTGTTATAACAGCCAGCATTTATTGAGAACTTATCTTACTTTCTAGCTGGGGCTCTTCTAAGCACCTTACTCCTATCAAATCATTTAGCCCTCACAACAATGCTTTGAGGAAGATAGTAGTACAGGTATTAGTATTCCCACTGAATGGATGAGAAAACTGAGGTTCAAAGAAATTAAGTAACATGCTCAATATTTCAAGTCAGCAAGTGGCAGAAGTAAGATTTGAGCCCAGGCAGTCTGAGTGCAGAATACACTGTCTCTACTAGTGTGCAGGGTTGGCCATCCCAGTATCCTCTAATAGCAGGTACGATGCTGAATGCTGGGATGTAATGGTGATTAAGGCTTGTCCTTACCCTTGTGGAGCTTATAGTAGTAGTAGAATTGGTCATCTATTAAATATTCAGTAAACCAAATGCAAATGTGCAATCTTGACAAGTATTACGGGAAGAAGTACAAGGGCACTTCGGCTTTGTCAAGGCCCACAATACCTGGCACTTACTGTGATGTCTGAAGCATGAGTTGAAGTGTTACAGGAAATGAAAGAAGGAAAGGCAGAGGGAACAGCATGTGCAAAGGCTTATCACAGGAAGGATCTTGGTGAGAGTAAAGATTAGAAAGAGGGCAGAAATATCTGGAATTGGGGCAGTGAGGAGGAACATGGCAGGTGATGAGCTTAAAGAGAGAGGAGCAGGCAGGCCAAGGAATATGTGGGCTGTGTTAGGGAGTTTCATTTTGAGATGTAGGGAGGGTTCAAGAGCATCAAATGCCGTTGAGAGGCCAAGCCAGAAGGCGACTGAAAAATGTTCATTGTGTTGGACAATATGGAGGTCAATGGTGATTTTAGAAAGAGCTCTTTTCGTGGGGTGGAGGAGCTGGAAGACAGATAGTGGGGAGTTAAAAAATAAATGAGTGGTGAACATGTTGAAACAGATGTGTGGACAACTCCTGGGAGAATTTTGGCTGTGAAGGGCAGGAAAGAGATAGCAGTAGGTAGAAGAAAGGAAGACTGAGTAAAATGATTTGTTTTTGCTGTTGCAAAACAACAGCTCTTTGCTATGGCTTTAATGAGAAAGTCTTGAGCTTGGTTAAAAGACAATGAACAGACTCCGGTCAGAGCTAAATACACAGAATGGAGGGGAACTGATATTGTTTAGATCTGAGAAGGGCAGAGGAGAAGCATTCCTAATATAAGTGACGGAAATGGCCTCTGATAGGCATAGTTCTGTCTGGCACTTCAGGAGAGGAGGCGGCTAAGACGTGTCTATGGAGGAAGTGTTGTATCTTGATGTCAGGAGGTTGGGAGAGTTGAAATTGATGAGATGTATCTATAAATTATGAAGCAAAACCATTTAGTGAGAGTGAGGTTTGAGGGAAACCATTGGGAAAAATGGTTAAAAAAAAAAAGCATTGACCATCAGTTCTCTCTCTAGAGAGAGGTTTGAAATAGTTATGTGACCCATGAGAAAGAGAACTGATGGTGAAACCTTAGGGATTCCCAGGCAATTTGGGGGTAGGTCATCATGAATTTAGAGTTAAACCAACTAACCCTGTTCTGTAATTGTCTCTAGTTATACCAGTTACTTACCTAAAATGTGGGGTTAGCCATGGTTTGAGTGTTCTTAGATGTGTGCAAAAAGCAAGGTGAGCTGGGGCATTTAAGGTCCTGGCACATGTTATTGAAATGAGGAACCAAGGAATCTAAACTGATAGATAAATATATGCAATTAATTTGTACCATTTGGTCTGTGAAGCCACACGTGGCATATAAAGATGTGTTCAATTTCACATTGAGCACCTATTATGTGTCAAGTATACGCACAACAGGTAGTTAAGCTGCTATGGACATTCTTATATGTGTATTTTTCATATGCCTTCTTTTTTGGGGGTATTTACCCTGGAGTAGATTAATGGATCATAAAGTATACAAATGTTTAGCTTTAGTAACTCTTACCTTATCCTCTCTTAAGTTGTACATTTTCTCATTAATATATGTGCTCAATTCCTTTTATAAGCGGAGGCTCTCTCTTTGAAGTGTTTGAATGCCCTGGGAGAAATACACTACGTCCAATGCACAAGCTTTCAATCCTTTTCACACTTGCCCAAGATAAGTTGGTTCCACTGGCAGGATACCCAACCCAATCTAGAACTGCATCAGTTCTGTTCTGATCTAAGTAGCTTGGACCTTTGTTCTGTGACCAAAATTGGACTCCTACCCAGCCAGCTTATGCTCTTGTTTTTGAGATGAACAAATGGAAGGACAGGAGATCAGGTCAAGTTGTCCCCAAGATCTGAAAAGCAACTGAAATTCATGTCCCAGGGAGAGCTGGCTAACATCTTTATTTTCATTTTCTGCACTGAGCTTATTATTCTCATTTGTTCTTGAGCAGGCTTATTCCTTGTGTCTGCATTCTGTTAATAAGCCTTCCCTGTCTTAATAGTGTTTCTGCACCATTTTTAATCAGACCCATTTCTTCTTCATGTTTTATTCATTTATTATTAGGTTAGATCATAGCTACTCTTATTCTGAATAAAATTAATTTTGGAAAAAAATGCATTATCAAAAACAAAGAGCTATGCCACCAATCAGTTACTTTTAAACTTTCATAGTATAATATCAAATGAAAAGTTCACATCAAAACATTGAAGGAGCACTTCAAATAAGATCTAAAGTTGACATTAAAATGCAGTATTTAACATTTGCATATGAGAAAAGTGATTTTTCCATTTCCATTCTTTTGTTGTTGTTGTTGTTGTTGTTGTTGTTGTTGTTGTTGGAGACAGGGTCTCACTCTGTCATCCAGGCTGGAGTGCAGTGGCATGATCTTGGCTCACGGCAACCTCCACTTCCCAGGTTCAAGCAATCTTCCTGCCTTAGCCTCCTGGGTAGCTGGGACTACAGGTGCATGCCACCACGCCTGGCTGATTTTTTTTTTTTTTTTGGTAGAGATGGGGTTTCACTATGTTGCCCAGGCTAGTCTTGAGCTCCTGGGCTCAAGTGATCCACCCATCTTGGCCTCCCAAAGTGTTACAGGCTTGAGCCACCACTCCTGTCCCCCTTTTCTGTTCTTTATGGTAACATCTTACAGCAGAGTTACATAAGGTAGGACTGAAGGAGAAAATGGTGAAGTGGAAGAAGCAACTGAAGAAAGTTTAAGGTTCTATGTTACAGAGGCCAAGGCAGGAGGATCACTTAAGGCCACACATTTGAGACCAGCCTGGACAGCACAGCAAGACCCCATCCCTCCTCCCTTCCAAAAAAAGAATATGCTATGAAAATATTTAGGAGAAAGGAAAAAGTACAGCACAGTCATAAACCTTACCCAGAGAAGGTAACTGAGTAATACATTTTTTGTTGTTGTTATTTAGGAGTCATTTATTTTTACTTACTATCCTCCCTGCCACCAAAGAGGAGAAAGGCAGTAACGGTAAAATATGTTTCCCCATCCCAGAGTGAAACCCCAATCCTGACAATGTCCTTGTGATATACCAACCCCCCACCCTCACCAACTTCTTCCGCTCAGCTTTTGCTACTTTCTCCCTTCCTGCTTCTCTTTAGTTGCTACCCTCCTTGGTGGTCCTTAAACAGCTCAGTTTCTTTTTGCCTCAGGCTTTTTGCATTTACTGCATTAAGGAGCAGAGTGAGTCAAATATACTATATTAATTTGCTAGGGTTGCCATAACAGAGTAACACAGACTGGGTGCCTTACACAACGGAAATTTATTTTCTCTCAGTTCTGGAAGTCAAGATGTCATAGGGTTGGTTCCTTCTGAGGGCTGTGAAGGAAGGATCTGTTCCAGGCCTCTCTCTTTGGCCTGTATGTAGATGGCTGTCTTCTCCCTGTGTCTTCATATCATCTTCCCTCTGTGTCCAGATTTCCTCTTCTAAGGACACCAATCATAGTGGATTAGGGCCCACTCCAACAACTTCATTTTGACTTAATCATCACTGCAAAGACCCTGTCTCCAAATAGAGTTAAATTCTGAGGTATTGCAAGTTAGGACTTCAACATGAAATTTTTCTGGTGAGGACAAAAATTCAGCCCATAATATGCACGCACACACACTAAAGTTTCTGGCTAAGAAAATTTTTTAAAAATTGTACTGATGTTAATAAAGGCAACTGGGAGGGAGTTTATGAGGGAAAAGAGAAAGGGAGGAAGGAAATGAAAATGGACTATATATGGCCAGGATGAAATGTCCAAATGCCCTATTTGTTGGCTGGGTACTGATGCTGCAGGTTCTTAGGAAGATAGTGCAACAGGAGACACACCAAACTTAGAATGTCCAAGAAACCCTACCCCAAACATGGGGATATAATTTATCGTGGTCTCCAGTATCTAATATATGAGAAACGTGTGTGTGTGTGCGTGTGTGTGTGTGTGTGTGTGGAGAGAGAGAGAGAGGGAGAGCCACTGTGGGTACAAGTAGAACCAATGGACCATATTTTCCCCCATACACTTTGTTTTCCTTCTTTTTCAGTATGCCTGGGATACCAATGAAGAATACCTCTTCAAAGCGATGGTAGCTTTCTCCATGAGAAAAGTTCCCAACAGAGAAGCAACAGAGTAAGCAAATAATGAGAAATCTTAACTGATTATTTACAGTATTATTTGAGATAGTGCATTATTTCAAACCTTGATTTTGAAAATAATTTATTAAGCTAATTTTTCAAAGGGATTCACACTTTTATTAAACTTAAAAATAACTTTTATAATCTAACTCATCTTACAGTTTATATCATGTTCCAACAATGCTCTTTGTTTAATAGATAATATGAAGATAAATATCCCTCAAAATTGCAGCTATATATCCTAAGCTTTCTACATTTCTATTGTGTGTGTGTGTGTATATATATATATATATATATATAATTTTCTTGCAGATAGATACCAAAGAATTTTACTCTTATTTTGAAAATAACCTAAGTGTGTATAAGTTCTTTCCACTCTTGGTATTTATCATAGTACCTTGTTTATTTTCTTAAAAGCACTTAATATGACTTTTAATAGTTTTATATTTTTTGTCTGTTCTTCTGGAGGAATCTTCTCTATGATGTTTCTTTCTTTCTCTATTTGTGATGAGGGTAACATTCCTGGTCTTTCTCTATTCCCTTCTTCACTCCTCCCTTGAGAGGTAAAATGACTTATGTGATTGGTGAGCTGGAAGGAGAACCTGGGCATGGGTTCCTTTCTCCTTGTGAGGTAGCCATCCCCAAATGATAGCAGACGTCTCTCATGCAACTCTCTAGCTAAGTACAGAACCAGGCCCTGCATGCACAGGTGCATACACCCTAAGGTTGTACTTGCTGTTTGCAGCTGAGGAGCATTTAGTAGGTGCCATTTTATATGAAGGGTTAAATATCTTGTGTATTACTCCAGTACAGGACAATACCTGCCTCACTTATGCTCTACTTGAGACAATGGAGGTGAATATATTTCATTTCAGGATTTTTTTTAAATTAGGGAGAAATTCTGCCTGCTGATTAAAGTCATATCCTCCAACCTAACCTTTTATTTTGGTCTCCCATCTGTACAATCTTTTTGTCTTAATTCTATAATAATTCAAGGCCCAGTATAGATGATTACTATTAATTGGTCTCCCTCACATCCACAATATCTGATGCATGGGATATGAATATAAAGAATGAAACAGAAGAGTGGAATTTGAGGGAGCAAAATGAACACATATACATTTGTGTATACACACATGTATATTTTAAATATATGTTTTAAAATAATATATTAACGTGATTCAAAAAATGAAAAGAAGGTATATAATAAAACAAAACTTTGCCCTAAGTTCTACTCCTGTTTTATAGATCTTAAAATTATATATATTGTATTTCATGCCATTAAACTGCAGCATTCTTTCACAACTATTTATAATAACTTTTTTCAATAAAAATAAGGTGATTACATTACAAAAAGTTGAACAGGAAAAAAAAAATAAGAAGAAAAGCCACTGGTTATCTCACAATGGTAACCTCTTAAATATTCTCTTTGTATTTTCTTCTAGCCCTTCTTGTAAGCAAGTTTTATACATTGCTGTGTTCATGGCACTATTAGTTCCTTTAAATGATCACATTTCACCTAGTACATGACTAAGTTAAATTAAGTGTTTCCATTCTTAGGAAATTTTAATTTAAGTATATAACATTTCAGATTGATTTTTGGGAGTTTACCTTTAAAATATCTTCCTTCAGAATCTGGAGCATTGTAGGAGTCTATGAATATCTGATCCGGTTTATTTGAAAGGTTGTTTGACTTACAGTTGGGCACTGGGGCTGGGTGCAGTGGCTCACGCCTCCAATCCCAAAACTTTGGGAGGCCGAGGCAGGCAGATCACTTGAGCCCAGGAGTTCGAGACCAGCCTGGGCAACATGGACAACATGGCAAAACCTCGTTTCTACAAAAAATGCAAAAATTAGCTGGGCATGGTGGCACACACCAATAGTCCCAGCTACTCAGGAGGCTGAGATCACTTGAGCCTGGGAGTTTGAGGCTGTAGTGAACTATGATGGTGCCACTGCACTCCAGCCTGGGTGACAGAGTGAGACTCTGTCTCAAAAAAAAAAAAAAATTGGGTACACAGGATATATGTCGGGTTGGTGAAATAGTAATTGTGGTTTTTGCCATTGCAAGTAATGGCACCTTCAAGAAAAGTAGAAGCTTTTGTTGCCAGTGTCAGTTGTAAAAATCAAAACTGCAAAACTGGACTGAGGGTCAGTACACATTTTTCTGTAAAGAGTCAGGCAGTATGAGTCCTGGTAATACTGCTATCAAGGGGATGAATTGGCGAGCGAGATGTGTTTAAGATGCAATTCAGCTGCTGGCCTGGATTCCACATGCACTGCCATATTGGAAGCTGCACCCCTACATGAAGAGCTATGGGAAAGGGCACCACATAATGCAAGATTGGATTGAAAATAGCTTTGCGGAGAGGCTGCTTCTCTCCAGTGTGGCAGGTGGATGGAAGATACCAGTAGCCGCCTTCCAGAAATCTTTTGGTGCCAATGTGGGCAGACTGAAGGAGTGTGGCAAATATTCCTTTCCAGGATAGCTTCAGGATCCAAGTTTTGGGACTGGCTGTTTATTGTCTCCCCCCCGCCCACCATTGTTTATCTACTAATATTGCAGAAAACTGTAAAGCACAAAAATAAACCAAATCACGTGAATTAAAAATAAAGATATTCAAGTAATTAACAGAATAATGAATAGTCTCACTTTCATCCCACCTTTTACCCAGGGTGATATCTACAACATCTCTTATATCAAGTTTGGTCACCACCAATGATACAGAGCTCATTGTCTCCTGAGCATGCCTCTTCCTATTTGGAAACGTACAATTGGCATATACTTACAGTAGAAGCTTGCATGGCTATGAAAAAGGAAGTGATGTCTTGTTGGAGAGCTGATCTAGTCCAGTTACCATCACCGCAGGCAGGCAGTGGAAGAGAAACCAGGGATTCCCTAAGGGGATCAGAGAGGCTGAGGGTGTGGGCTTGCAGAGAGGGCTGTGGCATTTCCACTCCCCTAGGACTTGAACAGGGCTGGGAATGGGTTCCTGTGCAGATTCCCCAGTGCGGCCAGCTAGGGTGTTGACAACTGAGTTCATGCTGATGAGTTGGTCCCCATTCCTTACGAGTGATGATGTGTTGGAGTGATATTCTTGTTTGCATCCCTACCTACCTGAAGTCAGGTAGAGAAGTGCTCATAGAGGATACAGTTGTCTTTAAGAAAGGAGACTGGCATAATATTTTCTGGAGGGATGCTCCCCAACTTGCAGACATTCTCAGGACTCCGTCAAGTTGCCACTAGAGTAACAGTAGCTGGAGCTCTAGAGAATATGATGGTGTCCCTAGCCACTGAGAGTGTATCTGGAACAGAAACTGGTGGCTACTTCTTAGCCAGAGAAGTCTCATGGTGGAAGGCTGGCTTGAGTACCTGTGACTGGGGAGAGAGAGAGCAGTTTTTTGAGCAGTCTGCACTTGAATATATTCCTGGGGCCAAGCAGAGGCTTTGGAAGGGAACAGGATAGAGTTACTGCCTATTGGGCCCATGTCCCTAAGTGAGACAGAGCAAGGCAAGGCAGCAGAGTGAGGCTGGAGGTGTACACCCCGGAGGCAGAGCCGAGGCGAGGTGGAGGAAATCAGTCAGCGTGTCACCCATGTCAGGGGAAGATGCAGTGCAGAGGTCCCTGGAGGGGCCCTTGAAGGCCCCACAGGAGCATTCTGAGTGGAGAGCATCTGGACGTCCACTACCACAGAAGACCTCTCAAAGCGGGGGAACCACAAGGACCCAGGTCCAGGAAGAATAATTTGGCCTTTCCTTATCTATCTCACGCCCCCATCATCTTGCTTTCCTGTCCCTAAGCGAGGAGAATGAAGCATGGTGGAGGGGAGCACAGGCAGGGAGGGAGTAGGGAGTGGAGCCCGGAGGAAATGGCTGGAGCCCACCACTCAGGTCCCTGCTCTGGCCAGAACTGCTGGAAGGAGAGCAGCTGTAGGTGAGAGGCAGGAAGGCAGTTTTGGTTAGACTGGCCTGGATGCCTTAGCAGCCGGAAGTGACAGGAAAGCCACACCATCTGCCCCAGATGCTGTCAAGAGGCGAGGAAGAAGGAGCTGACAGAGTGCCCAAAGGGAACAGTGTGAGCAACATCAACCTCTTCCTTCACTGCTGTCCATGAGGCCAGCCCGTGGAACTACACTGCTGTGGCTGGAGCCACAGGATTAAGTGACCTCTACTGAAAGCCTGCTACGTGCTGAGCACTGAGATTCGAATGAGGACTAAGACCAGGTCCCACACTGCACCAGGTCCACACCCAGGAACCTAGCCCTGGTAGACATTGTAGAAAGATAGATCAAATGTGACAGCAACAAGACAACTCTTTCAAAATCATCATTCACAATTTCTGATATTAAATGCTTTTTTTGCTATTGCTGTATTTTTTTAGGAGCAGAATGGGAGATAGATGGAAAAATGAAGTTAAGGGAAAGCTCTGGTTTCATTAGTTGAGGTTACTTGAGGTTTTCCTGGAACTTGGATTGAAGATGGCAACCAAGTGTTTTCAACTGTTTAAAATATGATTTAGGCCAGATTTACTAAAACAGTTTCACAGGAATTTTAAAATGTTGAAAGGAATTTCTAAGGAAGCTATAATCTAATCCAAAGTTTAGTCTAATTCCCAGGTCAACTGGAAACTTAATATGCCTAGTTTACTCAAACATCAACTTTTAGATAATTTATCATTTTTAGCAAGAAAGATAAAGTCTAACTCAGGCAAGGCTTTCTCTTTCTGAGTTAAATGGTGTAGAATATATAATGGATTTCTGCCTCTGCCTAATTATTCAAGGATAAGTCTTGTGATCTAAAAAGGAACAACGTGCTGTTGTATCCACGGTAAGGGGATTAACGGTCTTGTGCTTGTAAAACAGCAGCCCAGCGCCTATTTAGTCCTTTTGATTTCCAGAAACAAGAGCCAGATTCTTACCACTCTTTGGAGGCAGTTGGCCCTGTCTGGCGCCATTGATGAAAAATGGCAGTGGATCCAATTCTTAGAGAAACCTTCAGACCAGGGCTTTCCACACTTGAGGAAAAGGAGTAAACATTTTTACCTCTCTTTCATGATTTGCTGAAAGAAGTTACTTATGTATGAATTAATATAATTTCTTGGTAAAAACAATTGGTCAAAATGATTATTAAAGTGAATTCAAATAATTCCACCAGCCCACTGGCTGCTCTGAAAAGCCATATTTGCATTGTTTTTGGGTTTGGCTTCCAGCTTGCTGCAGCTACACCTGCCCTTCTCGGACTCTGCATTATTGCCAGTCCCCAAACTCTCGGTTTCTTTTTAGTCCACTGCATTGGTCACTGGTGTGCCCCACCATGTCAGATGCAACTGTGGACACCAGCTCCAAGATCATCACCAAAGTCTTAAAGGAGAAGAAAGAAGTTGTGGAGGAGGCAGAGAAGGGAAGAGATGGTCCTGGTAATGGGAACGCTAATGAGGAAAATGGGAAACAGGAGGCTGACAATGAGGTAGAAGAAGAATAGGAAGAATATGGGGAGGAAAAAGAGGAGGAAGAAGGTGATGGTGAGGAAGAGGATGAAGATGAAGATGTGGCAGCTGAGGATGCTATGGGCAAATGGGCAGTTGAAGATGCTGAGGATGACAACGTTGATACCAAGAAGCAGAAGACTGATGAGGTTGACTAGACAGCAAAAAAGGAAAAGTTAAATTAAAAAAAAGAAAAAAAGAGAAAAGGCCACCGTGATCCATTCACTCTTCACCCTGTTTCAGAATCTAAGTGTAGTCATCTTGAAGTAGAGAGGCCTGCCGGGCAAGCACTCTTCAACACCCAACCCAAACCACAAGAATTTGCAACAGGGGAGGAAAAAAAACCCCAAACTTCCAAAGCTCAGCTTTTTTCCTTAAAAGTACTTCAAGAAAAAAATTTGTTCATATTTTTTATTTACATTGTTTATTTATTTGTTTTTTTTTGAGATGGAGTCTCGCTCTGTCACCCAGGGTGGAGTGCAGTGGCGCCATCTTGGCTCACTGCAACTTCCATCTCCTCGGTTAACGCAATTCTCCTGCCTCAGTTTCCCGAGTAGCAAGGATTACAGGTGCCTGCCACAACGCCTGGCTAATTTTTGTATTTTTAGTAGAGACGGGGTTTCACCATGTTGGCCAGGCTGTCTCGAACTCCTGACCTCAGGTGATCTGCCCGCCTCAGCCTCGAGAGTCCTGGGATTACAGGCGTGAGCCACTGTACCTGGCAATATTTTTTATTTTCATTGTATATTTTTGTACATATTGTTAGGGGTCAGCCATTTTTAATGATTTCAAATGATCAAACCAGCCTTCAGAGCTTTCTCTGTCTTACTTCTGACTTTACTTGTGGTGTGACCATGTTCATGATACAGTTCAAAGAAAAAACAAACCTTGAAGAAAAGCAAAAACAACAACAACAACAACAAAATCTTATTCCGAGTGTTCCAGTGTCTTTTTTGTATATGAACTTAGCGGTACTATAAGTTTGTATGAGATGGTTAAAAAGGCCAAAGATAAAAGGTTTCTCACTCCCCTCCCTGCCTTTTTTTTTTTTTTGTCTGTAAAGTTGCTGTTTATTTTTTTGGCCTCTTTGACATATGTGTGAAACAATATGATGAACAATAAATTAGAATTTTGTTTCGCTGAGTTGCTCTAACAACAACAAAAAATAATTCCATTGGACTCATTCATATTTAAAATCTTGAAAATGTAGGATTTTTATTTAGTTGTGCTAATGGCATTTCAGTTTCTTTATGACATCAAAACGTGCTTTAAAAAGACATGTTTAGCTCAAGAAATGCTTGTTGATCAATTTTTCATTCTGTACAAATCTTGGAGGACATTCAATGTAGTCACATTTGGAAGAAAGGCCATGGAGAAGTCACATTAGTTGCACATAATCTATAACTGGAAGAAATTTGTATCCTTTGGTTCCTTAATACATAAATTACAGAACTATGTGCAGTCATTCTTCATGTTACTTCCTTTTTAGCACCAACTTTCTGCCTTCACATTTACAGTTCTTCTTGGCTACTTTCATCTACAGTATATTCAGGATTCTTCTTTTGCCAGAGAGTTCTGTGTTTTGTTTTGTTGTCTGAGTATTTGTAGGTGAGTAGATAAAGTTTCGGGAAAGTAATCTCCTTCCCTCCCTGCCTCTCTTTTCTGTTATTACAGCCCTGGACCAATTTACTTCCTCAGTTTGTCTCTCTGGGAATAATGTCAGAAGCACTGAGATGTTAACCTTCTTTCATCCATCCATTTTTCCCCCCAATCACTTGCTGAATCCACGTGGGCCAAGCTTCAGGAATATGGGGGCTTACAGCACAGGACAGACTTGGGACTCATGTCCTCATGTCCCAGGGCACAAGAGAAATCTGCTGCAAATGGACAAAATATTTGATAATCTCCCTAGTGACCCTGCAACTGATCAAATTAAAACAGGTGCTCTTTGCTTGGAGATCATGAAGTTCAAATCAGGGCAGGGATTAGAGACCCTCCTGACAAAGAATGCAGACAAGCCATGTGAAATCTAGAAGATCTTTGTCCTCCCCATGTCCTGGGTCTATTCTCACATAGGGCATGGAACTATGTGCAAATTCTGCCACCGTGGGGGTTACTGGCTTCCACTTTGGTATTTAATGCTCTGGTGGACTCAAGACTCTGGTCTTGGTTTTCAAGAGTCTTAGCATCACTAAATTCCTGCATGGGATGGGGCACGGAATCTGAAGGCCGCTGTAGTAGGAACTCTTTTCCTAACCATATCCCTAACCATACTGGCTAATCAAGGTTAGCTCTTAGTAAATAGTTGTGAGTGAATGAAGCATGTTTAACATCCTGGCTCTTAAACCAGAGGCCTGTCTATTGAGGTGCAGTGGACACAAGAAAACCATGTCCCCCCATCCCCCCAATTTCTTTCTCTTTTTCACCTCAGTCCCACAGGAGGATGCTCCCATGGTGGATTTGGCACACAATGGCCAGAGTAGAAGCAGTTCCCTGTTGCCTGGGTATTAGCTCTTGTTGGACCTCGGTTTCTTACTCTTGGGGAGGCCAAGACATCAGTTAGTTTCTGAAAGCATCATCCAAGCAAGTAGGAAGTATCAGCCCAGAGTGTGTCTCCATCTTCATATACAGCCTTTGCTGCCTTCAGAGCAGGGCTAGGCTTTCCCCTGGCCCCCTTCCCACAACATTGCTACTGTGGGAAGTGGGCTTATTAATTCTTAGTTCAACTGCCTGTATGTGAACAAAATATAAACACGTCTGTAGAGTTATATATCTGTTGGTGACATTTGTTGAACATTAGGTTACCTTTTTGTTTGCTTAGAATCTTGAGACGAGTTACATATTTGGGCAGAAACATCATGTAGGAAGGACACAACATTGTCCTGTTGAAGAAGACCACAAACAGCCAAAACTATTTACCTCTTCTCTTTATATCAATCTTAGAGAAATGATGCTTAAGAAACTAGTACGATGGAAGTCATCATAATAAATAATTTTACATCTGAATGTATAACAAAGAATTTTTAAAAAATTCAGGTAACTATTAATACCATCCTTATGCTGGTGGGTACCAGTATCTTGCATTTGAATACAGCTTTCTTAATTTCAAACAAATTTTTTAAATCTGTTATCTCCTTATCAATGAAGCTAGTCAAAAGCATTAAAACGTTGCCTAGTTTTTATTTTTCGTGTAGATACTTTTACTGTGCCCAGGCAACTTTTTAAATAACTGCTTTGCTCTTATATGTATGTATATGTCTGTGTATTTAATTAAAAAGATTTACAAAAGAGTTACAAAGTTAATATAGAGAGTCCCTACGTACCAGTGGTTCTCAACACTTGGTGGGGGGGTTCCCTGCAATTGCTCCCAAGGATATCTGGCAATTTCTGGAGACATTTTGGTTTTCACAATTGGATGTGCTACTGGCATCTAGTATGTAGAGGCTAGGGATGCTGCTATATATCATACAAAACATAGACAGTCCCCGACAACCTAGAATTATCCAGGCTAAAATGTTAATGGTGCTATTGAGAAACCCTGCTCTAACCCCAATTCCCTTATGATATCATGTTAAATAACCACGGTAGACTTATCCAAACAAAGAAATTCACGTTGGTTCACTTTTTCTACTAATGTCCTTTTTCTGTTTAAGAATCTATTTCTCCTTAGTCTGATCCACTCTATGACACTTTCTCTGTCTTCCTTTGTTTTCATGACCTTGAAACTTTTGAAGGGATTTAGAAGTGTTTCTTACTTGGTACTGACCGCCCCCTGCCCATGGAGTATAAGGAAATGGGATCTGTATGGGGGTTATATCTATGACTGTAGAGTGCTGTGGCATTTAAAGGGTGGGGAAGAGAGATAATCAGTGTGGTGAATGGCTCAAGACAGTTACCCATAACATTCCCACCCAAAATGCCAACAGCACACCCCCATTGACACACTAAGAGCTCAAGCCCTTCCTAGTAACTCATAGACAGCGAAATGACTTGTCTCAAGACCACCATTTGGCAGGTAGTAAATTTCAAAATAAAAACTTTGTTTTTAGAGTTTCAGTCCAGGAACTTTTTCTATCTAACAATAACTGTCTCTATTGAAAATGTAAGGTTTACTATTTTCAGCAAAAATTTTAATCTTTTGGAAATCTTTATTTCTAAGTAGATAAAATATTTTCATTTTATTTGCTGAGGTAATGTGTTAAAGTATGAGTTGCCACCCATTGGAAACTTGAATAAATTTAAAGAACTTGAATTCATGGTATAGTTCCATAGTGATGGGGACAGAGGAAAGTATTTGGGGCCATAGTTGTGTTGATGGAGTTGTATGCCCTTCCTTTTATTTTTTTTTCTTTATAGTACTTACTTCACACCTCCACAGTGTATGCATTTATTTACTTGTTTATCTTTTGTCTCCACCTCCTTAGCAAGCTCCATGAGATAAAGGATTTTGCTTTGTTTACAGCTGTATTCTATGGCTCTGTAATGGGGAATACCATGAAATTCATGTTTGAACAGTATTTAAAGAGGCTTTATATGGAAAAAATAATACAGGCAAAGTAACTAAATGACTCTTTACATGATTTCTGGCCTTTTATGCCTGAAATTCTATTTGGTATTTGTTTAATTTATATAAATGTTATGTACTACGCATAATATTTTACCTCTTATCTTTTTCACTTGATGGTGTATTTTTGAGATTTATTCTTTTTTTTTTTGAGACGGAGTCTTGTTTGTTGCCCAGGCTGCAGTGCAGTGGCGCGATCTCAGCTCACTGCAACCTCCACCTCCCGGGTTCAAGCGATTCTCCTGCCTCAGCCTCCTGAGTAGCTGGGATTACACGTGTGCGTCACCATGCCTAGCTAATTTTTGTATTTTTCGTAGAGATGGGGTTTCACCATGCTGGCCAGACTGGTCTCAAACTCCTGACCTCGTGATCTGCCCCCCTCAGCCTCCCAAAGTGCTGGGATTACAGGCGTGAGCTACCGTGCCAGGCCAAGATTTATTCTTTTATTTAAAAAATTATATAGCTCTAGCTCAATGGTTGCCACCAGGGGGGTGATTTTGTCCTTCAGGGGATATTTGGGAACACCTGTAGCCATTTTTGATTGTCACAACTGGAGGTAGTCCTGATACCTGGTAGATAGAGCTCAGATTTGCTGCTAAACAACCTGGAAAGCACATGGTATCCTCACAACATAAAATTATCTGGCCTGATCGTACTGATGTTGAGAAACCCTGGGCTATTTCTTTCCTTTAATCTGTGGAACAGTATTCCCTCGACAGCATATACTATATTTACTTTAGTCCCGTACTGATTGACATTTGGGTTGTTCCAATTCTCTGCTATGGTGACGAGTGCCGCAAAGAACATCCTCACCAGTGTCTGTGTATGTGTGCCACAGGGTTTCTGGTAGCTGCGTTTTCTGTTCTGGGAATCACTTCCAAATGCCATTCCAGAGTGGCTGGACTCCTTGCTTCCACAGCGTCACCTGGGATTCCAATTCCATGCGTCTTTACCAGCCCTTGGTATTATTTAACTTTTAAATTGTTGCCAATTTGAAACGTTTAAAATAGTAGCTCATTTGTAACAATTTTGCATTTCCTGATTGCTAGTAAGACCAGACCACAGGAATCATTCACACCCCAAGCATTCTAGAAAACTGGTGAAAATGTTTTCTGTCCAGCATGCGCCACTTCATTTGGTTTGTCCCTACGTCTTTGATATGTATTAGAAAACCGCACATTTTGGGGGACTAGGCTTGCCTGTTTCTGCCAGTAGAGGTCACTGTTCCTCAGTGGTTCTCCACCAGTATGACTTTTGACCTCTCTACCCTCCCAGGGAGTATTTGGCAACGCCTGGAGCCATTTTTGATAGGACTGTGAGTGTGCTGCTGGCACCTAGAAGTGAGAGGCCAGGGATGTTGCTAAGGCCCTGCAATGCACAAGACAGCTTCCCGCTCCTCCCTCCCCCTTCCCCTCCCCCCTCCCCCCCCCACCAAGAAAGAACCATCTGGCCCAAGTAGTAGTGCCAAGCTGGAGAAACCATGGTGTCGTCTTTGAAAGAAAGAATATGACAATCTCTATGATAATAAAGACACCTATTATTATTAACAACAAATATTTTATTGCGGAAACTGGGGAGAAGCATGCCTCCTGTCCCCAGGGAGAAGGCAGGAGCGAATGGGCAAGGGCAAGGGAAGGGCTTTAAGGGAGAGGAGAGGTGGGCCTGGGGCTCGCTGAGTGGTCGGCTGGAGCAGTGGGAAGTGCCCCGGTGGGGCCGGTGGCTGGTGTGGGGGTAGAACCGCGGTCAGTAGGGTGAAGGTGCTGAGGGCTGGAGGCTCAGGAGGTGGTGGCAGGGGCCTGACTCTTGGAGCCGGGCAGCAGGCTGGGTGTGCTCAGAGGCTCATGGCCCACCTGGCGAAGCTCCTTCCAGGTGCAGGCAAGCCTGAGGCGTCAGGGCAGTGCTACCCGCAGGCCTAGCGCTCCTGCGGCGACCGGGCGCCTGGCGGCCACATATCCTCAGCAGGGCAGGCGGCCGCCAGGAAGGATTGAGACAACGCTGCCCGGGAGTAGGGGCTCTGCTCAGCGGCCTAGACCCGGGCAGAAAGGAATGGGCCACTCCGTTTCTCATCACAGACCCGAAGGCAGATGGCCTGGGCATCGGGCTCCCTCTGCGCTCGGGCGGGGCGATTTTCATGGTTACCAGGCTGCGGACAGGCTGGTGGGGGGGTGGCGGCGGTCCAAAGCCACCGCTTCATGTAGGCCAGGCGAGCCTCAGAGAAATCAGGCCTGATGTTGCTCAGCAGCGGCAGCCTGTTGGGAAAGCACCTCCAGGCCTCGGGAACCATCTCTCTCAGGACGCGGATGCGGGCGGGCACCATCTCTCTCCGGATGCGGATGCGGGCGTAGTCCCAGCTGGGAGGAGCGGTGGGGAGGGGCTGGATGCAGACCCAGCGCTTCCCGTGGAAGTAGGTGACCTTGCAGTTCTCCTGGACCTGGGAGCTGAGGAAGGGCCTGGACAGTAGGGCCCAGTGCTTCTGGCGCGGGGGTCGGGCGGGGGGGTGGGTGCGCGGTTTTCTGGCCCAGAGCCAGCCCAGGAAGCCGCTCAGGTAGCTGCCCATGAGAGCAGGGCAGTGGGTTGGGCCTTCCAGTAGACACTGGGCTGCCAGAAGTTTCCGAAATCTGCGGTCAGGGCCAGAGATAGTGTCCGGGCTCAGTGACCAGCGACCTTTGGTATCAAAATGTCAGAAAGTGCACGAGGCGCCATGTGCCGGGTACGGTCTGGCCACCAAGTGTTGCATGGGGCAGGAGGCCACGGCCAGGCCAGAGCTTTGCGGCGCGCAGCTGCAGAAGGGGCAAGTGGCGCCCCATGCTGTCTGGCGGACCAAGGAGGCTCAAGCCTCAGTCCTTCCCACTCATGGTCCCAGACACTCAGCTCTGGGCAGAGGGGCCTGGCAGCTGCCTCTACTTTTGTACCTGACCTTTAAAAACAGAACATAGAAGAATTTCTGCCAGGTCCTGAAAACTGCAGATACCTGTTGACAGAAGGGTGCTCTCTTTGATCAGTGTGAAAATGATCACAATACACTTGGATGCTCTAAACAAATCCTTTACTCATATCAGATTCTTCTAGGATGGATGTTAATGTTGCTTTTTGCAATTTTGCTCTTAAGTAAACTGGGAAAGCCATCAGGTTTTGTTTTAGCATTGGCAATGTTGATTTTATGTGGACTTTCCTATAATTTCCATCCTGAGTACATCCATGTATAGATTGTCTCTCTCTGAACACTATTTTCATTTCTCCCCTTTCACTTGTAATACAGAGGAGAGTGAGTCACATTTCCAATTTGCAGTTGAAAAGTCTGTAACTGCAAAACAAAGAGTTCAAAGACTGCTGGTGAATTGATTATAGTGTTTAAGTTGGAGGTTTGTTCAAGGCGATGTAAAAGAAACTTGTTTTTGAGAACTTTTTCTTCAAAAGTACACACAGAAGGTGCCTTTTGTCTTGGCCCTGATGCTGGGGTGGAAGAGAGACAGTAGATGCAGACAGAGCAAGTATTGAATCATGAGGGGGCAGCAGATCCTCTCTGGATCTGAGAGGTGGAAGACTGAATGGGCAGGGCACTAAAAAGAGTTGAATGAGAAAATACCAAAGGTTTCTGTGGTTCAGAGAGGGCCAAGCATTGGGGAAACGGGGGCTGTCACCAACCGGTGATGGAGAATGAGATCCCTAATGCTCTCCACTGACTATTATTATTTTTTGGCAGATTCCCTGTTATTCCCTATAAGGAATGATCCCCAAGTATATGATTTTGAAACAATGGGAATTTCCTATATAATTTTCTTCTTACTGAGCTCATTCTTCATAATGGTAGAAATGACTTTTTAAACATAGCTAAGATGTCTCTTAAGATAGTAGTAGCATCAGAGTGAACGGTTTAATGCCATTTGGTATGATATTCTTCTCATGTATTTTTTCTTTCCACTGTCTGCAGAATTTCCCATGTCCTACTTTGCAATGTAACCCAGAGGGTATCATTCTGGTTTGTGGTTACAGACCCTTCAAAAAATCACACCCTTCCTGCTGTTGAGGTGCAATCAGCCATAAGGTAATCACCCTTAAATATGCCTTCTATTAGTCAATCAACTTGCTGATTAATTCAACTGTTTTTAAAAATAGATATTGAAGAGTTTTATCTGTTTCATACATGAATTATTTATTAAAATGACAAAGATTTCATTTTGTTAGTTTCTGTTAGAGATGAGTATAGATCAGTAGTTCTCATCCAGGGGCAATTTTACCTTCAAGGAGACATTTGGCAATATCTGGAGACATTTCGCAATGTCTGGAGACATTTTTATTGTCACAGCTGGAGGGGGTGGTGGTACCACCAGCATTGAGTAAGCAGAAGTTAGGGACCCAATAGCTTACCTTTTTCAGTCAATATATAGTCTTTACTTTAAAAAGATAATTTTTTTTAAAAAAAGGTAAAATCATGACTCTCATGCAAACTAATCATTATTACTATCAAAAATTTTATCTCATTAGTTAATGAGGGCACTAGTAAGATGTTAAATTCTTTTTCAAGGAGACTTCAAGGAACCACCCATATATAGAAAGTGAGGAATGGCAAAATGCATTTACAGAAGGATGCATCAGTCTATTTTTCGGGCAGTAACCAATTATGTTCCACTAGACACAGTTCATTTGATTTTCTATGGACAAGAATCATTTACATTATGTTAGTTTTCAAGAACTTAGGGATTTGCAAAGTAGCTCAAAGACCGTAAGAGATGGAAATTGCCTAGAAAGGTGCTCTCAGCAGGACAATCAGGAAAAAGTCCAGTACTCTGTTTTGCCCATTTCAAGTATTTTACAATTTTTCCCGACTTCCCGACAGTTGTACTCCTCCCCTCCTTATGATCGTAAGAAACTCAAAAGTGAAACGAATTCGAGACTTTCAAGAATTAGGAGGATGCAACTTGTATTTCTTTCAATTACTGTGCCTTTGGTATGTGTCAAAACTTCAAATACCACATGTGATTGATGTTGGGCAAAGATATACTCAAAAAATGAGCTCAGGAAATAAACTAGAACAAAGCAAAGTAGCTCTCCCCACACAAGATTTACAAGTTACTGAAATACATATTATTCTTTTTACCAAGGATAAATACCTACTGGAATAACTCATTAGCTCTCTGTAAAATGTTAACACTTAAGATAATGAGTATATAATCAAATGTCAAAGGTTTTTGTGAACATCATCTATTTCTTTTGCTGAAGCAAAGGCACTGAGGATTTATACTGATTGGAAATGGTTGAATCTGCCCTAACAAGAAAGTTTGAACTAAATTGCTTCTTCACTGTGGCCACTAAGAATACTGTTAAGACTCTCACCACTTAGGGAGTAAGAATTATAAATATCATATTTCATGTGAAAAAAGATTTTATTCATGTCTTGTGATCTGTGAGGGCTACAGGGAAAATGAAGGCACTGGGTTAAACCAGTCCTTCAGTTGATAGGAGGAGGAAGAGTGAGTGCTTAGGGTGAAGGTCTGGGAAGTATTAATACATGAATATGTTCACAACAAAATGTCTTTTTCAAGGGTCCTAGCAGGAGAATCTATTTAGGAAGTGGGGATAGCCAATAGAATGAGAATTTATGTCAGGGAATTAGTAGGGCACATCAGGATTGGATGAAAATAAAGGAAACTATACAACAAAGGAAGGATAGAGTGAAAAAAAGGAGATGGTGTTTAGAGAGCAAATAATAGGAATTTCAAGGCTGAAGAATCTAAGTGATTGGGCAAAATAATACTAGTTCCACCTAATATTTGCATACCACTTTTTGGTTCACAAGGAATGTTCTTATGCATCTGTGGCATTTAATAATGACACCAACAGTTTTTTTTTGTTTTCTTTTTAAGAGGCAGAGTCTGGCTTTGTTGCCCAGGCTATAGTACAGTAGCATGATAATAGCTCATTGCAGCCTTGAACTCCTGGGGTTCAAGTGATCCTCTTGTCTCAGCCTCCTGAGTAGCTGGGACTACAGGGATGTGCCACTATGCCTGGCTAATTTAAATTTTTTTTTTTTTTTGTAGAGACAGGGTCTTACTATGTTGCCCAGGCTGCCCTTGAACTGGCCTCAGGCGATCCTCCTGCCTCAGACTCCCAAAGTGCTGGGATTACAGGCATGAGCCATTGCACCCAGCCAACACCAATAATTTTTCAGTAATTACTATTATCTCTCCTTTATAAATGAAGAAACTGAGGCTCAGGGAGATTAATTGATTTGTTAAGGCCACCATGCTAGAAAGAGAAAGTGAGGACTTGAACCTAGGCATCCTGCCACCATATCCAGTGATTTTTCCTGTTTACCAGAGTACACAAAGAACTGAAACAGACATCTTAGAATTGGTTGGTCATTCCTTTACACAAAGTGCTTAGGGTGAAGGTCCAGGAAGCACGTGAATTTGTTCACAAAATGTCTATTTCAAAGGTCCTAGCAGGATAAACTATTTAGGAAGTGGGGATAGCCAACAGAATGAGAATTACAAAATTCTCATTTCAAGTAAAATAATTGAAATGGGCAAAAAAGAGTACTGGACTTTTTACCAATACAGAGTATACATAGTATGAGGTAAAGGAGTGACCAACTAATTCCAAGATGTCTGTTTTAGTTCTTTTGTGAGGGCGTGGCCTAATTCAATACCACTCTTGGCTGAAAGACATACATGATGCTTGATGCCAATTGGTGATTCCAGTGGTGGAGCAGATTTAATATGTACCTGAGCTAGAACTTCCAGTCAGTCTGTGAGATGATAGAATACATTCCAAGCCTAGAGTGAGCAAGTAACAAAGGGTTAACCAACTAGGAAGATAGAATGAGAATGCAGAGCAACTTCTCATTTTTCTCTGAGTTATATCTTAGCAGTGGGTTTCATTATTTTGTGGAAAAGTTTGTGCTCTCAGATGTTCAATATTAGGTTATGACAAAATAAAATATTCCATTGTTGGATAAAAATCCCTTGTTGTAGATTATCTGGCTAGAGTTCACTTTCACATCCATGAATAATCATGCCACAGCATAGTTATTTATTTACTAAAGGGGGTCTTTCCTGATAGCCTGGTGCTGGCCTGCAGAGATTCTCAAGCCATACTATCAGGCTGTAGACTTGGACTGTCCGGTACCGTAGCCACCAGCCAAATGTGGTTATTAAGCACCTGAAATGTGGCTAGTTCAAAGTCAGGTGTGCTCACAGTGTAAAACATAAGCCAAATTTCAAAGACATTGTACAAAATAAAATGTGGAGCCCCAGCCTGGGCAATATAGCAAGACCCTGTTTACACACACACACACACACACACACACACACACACACACACAGCCAGGTGTGGTGGCACACACCTGTGGTCCTAGCTACTTGGGAGGTTGATGCAGGAGGATTGCTTGAGCCCAGGAGTTTGAGGCTGCAATGAACCATGATCGTTCCTGTCTCAAAAAACAAACAAACAAACAAACATGCAAAGTCAACTTGATACTGTTTACATGTTGAAATTACATTTTCTTGGATATATTGGACAAAAAATACATTATTAAAATTAGTTTCATCTGTTTATTTTAGTGCAGCTACTAGAAAATTTTAAGTCACACGAAGCTCACATTATATTTCTGTTTTCCAGGGCTGCTCTAGAGGTAGACAAAGGCAGCTTGCATAATATGAATTCAGTAAAGGTCATAAAATATCTCCAAGGACTCTCCAGTTTACAGTTAGAAATTCACTTATTTGGTTTCAATTAAATAAGTCTTTGCTACCAACCTCTCCTTAACTGCCACCACCACTAAAAATGCAGATATTTCCTAGGAAAAGTAACATTTTTCTAAGCTTTTGAACTCCTAAATCATTAATGTCTTTAGTCCTATGGAACTACTTGCAATTTGCTGAACAAGTCTTACTTTACCTTGTTTCCATTCCTGTGCTCACCACATACTTTGGTCTAAAAACTCCTACTTGTCCCTCAAAACAGAGCTCAAAAATGGCCTCCACAGCAAAGCAGCTCTGACTTCTCACAATGGTGTACTTGGCCCTTCCCTCTGCTCACACTGTGCCCATATTTGCCTCTTTCACAGAACATTTTGTACCACACTGTGGTTGTGGATCTACTGATCTGTCACCCTTCTAGACCGTAAGCTCCTTGGTACTTTAATTTCACGTTGTATCTCCAGCATCTAGCACAGTATTTGATATTTAATAAGTTTTTGGCAAATGTTTGTTGAATTAATGAAAAAAATATCAAGATCAAGTTGGTGAATTTGAAGCCACTCCTGGTTCATGTTTTCATTTTTGCTTCTGGTTTTCTTTACTTCTCCTATTCATCACCCATATTTTACATGTAATTTTACTTTTGGGGGCTGTGATATTTATGTAAGCCACCTTAAATAGAGCTTTGTCATTCTAATCTAGATGCTACTCACACAGGACAGGTGAAACCCAAATTGAGGCTTAGCCCATGAGGATTCTGGGCTTTGCCCAGGAAAAAAATTCAAGAGAGAGCCAGAAGTAGAAGAAAACAACTTTACTGAAGAGGCAGTATTATAGCTCCTGTGATGTTACTGCTCTGTGACTGCTCCTGCAGAGCAGGACTACCCTGTAGGCAGAGACTAGCAGCTCAGGGCAGTTTTGCAGTCATATTTATACCCACTTTTAATTACATGTAGATTAAGGAGCAGTTTATGCAGAAATTTCTAGGGAAGGGTAATAACTTTGGGGTCATCACATCATTGCTATGGAAAGGGGTGGTAACTCCCAGGTGTTGCCATGGCAATGGTAAACTGACATGGCACACTGGTGGGCATGTCTGATGGAAAGCTGCTTCCCCGCCACCCCCTAGCTCTGTTTTAGTTAGTCCTCAGTTTGGTCCAGGGTTAGAGCCCTGCCTCCAGAGACGAGTCCCTCCGTCTACCTTACTACCTCTCAGGAAATAAAACATGGTGGACAGAGCTCAAAGCTCAGGACTTCTGGACATTCACAACAATGGGGGCAGCAGTGGATACATGGGTATCCCTCTGGCAGCTAGTGTTGTAACTTAAGAGAAACTATGGCATGATTGCCCTCAGCAAACTTTTTAGTCAACTTGAAGTCTCCTGCCAGGAGGATGCTTTGTTTATAGAGATATTTATAATCATGGAGAAACAGGTTTGTACTTTGTCTTAATAGTTTTTTTTCTG
Source organism: Homo sapiens (assembly GCF_000001405.40). Lineage (NCBI taxonomy): Eukaryota > Metazoa > Chordata > Mammalia > Primates > Hominidae > Homo > Homo sapiens. The sequence goes on along the minus strand of NC_000023.11, from coordinate 15,639,794 downwards.
TCTTATTTTGTTTATTTTTAATTATCATTGCATTTTAGAATGAACAAGAACCGGATCAACAATGCCTTCTTTCTAAATGACCAAACTCTGGAATTTTTAAAAATCCCTTCCACACTTGCACCACCCATGGACCCATCTGTGCCCATCTGGATTATTATATTTGGTGTGATATTTTGCATCATCATAGTTGCAATTGCACTACTGATTTTATCAGGGATCTGGCAACGTAGAAGGTAAGATATTTAAAAGGAGTGATTGAAAGAGCATTTTCTTATTTCCTCATGACTTGGACAAATCAGGAGAGGATTTTCCTCTGGCTGAAGATAATGCCTTAAATTTGAAACTTTGAAAAAATTGGTGATTTTCAAAAATATCACTTATGCTCTTTTCTTTAGATATATTTTAGAGTCCAGCGTCCCTTACTTAACTAGGCTCCTTCCACGACTACCTTTCCCTCTATTCTGTACCACATAAATGTTTCATATCCAGGCTTGATTTTAATATCTGTGTTGTGATTTTGTAAGCTAGATGTAAGGAGCTAAACAGACTTTTTGGGTAGGCAGAGTTAATCTTTGGTAGTCATCCACATCCAAATGCCAGCAGGTTCATAGTTGCATGCCTCCCTACTTTGGCTTACCTCTTCTTAGTCCAGTGCATGCAGGCTACCATCTTGTCCCAGATGCCTTTGTACTGTTTTATACTTCCTTCCCTTTGATGGACACTCATCCCTTGTGTGCCTATGATATTGAATAGAGCTGTGTTGCTTGTGGCCTTTAAATCAACTCTCAGCATCAGACATCACCTGGAACACTTGTTTAACATGTAGGTTCTTTGGCCCTATTGCAGACCCACTAAATTAGAATCTCTGAAGGGATGCATTTTAATGAATACTCAGGTCATCCTTATTCATTGAGTTTGAGAGCTTTCAATTTAACAATTTATAGGTAGAGTTTCACTTCTTGAGTTCGTTTACCTAGATTCTGGAGGCATTTGCAAACTTCGATGTCTAAGTTATTGATACTGCTTCAAGAGGGAATTTAAGACCTGTGGGGAAGTTACTGAGGTAGTGGAGAAGAAGAGGAGACAGGATTTCTCAGCATGATTTTGTTAACCAGTACCTCTAATGCAGGGGGGAAGATGGAAAAATCCTCAGCTTTTCACTAGACTTTAATGCTTGTAAACCTTCCTTTCTGATACTAAGGAAGAATAATTCTGGTAAGTGGTAATTACAGTGACATGCATTTGAAAATAACAGGGACATGGTTTTTAAAAGTGTTGGTTCTTACATGGGACATGTGGGATGTGTTTGGCTAAGTAAGTATGTGTTGACTAAATGCTCCTCTTGAAGTTTACTACTTTCCATATGTTTCACCCTAGTAACTAACAGAAGGTAATAATTTTAAATCTTGGGCTTTGTAATTTTATTCACAAATGATAAGTAAAATGCTATGAAATAAATATGGTTTATGTCTAGTCCTCAAATTAAATTCAAAGATTTAGGATCAAGTTACACTTACCTGATTTTTTTGATGATCTTGGCATGGCATGTAATGCAAAGAGACTTGGTACAAGATGTGCATTTTGGTTTTTCTTTTGAAAATATTGAGAAATATTCTCATGCAATGCTTGAATACCTGTGTTTAATACTTTTGTTTTGTATTAATCTTGAGATGCTTTGATTCTGTGTTCTAACAACTGTAACATTAGTGAATTCACTCCATCTACTTGGTTTCTAATTTCCTCACTAGTACAGTATAGTGTAGGAGTTAGAAGAATGGACTCTGGAGATAGATTGCTTAGACTCAACATATTTATCTCTTAGATTCTGCCCTTGTATATAATCCATTAACTGTATGGATATCAGGAAGCACAGTGAGTCAGGGAAACTGAGCTTAGGAGAATATAATTTGTGGTGCTAGACTCAAGCTGGTTAAGTTTATCTTTACTGTTTGTGAATAGATAACTTTTCTAGAGTGACAGTGAGGTGTACTGGAAATAATTAACTTGGTGGGATAAAAAGAGTTAATACATAGAGTGCTTAGAGTGGTATCTGGCACACAGTGAGTGCTCAATAAGTGTTAGCTGTTACTATTATTTTATGATCTTGCCATTTGCTGGCCTTTCAGCTAGTTTGTATTGGGATCAGCTATCTCTTTCCTTCTGAGCAGATTCTGCAGTAATATAATAATTGGGTGTGTAGCATCATAATTTGTTGCCTGGGAGAAGTGAAGCTGTTGTCACCACCTTGCCTTTACAAATTTATTTCATGTTCAAACTGGGAAAGCAGATGGACACATCTCTTGTGTAAACCGGGAGAGCATCAATAATTAGCAAATATAGTCAGGAAAATTATGACAACCTTCTGAAGATAAATTGTTTGTTGTGTTTTAAGTTTGACACAATTTGTGATGGGTTTCTCCTGGACAAAATGTTGCGTCAAATGTGAGGAGAGGGTGCAGTTTGAAGTGGGGAGAGCCCTGAAAATTGCAATGAAAGCCCTTTCTAATCATGGAAAAGATAGGAGTTGCCCCCAAAACCTTTAGTTTCGAGGAAGACAGTCAAAGGAATGTTCAACAATCTAATCCATACATTAGATAATAATGAACATAGTTTTTGTGGTACAGAATCTTAAACTTAGAAGACCTGGAGGGACCATGGGATTATCTAAGTCACCATTCTGCTTCTATGGAGAAGAGTGCCAGAGTCATCTAACACACATATATATATTTAAACTTACTATTGAGGAAATTTCTCAGCAAAGCTTTAACAATTCTGTTATCTTTGCCAATAACACCATTATATTAATTATTCAGGGACAGTGAGTGGCAAGTATGCAACCAATGGAGCCCAAACTAGGTAAACTCAAATACCAGCTGTGCCCTTTACCTGTATAATCTTAGTTGAGTCACCTGATTTCCAGGGATCTCAGTTTCTCCATCTGCAACAGGGAGATGATGTTTCACAGGGCTTTCATGAGGATTGACTGACATAAATGTGTATAAAGTACCTAGGATATAGTGTGCACTAAATAAACAGTAATTATGATTATCCAAGATCGGCTTAAGCCATTGCTATGATTAAGAGGTGCTGGGAAAGGATCTCTTTTCCACCAAGATATTGTGGAAAATATCTTGGTATTTTCCATCATACTGTAGAAACTTCTCCAATTCACCAACTCATTGCTTGGGATTTTATTAAATGCTTGTTTTATTTTATTAAGGTGTTGTTAACAAATAAAAGTTGTATATATTTATGGCATATAAGGTGATGTTTTGATATATGTATATATTATGAAATGGCTAAATCAAATAATTAACATATAAATTCAACTTATTTATGTGGCATTTGTCTTTCTGTGCCTGGCTTATTTCATTTAGCATACTGTTCTTCAGGTTGATCCTTATTGTCACAAATGTCAGGATTTCCTTCTTTTTAAAGGCTGAATAGTATTTCATTGTACCACATTTTCTTTATCCATTCATTCATTGATGGACACTTAGGTTGATTCCATACCTTGGCTGTTGTGAGTAGTGCTGGGTTGAACATAAAAGTGCAGAAATCTCTTTGACATAATGGTTTCAATTCTTTTGGGTATATACCCAGAGTGGGATTGCTGGATCATATGGAAGTTTATTTTTTATTTTTTGAGGAACTTCCATACTGTTTTCCATAATGGCTGTACTAATTTACATTTCCTGCAGTAGTGTACCAGGGTTCCCTTTTCTCCACATCCTCACCAACACTTGCTATGTTTCGTCTTTTTGATAATAGGTATTCTAATAGGCGTGAGGTGGTATCTCATTGTGGTTTTGATTTGCATTTCCCTGATGATTAGTGAAGTTGAGCATTCTTTCATGTACCCGTTGGGCATTTGTATGTCTTCTTTTGAAAATTTTCTATTGACATCCTTTCCCCATTTTAAAATTGGGTTATTTGTTTTCTTGTTATTGAGTTGTTTGAGTTTCTTATATATTTTTGGATATTAACTCCTTTGCTGTGCAGAAACGTTTCATTTTGATGTAAATCCCATTTGTCTATTTTTGAATTTGTTTTTGTGCTTTTGGGGTCATTGCCCAGACCAATGTCATGGAGCTTTTCTCCTATGTTTTCTTCTAGTAGTTTTATAGTTTCAGGTCTTAGGTTTAAGTCTTTAATCTATTTTGAGTTGATTTTTGTATTTGGTGTGAGACAACAATCCAGTTTCATTCTTTTGCATCGAGATATCCAGTTTTCCTAACACCTTTTATTGAAGAGATTGTTCTTTCCTCATTGTGTGTTCTTGCCATCTTTGTTGAAGATCTGTTGACCATAAGTGCATGGATTTATTTCTGTCCTTGCTATTCTGTTCCATTTGTCTATGTGTCTGTTTTGATGCCACTACCATGCTGAATAAACACTTTTTAAAAATGCAAATAATTCTATGAGGTCTACTGGTCACCACAATAGTGGTGAATTGGTTAACCAGCTCTCTAAAAAATACCCTGATTTGTAGCATTTGCCAGTTTCCCATCAAGGCTGAAAAATTCTGAATAAATACCCTGATTTGTAGCATTTGCCAGTTTCCCATCAAGGCTGAAAAATTCTGAATAAATACCCTAATTTGTAGCATTTGCCAATTTCCCATCAAGGCTGAAAAATTCTGAATATTTAGCAATCAGCCCTTGAAAACCTGTACCAGCCAGATCTAGCACACCATTACAGCTGCCACCTCTTTGTGAAATACCTAGAAGAGGTTGCTTCTCTATTGCCCTCTAGATGAGAATAGCAGTTTGTGAAAATGAGAGATTTGTTGAAGGAAAGAAGTTGGAAAAGCGATTTTTTTTCTTTTATTTATTTATTTATTTATTTATTTTTTATTATTATTATAATTTAAGTTTTAGGGTACATGTGCACATTGTGCAGGTTAGTTACATATGTATACATGTGCCATGCTGGTGCGCTGCACCCACTAACTCGTCATCTAGCATTAGGTATATCTCCCAATGCTATCCCTCCCCCCTCCCCCCACCCCACAACAGTCCCCAGAGTGTGATATTCCCCTTCCTGTGTCCATGTGATCTCATTGTTCAGTTCCCACCTATGAGTGAGAATATGCGGTGTTTGATTTTTTGTTCTTGCGATAGTTTACTGAGAATGATTTTGAAAATTTGGGGCAACAATTAGGGAGCAGAACAAGTGGGAAGGCAACCAGGATGAACTGCATATACTTCACAATAATGTCTCTACTAGATTTAGTGTCTAGCCACAGGCTAGAAGTAGGTGTGTTAGTTGTATGGTCAATTTTATGATGGTAGTGATAATGATGATGGTGATAGTGATGGTGATGGTGATGATGGTGATGGTGATGGTGATGAAGTTGATAATGTGATGTGTGTTTTAATAGAAAGAGCCCTAAACTAAGACTCTTTGTTTTGGGTTCCAGTCTCAGGCTCTGGCATTTGTTAGCTGTGTCCTTGAGCAGGTCACATAAGGAAAATGATGATAATATTTTCTTAAATAGTGTAATGATGAGAAGACAAAATCAGAGAATATATCTAGTGGTTTACATGCTAGAAAGTGCTATATCAATTTAAGTTACTAGCATGACCATAAAAAGCAGTTATAAAGTGCTAATTTTATATAACCTGGAACTTTGTAGTTTACAAGGACAGTCATGGACACAGCACAATTTCAGATTTACATGTATATACTAGAATTGATGTTGAATCCAGTATATAAATAGACTGTTATAATGTTAGACCTTAGTTGTATCTAAGATCACAACTGGGTCTTAGGAAGGGACCTTAACAATGATCCAAATCCAACCCTCCAGAAACCAAAGCCCAGATAAGTAAGAATATTTTATTGTTTTATTGACCATCCATTCTGTGATAGGAGCTATAGTATGTATTGTGGATGAGACAAACATAAATAACATGGATGGTCCTTGCCTAAAAGGAGATTGTAATCTTATAGTAACAAAGCCAGGTCAAAGACTTAGGACATAGAACCCTAGCTAATGCTCCCAGCTGAGTAGAGTCATTAGTAAATTTGCTTGGTTTGTTTCTAGTTATACTTATATTCCCATAAGGTCAATAGTAAATAAAAATGCATTTGGATTTCCACAGATCTTGTTTTTCACACAAGCGGATGTGGCTCAGTCAACACTTTTATATCCTGAAACCACATTCTTATAAAGTCTTAATTAAATGAATAGTCTTAAAAATAGAGGTGTAAATAAAATGAGTAATGTCATAGCGAATATAACAAATGTTTTTCTTTGCTGTTCTTAAATATACATACCTGATAAAAATCTAATGTAAGTGTGTTGAGTAAAGCCTGGGGAGAGTAAATAGAGTTCTAGGTCAACTCCTTTCACCAGTCTTGTTTCATTCTGAAAGACAAGTTACTCTACGTATTTGAGTGTCAATTCCTTCATCTGAAAAACAGAGATGAGGCACGTAGTCGTGGCTGAGTGGTTAAAACGATGGATTTGAAAAACAGTGATAATAAAATATGCATAATATTGCAGTAAGAATTAAGTGAGATGATGCATACAAAACATCTAGTCTGATTTCTACCATGTAATAAATACTTAATATTATCATTAGCATTATCATTGCTATTATATGGCACATGTAAAGCAACTTGCCTACAGTCACATGGTTAGAAAGTAATAGTAACAGGATTTAAAACCAGGTAGGTTTGATTTCAAAGTCCATCAATCTCACTGTGCTACAGTGCCCACTCAAATCATTCCAGTAACCCTATTTACCCCCAGAATCATCCAGAGCAATTCTGAGGATGGTCTCAATTCCCCGATAATTGATTCTGTACTGTTTGAAAATCATATTTGTCTGTCTTTTATTGTCTTTCTGGCTATTCTTGGGTCTTGGCTCTTTAGCTCTATTTTTTTTTTTTTTTTTTTTTTTGAGACAGAGTCTTGCTCTGTCACCCAGGCTGGAGTGCAGTGGCAAGATCTTGGCTCACTGCAAGCTCCGCCTCCCGGGTTCACACCATTCTCCTGCCTCGGCCTCCCGAGTAGCTGGGACTACAGGCGCCCGCCACCACACCCGGCTAATTTTTTTGTATTTTTAATAGTTTCATCATGTCAGCCAGGGTGGTCTTGATCTCCTGACCTTGTGATCTGCCCACCTCAGCCTCCCAAAGTGCTGGGATTACAGGCGCGAGCCACCACACCCAGCCTCTTTAGCTCTATTTATTTATTTATTTATTTTGAGACGGAGTCTCACTCCGTTGCCAAGGCTGGAGTGCATTGGTGCGAACTCTGCTCACTGCAACCTCCACCTCCCGGGTTCAAGCAATTCTGTTGCCTCAGCCTCCCGAGTAGCTGGGACTACAGGCATGCGCCACCACGCCCGGCTAATTTTTATATTTTTAGTAGAGATGGGGTTTCACCATATTGGCCAGCCTGGCCTCGAACTCCTGACCTCAGGTGATCCGCCCGTCTCAGCCTTCCAAAGTGCTGGGATTACAGGCGTGAGCCACCACGCCCGGCAGTCAGCTCTATTTTGTTTGAAGGGGGACAGAAATGCTCTTCCTGCTTTTGGCACCATTACTTTATCTTAGAACAGAGCAAACCCCGTTCCTCAACATCCCCTAGCTCTGAGGGCCACACCTGATACTTCTTTCCTCCCCTCTTTTGCCCCTCTTCTCTCTATATTTATGAGGTATATGAGAGATATTCACTCTCAAGGCTTCTAGGAGCTCGTTCCAGGAATTTTAATCAGTTTTTTCATCCTCTTCCTGAACCCCCTGACATTGCAGGAATAGCAGAAGTAATTAACACTTGATTTTAGTTTTCAGGAAAAAGAACTCATGTTTTTAGCAGAACATCAAATCAGAATGATCCAGAAAGATAGTTAAGTTTTATTATTCTTAGTAAAAGCAATGCACAGGTAGTGAATCAATTTATTACAGCAAACACTATGAAATGTGACAAAGTGATATATTACTGTTAGATAGCCTTTGAGCTGCTTATCATGTCCACCAAGCAGCAAGTTCCTGACACTGCAATTGGTGAAGCCCAGCAATGCCAGGACTCTGCAACTGGATCTATGGTTGTAAAAGAACAATATGCACCTAATTTGCCACTGACACAGCTCAGTTTGATAAATTTCTACAGCAATTCCCCTTGGAATCTTTTTGGTTGAGATATTATTCTTATTCTAAAGAAGAAAAACTTGTCCTCATTTGTTTACATCTTCCTTTTTAGTTTTTCCCCATTCTTTCGTGATGCCTGATGAATCATTTTTCCTTGTTGCTGGGAAGGGGGAAGCGAGATTCCTTGTAATGATCATCACATACGTCTAGCTCTTTGTTATTTTTCTTCTAACTCCATAAATACTTTTTTTATTAACTGAAGAAACTGGAAAATAGGCCCTGGCAATTATTATTTCTAAGACTGCTATTGCATTGCCACCTACTTCAGAATGCTTCCTTTACTAAAATGTTTGTAATACAGGTTTCATACTTAACATATACAAATATCAGGGTAAAATTTGGCTGTCCACAATCTATTTATTGTTGTGGAAAATTATCATTCACTCCAAGCCCAGTGAGGAGTGATTTTGGGGGAATTTACATGAGATAGCCATTTTAAATGATGATTTATAAATAGACATTTGCTACTTACAGCTTCATCTTTAGAAGAAACATTCCTCTCTCTTATAAAGCATTAAAATGGGGAGAGGGAGGATGAGTATATATGGCATTTTTCCCTTTCATTGAGTTCATTTTAGGACAAGGACTGTATCTCTTCCATACACATAGTAGACGCTCAAAATGTAGCTGTTAGTGAATGTTGGATACTATGAATGGAAGTGATGTGATTGATGGTTATAGAATGTTGATTTCCTTTGCTTTCTGGAGGACGTGGAAAGTGAACAATACACCTATCTATAGGAAGAGGAACCAAAGTGTTCTAATCCTCTGGTGGGTAATTTCACCTGGAAGGATCCTCTCATCACATTAAAATCTATGTCCACCCCAACCCATGCTGATTGCTGATTGCTGATGCTTGCCATGACCAGTGTGGTGTCTTCACTCCAAGGATGGAAAAATATAGCAGCCTATCTTTCCCTAGGTCTCTAGGACCACAACTCCTGACTTTCAACCCAGCATTGGGCCAGAAGTTTTATTAATAAATGTTTAAAATGTGGCATCTGCAATTCAGTGATTGCCTATTGTGTTTAATTGTGATATTTGATGGTGGCATATGCAATGGTAAAATACTTTCAAATGATGACATTGGGATCTACAGAATTGGAATGCTACTTTACCTTTGTTTTAAATGAACAACTATTTGAAATTATTTAATAAACCATCAGCAAAGCCTAAAATACAAGAGATACAAGAAATTTCTTGTGTGTAAAATTCCCTTCCTTCCTTCCTTCCTTCCTTCCTTCCTTCCTTCCTTCCTTCCTTCCTTCTTTCTTGTGGTAAAGCCCGTTCAAGGTCTACCTAGGGCTACTGCCTGAGTAACTTTACCTACAACATTAGTCCATACATACATACATCTAATTGTTCAATCTACCATCTATCTTCTGTCCATCTATCCATCCATCCATCCATCCATTCAGCCAGCCAGCCATTAATATATCATCTAGCCAACCAGCAATTGAACTACATTCATTGATTATTTTATCCATCTGTCCATCCACCTTTCATCATTTGTTCAGCCACCCACCCATCTTCTGTCCATCCATGTATTTATTATCCAGCCAGTCAGCCATTAATCTACATTCATTGATTCATCTACCCATACAGTTGAATGCCTACTCTGTGCTGAGTCCAGGTCAGCTGTTTTGCAAAACATTTTTAAATTTGGATTTTTCTGATTAGGCTCCTTATTATGAGATTCAGGTCAAAACAAATTGGAGGGGGCGGGGCTGGAACACAGGAAAAACATATATGTGATCTACTCAGTGTATCACATCAGGAGAGACTTGTCAGTTTCTTTCATTGTTGGAAATTTTCACTAGATTTCTCTTTTAGCAAAATACAAGTGTCCTTTTATAATTAATATTTTGCTTATGGGGGTGATATCTTGAAACCATGTGAATATCCTGTTCTCCAACCGTCTCTCACATAATGGTTTAGTATCCATTGATAATCCTCATCAGAATCAATTATTATTATATGGTGATTTTCTGTTCCTATTACTCTTTCTATATTCGTTGGCATTCTTCTATAAAAAAAGAGCTTTCTCTTTTCTTCACTTTCTTCCACCATATTCTTTTTTTGAAATATATACAATTTTTATTTGTCAATTATACCTCAATAAAACTGATAGGGGAAAATGATACAGAGGACAGGAATGGAGTCAGGAAAATCATGTGGGTGGGAAAGATGATTTAAAAAAAATTTTTTTTTATTATACTTTAAGTTCTAGGGTACATGTGCACCATATCCTTTAAAGCACATTCTCACGCAGGACTAATAGGAATTCCATCTCGGTCATCATTGGGGCACCTTCACCATCTCCTCACCTGTCAGAGACTCACCAAGGTTCTAAGGGACTCTCATAGTGGTGGGACTCTACCTGGTCACCACTGCAGTGCCCAACATCTCAGCCAGATGATCTATTCTTTTCTGCTATTTGGCATTTCCACAAATTCGTGGGACAAGAGAATCCTTTGCAAGTCCAGGAGCCTCATGCCTAACATCATGCCTCCGTGGTGTCACCATGGAGTGGTGCTCCAACATCCAACCTGTGATAAGCCTTAGGGAAACCCCTCCTTCTTCTGGTTGCCTAGAGGCACCCACCTCTCTTTTTTCTTTTACTGCATGATATCAAGCATAATTGTCTCATTGTTTTAGTCTTTCACAAAAGACAGGAAAAACCTTTGAATTTGAGTCTACTGTTTTCCACACTCCAAAGAAATATTACAGATCTGCATATTACTTCGGTTGGGGTCAGCAAGGTCTACAAAGGGTGAAACTATGAGAAACTCAAGAATTTATCCTGTCATATGGAATTTTTGGAGTGACCTGGAATTATAACTACAAGTTGTAAAGTAATTAGGGAAAATGTATTCTGAGTTCCAAAATCGTGACTTGCAAATTAACACAATTATTTTGTAATGAGTAGAGCCAAGCAGCAATATTTGAAGTTTATAGCACTTACTTTCTACAAAGTAATGTTAATTTTCTTTCTGATAGCTCATTTCTATTTGATTTTCACTCAACATTTTCAGACCATTAATTTGTCAAATCCCATGAGAGGAATTTATTACTTTTAGCAATTCAATTGTTATTAAGTTCTCCTAGAGATGGATTTTAAACTTGCGAATTTACTATGCATTTTCTTCACATTACTTCATGCAATTTGTGTGTGTGAGTGTCTATGTGTATATATGTGCATATACACTCATATTCATATACATATTCATCTATATTGATTTTAGTATTCTGAATAAGACCACTTGTGTTGATCACTATGTATATGTCATCTATACAGACTTCTCATCTTGATAGTATCTTTTCACCTCACCAACTCTTTATGGTCTTTGAAATTCGTTTGAAAATTACACAATATCATTAAATTATTTCATTGTTCTAAGGTTCCTATTCCCCTTCCTGTTCTCCATGTTCGTTCAGAAGACCATATGCAACCATGGTTATGGTCCTTCTAGATGCCAATCACTCTTTTTTATGTGCTTTTAGAAAGAACAAAGAACCATCTGAAGTGGATGACGCTGAAGATAAGTGTGAAAACATGATCACAATTGAAAATGGCATCCCCTCTGATCCCCTGGACATGAAGGGAGGGCATATTAATGATGCCTTCATGACAGAGGATGAGAGGCTCACCCCTCTCTGAAGGGCTGTTGTTCTGCTTCCTCAAGAAATTAAACATTTGTTTCTGTGTGACTGCTGAGCATCCTGAAATACCAAGAGCAGATCATATATTTTGTTTCACCATTCTTCTTTTGTAATAAATTTTGAATGTGCTTGAAAGTGAAAAGCAATCAATTATACCCACCAACACCACTGAAATCATAAGCTATTCACGACTCAAAATATTCTAAAATATTTTTCTGACAGTATAGTGTATAAATGTGGTCATGTGGTATTTGTAGTTATTGATTTAAGCATTTTTAGAAATAAGATCAGGCATATGTATATATTTTCACACTTCAAAGACCTAAGGAAAAATAAATTTTCCAGTGGAGAATACATATAATATGGTGTAGAAATCATTGAAAATGGATCCTTTTTGACGATCACTTATATCACTCTGTATATGACTAAGTAAACAAAAGTGAGAAGTAATTATTGTAAATGGATGGATAAAAATGGAATTACTCATATACAGGGTGGAATTTTATCCTGTTATCACACCAACAGTTGATTATATATTTTCTGAATATCAGCCCCTAATAGGACAATTCTATTTGTTGACCATTTCTACAATTTGTAAAAGTCCAATCTGTGCTAACTTAATAAAGTAATAATCATCTCTTTTTGATTGTGTGACTGATTGTGGTCTGGAATTTATTTTCACACTGTGGAACATAGTCTTGTTTTTATTAGTTATCTTTAATCTGCTCTACAACCATAGAAATGAATTATTTTTGTTGTGTGTATCCTTGTTTGAAGACACCTTGTAGTTTTTAGGTTGATTCTATTTCCAGATAGGCCATGAATAATTCTAAATTCTAGGAACAATGATTATACATTTATTAATGAAAATAAAATTTGCTACTCAATTTCCCACTGCTATCACTCATAGTTAAAGTTACAGCAGTAGTCTCTAACTCACTTCCCTGCCTCCAGTGTGCCTCCTTGCATACAAACTCTAAGATAGGTAGCTGCATACAGCAGGTTTATTGGGGCATGCGCTCAGGAGATACACCTTTAAGAAGTGAGGAAGGCAAAGTGTGGCGGACAGCTGTTAAGGTGGCCCGCATCATTCCCATCTCTTGGTGTTCATGCCTTCATAGAATCCCCTCCCCTTCAGTGAGTATGGTACCTGTGGCTTGCTTCTAATGAATAGAATACAATAAAGGTGATGAGATGTCACACTCCTGCAATTACTTTATATTATATCTGAGTCTGTCTTGCTAGCAGATTTGTTTTTGAGATCTTCTTGCTGTCTTGATTCGGTAAGTGGCCATGTTGGGAAAGCCCATGTGAAAGAAACTGTGGTCAGCTTCTAGGACAGAGGTGTCCAATCTTTTGGCTTCTCTGGGCCAAATTTGAAGAAGAATTGTCTTGGGTCACACAAAATACAGTAACACTAACAATACCTGATGAGCTAAACAAAATTCGCCAAAAATGTTTACGAATCTGTGTTGGGCCACATTCAAAGCTGCCCTGGGCTGCAAGCGGCCCACAGGCCACAGGTTAGACAAGCTTGCTCTAGGAATTGCTGGTGACCTCTAGGTACCAAGGACAGCCTCCAACCAACAGCTATCAAGAAGCTGGGATCCTCAGTCTTACAAGGAAATGAATTCTGACAACAACTGGAGGAAGCTTGGAAGCAGATTTTTCCCCATTCAAATCTCCAGATGAGAATGCAGTCTGACCTACACTTTGCAGCCTGAGCAGAAGAACCAGTTAGGCTGTGCCCAGACTCTTGACCATGGACACTGTGAGATGATAAATGTGTATTTTTTTAAGCTTTTAAGTTTGTGGCAGCAACAGGTAACAAATAGAGTAGGATTAGGCAGAGGGAGAAACAACCAGAAACACGGTTACAACAGAAGCCTCAGCCAATCTTTCAGGAAGCTCAGGAGCTGGGGCTATTCCTGATTGAGTTAAGGGAGCAGGGCCTTTGTATTTCCACATTGGCCAGGCATGCCTGTGGGTGCCTTCTGGGAGAGGGTCTATCCTTGAAAAAGGCAGTTCACTGTGGCTGGATGCAATTCCCATTGAAGGACTCAGCTGTGAGCCTTCAATAGCCAATATTCTTAGCTGCTAGGGATGGGTGTATTGGCCTAGAAGAGGGAGCCCAGAAGTCCCCTTAGAATATCTACTGGTCCATTGTCTGTGATACAGCCTGAATGAATGCCCCAAATGTAAACCTGGTCCTGTTAGTTCCTAACACAGACACTTTTAAATGGCTTATCATTATCCTTAGGCTAAAGCCAGACCCCTTAACACAGGGCCTGCTAAAGTTTGACACCCCCTCCATCTCCACCTCCCTCCCTATCTTCATCTCTCACAAGTTCTCTCTCTTTTCCATCCAGTCATACATAGATCTCTCACTTCCCAGCTTTTGAACAGGCTGTTTTCTCTACCCTACCTCTCAGCCACTCTTGTACCTTGTTCTTAGGGTCTTTCTCACATAAACATTTTGATCTCAGGAAGTCTTTGCCAGACATCCGGGATATGGGCTGCTAGAACAGCCAGATAATTATACTCATCTCATTGTACTGTAATTATTATTTTTCAATATATTTTCTATAGAGGAAGGGGACCACAAAGGCAAGAGTGTTTTAGGGCCCACAAAAGTCCTAATGCAGTCTTGTCTTCATAACATTTTTGTAACGCACTTCACTTTGCCCTTGACCTCCAACTAGTTAGAATTAACTATTGCTTTGTAATTTGATTATGTCTACACATTTTTATTTATAATGATTGTAACGCTTCATTTTTTATACTTGTTTATATGTTTGTATCTTCACACTAAATATAATACTCTTAGAGGTAGTGTTCAAGTCACTTAGTAGAGTGCCTTCTCTCCGTTTCCTTATTTTCTCCCTTCTTTCTTTTTTTTTAAATTATTATTATACTTTAAGTTTTAGGGTACATATGCACAACGTGCAGGTTTGTTACATATGTATACATGTGCCATGTTGGTGTGCTGCACCCATTAACTCGTCATTTAGCGTTAGGTATATCTCCTAATGCTATCCCTCCCCCCTCCCCCACCCCACAACATTCCCCGGTGTGTGATATTCCCCTTCCTGTGTCCATGTGCTCTAATTGTTCAATTCCCACCTATGAGTGAGAACATGCGGTGTTTGGTTTTTTATCCTTGCGATAGTTTGCTGAGAATGATGGTTTCCAGCTTCATCCATGTCCCTACAAAGGACATGAATTCATCATTTTTTATGGCTGCATAGTATTCCATGGTGTATATGTGCCACATTTTCTTAATCCAGTCTATCATTGTTGGACCCTTCTTTCTTTCCTTTATCCTACAATGTTGAGCAAAACCAAACACAATCCAAACACAATCCATGCCCTCGTGAAGCTGAAAGTCTATGTAGTCAGAGCTCAATAAATGTGTGCTAATAAACCAGCACATGAAGTGGTAGCTGTTGCAAGCTCATAGTTTTATCCCTTCTGGGAGCAAAGCCTGCCCCTCTCTCTGTAAGTGGAAGAGTTTGAATATGTGGGTAGAAGATTTTTGACTTGAACACCATTTTGACTTGGGAACCATATGGTATTTAATATTAGTAGGCTTCCTTATTTTTAGAAAAGGAATGAGATTTGACCTGTTGGTTGACAAGACGTGACTTACTAAATAATTATTCTCTATCTTACGCTCTTTCGAGTGGTGTACTTCAGGAGAGTAGTTTGACTTTGCATAGAGAAGTCTTTAACTGGTGAAACATCAGCTGAATTCAATCAGTGTGTGCTAGGAAGCATAATCCAAGATACGCATTCTCAACAGGGTGTAAATTGTTCTTGGCGGGGAGAAAAAATTCGAGATATTACAGTGGTTTGTAGTTGTATTAGTCCATTCTCTCACTGCTGTGAAGAAATACCTGAGACTGGGTAATTTATAAAGAAAAGAGGCTTAATTGGCTCACAGCTGTGCAGGCTATAAAGGAAGCATAGCCACTTCTGCTTTTGGGGAGGCCTCAGGAAGCTTCCAATCATGGTGGAAGGGAAAGGGGGAGCCAGGTGTCTCACATGGCAGGAGCAGGAGAAAGAGAAACCAAGCGGGGAGGTGTTGCACACTTTTAAACAACCAGATCTCATGATAACTCACTCACTCTCATGAGAACAGGACCAAGAGGATGGTGCTAAATGATTCATGAGATATCCACCCTGATGTTCCAACCACCTCCCACCAGGCTCCACCTCCAACATTGGAGACTACAATTCAATATGAGATTTGATGAGGACACAGGTCCAGATGATATCAGTAGTCCTCCAAATGATCACAGTATGTAAGCAGATAAACTATATCTAAGATATTAAAATTTCATGGGATAACTATTAAGAAAAAGGTCTAAAAGGCCACAATAACGAAAAGAAGATTGAGAAACACTGATTCTAGATGTTTCTTATTTTGAAGGCATGAGACAAACCTGTTTTGATAACGAGACCATTTTCTTCACTATTTATTCTGCTGCGGAGGGAATGTATTCCACTGGGGGAAGGTCTGTTCCACTAAATATCCTTATTGGAAAAGTTTTCTGTGCTAGCAGAGATGTTCTGTAACCTTGACAATCAATGTAACAGCAAAATAGAGCTTATATCTCCTGCCTACTGCCTTTGACAAACACTCTGGGTAATTAGAGAGCAGTCAATCATCAACCACACCTCTCACTTTTAATTTAATGATCCAGTAATGTGCCATGAGGGAACATATTGTGAGGTGATATGTACTGGAAACAAAATGTTGTAAAGGAAGTGGAAATAAAGCTGTCATTCCAGTTTCCAAGTTCCTGGCAAAAACTGCTTGATGAAACTGGAAGGACAGAAAATCAATTCACTACGGAAAGAAAATGCACTGGGATGGTGATATCTGGATTTGCTTCACAGAAGAAATGTAAATGCAGATAACTTTTTTTTTTGGTGTAGTTTCATCATCTATGTTTTTCACAAGAACTAACCATTAGAAAATATAATATAAAAGAATTAAGCAAGTTATTGCATATAGAATGATAATGATCAGACTCCAGATACGAGTATCACTACACAGATTATGCACATTTATCATCATTCCTGGATGAGAAATAGGGAATAGGAGAGGACACAGATTAAAAACCAAAAAGCAAAAAGAAACCCAGAGCCCAAATTCTCAGTCCTTATTTCAATTCATGGGGCCCCTTAGCATAATATTTTGTTTCCCATTTTACATCTTATTTTCCTGTATAAAATATTCTCAAGTTTAGTTACATAAGTAAATGCACATTTTCTTTCCTTTCTTCTTCTCTTCCTTAAAAATGTGTTGAATGTCCCACTACTTTATTGAAGACACCATGCTAGATTCAGATAATATAGAGAAAGAATGTCCTATAAGGGACCCATTCATTAATTATGATAAAATTAAGTTAATTACTAAGAATATCATTATTTAAAAAAAATTTTGGCTTGAATGAATGAATAATTTTTAGGTGTCATTTACTGAGTCATTCTGCTCTTTATTTTCATAACATTGTTCTAAAAGGACTTTTATTCTGAGCACAGAATAAGAGCCAATTTATAATACACGACATTCATCTTTAAAAAATTATTATAACACAGTAGGGGCAGTAGGGGGATGCAAGTAGTTTGTGCAAGTCTTTATAGTGGTACAGGCCAGTAGGGGAGAGTTTGGCCAATAAAAAAATGACAATTGTGTCTCTAGATGTAATTTTTCCATAATTACCCCTTGATATCACTTATATTTTTTGAAAACTGGTGAATACATAAATATGCGTGTGAGGTGTTGGATGAAAGAAGACATTTAATCAGATCCAGAGAGGGTACATTTTTCAACTCTCTGATGTCTTGTGACCCAATCTGGCAGTAGGATCCCAGAACAACAGAGCTAGGGCATACCCAAGACCTTTGGAAAGGGTGGAACAAGAACTCTTGGGCATGGCATAGAGCAGAGGTGAGCGCTAGCCACCACAGGCAAGCAAGCCTGGAAGGTGCCATTGTCCAGTGCCTTGCTACAGTGAACAGGTGGCCCTTATTTGCAAAATTTAGCAAAAGTTTAATTAAGATTCATGTCTTAATGGTTCTTGGAGTCCCCTGGACTCCATTTGTCATCCTAAGCCATTGGCTCATAGCCTGCCACATTTAATGATTTATGAAGTATTTGGCAATATTCAGTTTGTCTCAAGGTTGCATTTGAAAACTTGTGAGGTAGAACTATATAAAATTACTGCTATATAATCATTTTGACCCACAAAATGGCAATGCCTCAAGCTATTAGTTTGCTGGTCAATCCTTTGGAATTTAGGAAAGATATTTCCCTATATAAATAGGTTTATGCTGATACAGCCATCAGGCCAAATCACAGTAACATATTATCTCACAATATATCTGAAATATTGCACATCTATACATAAAATATTAGAATACAAACTGTTATAATGCCAGCAGTGTAATGAAAACAAGCAAAAGAGAACACAACTTAATAAGAATCAGCTTTTATTGTATTTTGTCAGTGCTTAAGGAAAAGCAGCGCTTTTAATTTTTAATTTTTTTCATTCTCTTCTGCCACAAATCCAGATTTTTATGGGAAAACAAGAAAGTACATGGAACTAGTAAAGGAAACTTACAGGCATTCTGAAGACTTTTAAAGTACATTGACCCTGGTTAATTAAAAAATAGGTTGGCTTCACCACCATGCACTTGCTCCTCAACTCTTTGCATTCTGACTTCCATTTCCACATCTTGAGAAAACTGTTTCCTCAAAGGTCACTGTGAATTTCTGGTTGTCAAGGTCACAGCTTTTTGGTCCTCACTCTCCTAAATCTGTTTGAAGCATTTTACAGTGTAGGGCACCCTGTCACCCTCTTCGACAGAATCTGCCTTCTTGGCTTCTGGGATATGGCCTCATCCTTTTACTTCTTCTGTCTCTCTCCCGGACCATTTCTAAAGAAGCTAGGGAAAAAGTTGAAAGAGAAAGAAAGAAACAGGTGAAAAATTATGAGTAATATTGTGTGAAGTGTAGTTGAACTCTCAGTAGTGAAAGAAAGAACAGAATTGCATTTTGTGCATAATGAAGACAATGGAAAAAATACTTGGGGTTAATGGTTCTGTCTGCTGACCACCAATAGCTTGATTGCTATCCAGAGAAGCTTTGAAGTAAGAGAAAAAAAGTATGTAGGTAGTTATTTGAATATTAAATGACTGGTTGCTTCACATAGTGAAAAAGAGCATGAGGACCAGAGGAAAACATATCCACAATCCCTTATATGCAACTCTAAAATCCAAAAACCTCTAAAAACTATTTGGTGGCAACACTTGACCTGAGCAGACATAATGCTCTTTATTATCTTCATTTATTATGTGTAATGGTCTTTATTTATTGTAGTAAATGATACCATCATATTACTGAATGCAGAAATATTCAAGTGTTTGGTGATAGGATGCTATCCCAGATCCCACTGGAGTAGATGAATATACAGCATATGTACAGCATTACCTTGCACTGTCTGAATTCTAATCCTAACAGTACCATTTACTAACTGAGTGGCCCCAGGTGAGCAAGGTTTCATAAAAGCGGAGAGAAGGCAATCCAGTGAAAGAACTAGTTCCCATTTGATATCAATAGACTGTCTTTAGAAAGGAAAGGAACTAATAGTTGTTCTATATGCCCAAAGAGTTATTGTGAGAGTAGAATGAAATAATATTAAACCATAAAATTAGTAAAGAAAATGTGATCTGTAAGTGAAGTTTTTCTTTATTAAAATTGATATTGAAATTATTCAACCTGAGGCCATAAAGAAGTAAGGAAAGGGTTTACTTAAGGGAAATACTTTGCTATATGAATATATAATTGTTCCTATCATGACTAAATATTTAGAAGTAGGATAACCTATCCATCTGGAAAAATGCAACCACACATTGATCTGCTCTACTAGGGAGCGTAATGTATCTATTTGAATTTTCAACACAAAGAAATTAAACAAGACACTGCAAAACTCTACTAGTATAGTTGCAAAAAACAAACTGCAGAGAGAGAGAGAGAGCACGTGCAAGAGAGATTGAAAAGCTAATTACACCAGTATTAACTTCCATCCAATCAGGTAATGATGACCATGTTTTAAAATGATTACTTTTTTTTCTGACCATGACTATCATTGCACCAGTTGACATTTATTGAATCAACTGGCTTCCCAATCAATTCAGTTAAAAAAAAGTTTATCTGATGGATGGACAAGCTATTTTGTTAAATTAACTAGTCAACATGGTAAAACTTTGTGGATTGGTCAAATTCTAATGCTACTTAGACTCTCTTATACTGAGGATTGGTGCCTCTGACTTATCTGCCAGGTATGTGGGGGATGACTCACCTGTTCTATTTCTTCATTGCTTGGGGCTCCTGTAAGCAAGAACTCAAAGGTCCTTGAGAGGACAGAGCCATAAGCCAGCAGGGGAACAATTTATTGCTATGACAAGCCTTTTGGCTTTCACTTGGGACAATTCCAGGTGATATAATGTGCTCTTTTTAGAGCTAAAGGAAATTTAAACCAATGAATGTAAGAACTAAAATCTGCTTGCTCAAAAGTGATAGAGGTTTCTCAATGTTAATGTCTCTGCCATCATTGCAAGAGCGATCGAGGCCCTTATTAAATTCCCATCACATATTATATTTATTTACTAGATTATCATCTGTACAGCTATAAAGGGGGAATACCAAGGTTCATTTTAGTAGTGCAATGATTGCAGAAAGCCTCAGGTTACAGTTTTGAACGCATTGCTTTGACACAGCACATTTCAATAGATCAGCAAACAAAACACAATTTACAAAACCTCCCCAAGGATTATGCTAGAGTCCTTTTGTGGGGAGAGAGGTGGGAAGTTGAGGGTATTGTGGGGGGTTAGAAATCAATGTACTTGGCAGTTTTTTTCATAGTTTCATAGTTCTTTTTATCTTTGTGCTAAGAATTCAAATAGATACCTGATAAATCTACGTATTCCCTTCTACCACCTTCCTGCGAGATCTATGTGTCTTTCCAGATGGATAGGTTATCTAACTTCCAAGGTTTAGTCATTGAGGATATGAATATTTATATATAAAGTAAAATATGTTTCCTAAATAAATCTTTTTTTTCCTTTAGTTTGTGGACTTGAGTAGTTTCAATATTACTTTGTATTGTTCACAGGTCTCATTTTATTCATTAATTCTTACTGTTTTTCATTATTTCATTTAACTCTAACTACAATTAGTAATACTTGCCTTATCCCTTTGGATGGATATCATATCTCTTTGGATCTCCATCCAAAGGGATAAGGCAAGTATTACTAATTGCATTCAACAAAAGAAGAAACAGAGGCTAAGCAAATTTAAATATGTTGCCTGAAATCATACAGCATTTAAAAATGTTCATAGGTTGTGTTATAGGATTCATAGTGATTGATTGTTTTTGTTTCTATTTTAAATTATTATTGTTCTATTTTTACCTTATGCCCATTTAAAAAATACTTTGTCATTGACATGATTTGGATGCTTGTCCCTTCCAAATATCATGTTGAAGTATGATCCTCAATGTTGGAAGTGGGGCTTAGTAGGAGGTGTTTGGGTCATGGGGTCAGATCCCTCATGAATGGCTTGGTGCCTTCCCGCATGGTAGTGAATTCACGCAAGATCTGGTTATTAAAAAGAGCCTGGCACCTCTCCTCCTCCTCTTTCTTGCTCCCTCTCTTGCCATGTGACACTCCTGCTCACCCTTCCCCTTCCACCATTTGGGTCGGGATCCAAAAAGCTTTTACTTCCTGAGATCCTGGCCAGAAGCAGATGCTGTTGCCATGCTTGCATAGTCTGCAGAACCATGAGCCAACAAAACCTCTTTTCTTTATAAATTACCCCGCCTCAGGTATTCCTTTATAGACATACAAAATGGACTAAGGCAGTCATCAACTCCTCTTCCTGGAATAACTTGAAGATATCATCTTCACCATACCAGGTGTATACTCAATGGAGAATAAGAACTGGGATTGGAATGTCTGCAAACTCATGACTGAATAATGTGCAGTGTGGTTGCCAGAGTGAGTATTGATCCAAACCAAACACAGAACCATGGGCAGTGGCATAGAGAGAAATCAGAATCTTAGACAATTTGGGTGTATTTCACAACTGGACATTTTAAAATGCAGATTATAGTTGTGCCTTAGCATTTACATAGCACTCTGGTCAATTGTTTGTTGGCTATTCCTGTGCTATACCTTGATTGAAGCCATTTCTTGTTTATGCTTTTCTTTTCTTTTTTTCTTTTCTTTCATTTTTTATTTGAGTCAGAGTTTCGCTCTGGTTGCCCAGGCTAGAGTGCAATGGCGCAATCTCAGCTCACTGCAACCTCCGCTTCTCGGGTTCAAGTGATTCTCCTGCCTCAGCCTCCTGAGTAGCTGGGATTACAGGCACATGCCACTATGCCTGGCTAATTTTTGTATTTTTAGTAGAGATGGAGTTTCACCATGTTGGCCGGGCTGGTCTTGAACTCCCGACCTCAGGTGATCCACCCACCTTGGCCTGCCAAAGTGCTGGGCTTACAGGCGTGAGCCACTGTGCCCGGCTGTTTATGCTTTTCTTGTGAGTAATGCAGGACATATTTCAGAGACTCTGGCAAGACTATGTCGAGAACTACAACACTCCTCATCCTCCTGGTATTGAGCCAGGTTTAAGTAGAGAAAGAAAGCCCTGACATATGTTAAAACAGAAAACCAGACCATATCATTCCTTTACTCAAACTTCTCCATATCTCCTCATCTCTCCCAGGGTAGAAGCCGAAGTCTTTAAATGGTAACCAGGCCCCACACAATCTTTTCTCAACCCCTGTGAACCCCCTACTATTTTTCATTATAAAAGTTGTCATACATAAAGAGAAGTTGGATGAACAGTACAATGAACACCCATATATCTACCAATTTGATCTAACGCTTCAAAACTAACATTATAAAGGGCTTGGAGAGATGGAGTCCTGGGAGGGTTGGGAATGAAAAGAGAGAGGACCTACCAGATCAGACTGTTAGAGATGGAATGCAAGGTGGGCTAGACTGCCTATTGAACTGAGTTCCTCACAAAGTGGGAGTGGGCATGGTGGAGGGGCGGGGGAAGAGGCCACACTGGGCTGTGGTCAGGGATTATTACCAGAGAAGCAGTTGAGTGGAGCCCTGGCAGCCCATGTCCTTGCCCTTGGTCAGGGCCACACTCAAACCCTCCCCAGCAGAGCATCTATTCTATAAACCCTCCAGAGACGCAGATTACACAACATCCTTCAGTAGTCTGCGTCAATGTTTCAAACTGTGAAGTGATTCTCCCTGAAGACTAAACATGAGGTTTCACTGTGTTCTTTCAGTACATTTCCTCCTGTTCTTTTCTTGCAAGAAACAGCTATCTGGGCAATATCTCCTATGTACTGACGTCAACAAATTTCAAGGCAAAAGTACTCTGTCATTTTCATCTATTTTTTAAAATGATAATTATTTTCTTCTTTAATAACCTTACTAGCTCTTCGGAACCTTTACCACATCCCATAGAAAGAGGCAGGGGTTGCAATTGAAAACACACTGACAGATTAAACCCCAGTTCTCTTACTGGATGACACAGAGCTAGTTACTAACCTTGCTGAGGATTTGAAAAATAACAACTTCCTCTAAGGTGGTTGTGAACACTCAGTGAGGTAAGGTACATTTGTGCCCTGAATGTAGTAAATACTTGAAGTTTTAGTTATCCCCACTGTGTTGTTCTAGTCAGGGCTAATTACCTGGACTGATATTTTATGTTTTATTTAGTTATTTCTGATTTCTTTCTTTCTTTTTTTTTTTTTTTTTTGAGATGGAGTCTCACTCTGTCACCCAGGCTGGAGTGCAGTGGTGCAATCTCAGCTCACTGCAACCTCTGCCTCCCAGGTTCAAGCGATTCTCGTGCCTCAGCCTCCCAAGTAGCTGGGATTACAGGCATGTGCCACCAAGCCCGGCTAATTTTTGTATTTTTAGTAGAAACAGGGTTTCACCATATTGGCCAGGCTGGTTTCGAACTCTTGACCTCAAGTGATCTGCCCACCTCAGCCTCCCAAAGTGCTGGGATTACAGGTGTGAGCCACCGTGCCTGGCCTATTTCTGATTTCTTCTACTTGTTATGGAGACCACAGCTTATACATACGTATACGTGTCCAAAAGGATTAGCTATTTCGTGCTTGAATGCCTTGGGAGCTTTGCTACTAGGAATAGGTGATTTACTATTCTCCTTGGCCCTGACTGAGATGTGGGGAGGTGGAATCATGCACACACGTTAGTTCCTGAGAACACTATGTTTGTACCACTATGTAGATCAGAGCTCCTCAATCTTGGTACTTGACATTTGGGGCCAAATAATTCTTGGTTGTGAGAGGCTGTCGTGCATATTGTATAATGTTAAGTAGTATCCCTGGTCTCTACCAACTAGATGCAGTAGTACTCTCCCCTCAGTGTGATAACCAAACATGTCTCCTGGGAGACAAAATCACCCTGGTTGAGAACCCCTGTTCTATATCTCTGATATAGTGCTTTGAAGAGCATAAATTACTGCCATACCAACTGAGGTTGTCATCTGTGAGTCTGTGATCTCTAATTACTCTCTATCCTGAATATTCTGACCCTACTGAGAAAAACATAGCCTATTACCAAGATAGAATAGAGCACCAGTTGTCTCCTTTCAGTGAAAATCAAAAAGAAAAAATGCAGTATAAGAAATGCAAGGACAAACTATATTTGTAATTCATGTAAGTTTGATGTTATCATGGAACCAAAGATTTTTATGCTTCCTTATGCTTTAACTGTCCCTCTCCTTCATGTCTCTGATAAGAATTCTCTCAAAAAGCCCTTTCTGACTACAAAGATTCTGGGCCTGAGGACAGATTGCTAAGGTTCAAATCCCAGTTCCATTGATTTCCAGCTGTGTGACCTTGATTCTGTGCCACGGTTTCCTCATCTAAAAAATGGGAATGATGCTATTACTCACCTCATAGGGTTTTGTGAGGATTTAATAAGGGAGCACATGTAAAGCAGTTAAACTCTGTTTGGCACATAATAATCACTCAACAAAGTTTGGATATTATTATTGCTAGAGGTAGTAGTAGTCTCTATAATTCAGAGTCTCATCTCCGTCAGAAAGCCTGCCGGACTCCATGAGCCCGCTTTGACCTCTTTTATCTCTGAAATCATAGAAGTTCTTATAATTTTATAGATCAAAGCTTATTCACATTATCTTTTATCTGGGCCATCTGAATAAAATTTCCCAATAGCACAAGGATGTGTGAGCCATAAATTACATGTTCTACATGATTTGCATTTTCTCATCCACCTCATAAATTGGGTAAATAGTTGTTAACACCACTTGGGGGGGTCTATATACCTATACAAAATTGGATAGTGGTTTGGGGAACTCTCTCCTCTCTTATCAGAATTTCCTCCTCCTCTTGTCCTCTCTTATCTGGTTATTTCATATGTAGTCAGTAGGTAGAGACATCAGCATGATATTGGTACTAACATGGAAGCTCCCCTGAAGACTGAGGCAAAATTCATAAAGATGATCTAGGAAGGTCAAAAAAGCTTTGCACAATACCAACTACCAAATCCAGTGAAAAGGCTAAGCAGAGAAAGACACTCACTATGAGAGTTCCTCCAGGTATGTTCTCAAATTTCCAATTTTTATAATTGCTTCATTACTTCATCCTTGTAGAGGTTGCTCAGTCCTTGTTTGCCTTTCAACCAATGTTGAAAAACACTGGTAATCACCAAGATCTAAAAATAACATCTTGTAGCATGATGGCAATATCCAAATTTCAAGGCAACAGGGCCCCAATTCCTTTCTGCATTGAATCCAAATTAATATTATTAAGACCTACCACATTTTGACTGTCCCCAGAAAAGATGCAAGGCTTCCCTAGAATTTGCACTGTGTAATTTCTAGGCACTGAACATATTTTGCAGCCAAAGAACACTCCTGATGGGATTGAAGACAAGTTGGTAAATCTTAGGAGGGTCTTTGGTGGCAAAGAATGAAGTAGGAGTAAAGCTCTTACACAACTTAGCTTCTAGTTTTTATATATTCATTGTGACATTATCATTGTGACATTACATCTCTGGCATCATCAAAAACCAAGGGATTTTTATTTAAAATATGATACACGATAAGACCTCAGAAAAGTTCTTATAATTTCAAGTGCATGTATTCATGTGGCATAAAATTAAAGCCCTTACCCTTTGACTTTTGACTTTCAGATTGGTCCTCTTTGAAGTTCAGATATTAAGCACCTGAAAATTTACAAAGTAACTTACGCATTCCCTATGTCTGTAATTTTTGGAAATGAGATGGTTCTATGACCTCTGATATCTTCCCCCACATCTCCCTCACTAACCACTTGCTTAGGTTCTATATACAGGGAAAACAAAGGAGTCCTTCAATCAAATAAACAATAGCATCCTTGGGCAGGGGACCAGTCTTATAGAATAATCTAGAGCAAAACTTCAAAGCCCCAATTAAGATCCCTTCTCTTACTATAGACCAGACCAGCAAGCTTCCCTCTGAGCCTCACCCGGGTCCTTCTACCTTTCCAGAGATCTGATGTCTCCAAAGTAGTTCCCAGCCTTGAAGCTTACAATTTCTCATGCACCACTGGTGTTAATAAGTTCTTATCTGGGACATTGTGTGTCATAGAGGGGCACAAATGGAAAGAGAATTTTATACTTTGTAGAATAATTATCATATATTCTGCCATGCCATTCTGTCTTTGCAATCATTATTTTTTTTCTCTCTCAGGACTTTTGGCATATTATTTTTGTGATGTACTAATATAACAATTTGTTAACAGGAGTGGCATGTCTGAGAACTCCAAGTCATAATCATCTTATCCTAATTCTCTTGATACATTGTTTGGGAAAAAAATGCATCCACCATGGCTGCCAAAACAGCTTCTCGGTTTAGCCAGTATTCTGGCCTCTTTGCATGTGTCTGTGACTACTTGACTATCTCATCTTTGCTGAAGTTAATGGCTGGTTATTAGGACCACACTTAATAAATAGCAGCTCCTCAAGGAATGGCATGGACTCTTGATAGCATTCTAACCTCTTGAGTTCAGAGCCCTCCAGATTGTGGAATAAATTAGCAGTGCTAGAATTACCAGCCCTATGTTTTGCTGACCCACTTTAAAGAGTGTTTACATGTCCTGAATCTTGATCTACAATACTTATTTTTATATGCCATTTTATATTTATATCCTAGAATACTATTATTTTATGGAATATTCCACTTTGATATCCCAATTAGAACAATCTCACCATCTAGGGATTCTGATAACCACAACTATGGGAAAATCAGTTCTAGTTTATGGCCACAGATGGGCCAGCATTGGGTAGGAGTGAAGAATTAATGTCATATTAAAATAAAAAGTAGGTGAATAAATTTCAGAATACATTTTTATAAAATAAAAATTATTAGTGAAACCAACTGGAGGGATTTCCATTGCTGTGACCTCATTCCTTGACACCCACTTTCAGTCATCAGTGAGCTTTGGCATCATGGTAGTTGCAACATAAATATGGTTCTTTTCATACAATGCTGGAGGGTCCTCATTTCTCTTGTTGCCTAAAACATTAACTGTGGGCTGAGATATCTGGCTCAGGGAAAAGACTAACCAGTGTTCAACACTTGGCTTGGCTACTTAGTAAATAATAGTATGACCTTGCGAGAAGAAGCAGCTTGATTGAGGTAAACTTCATTTATGCTCTCACCACCCCCGCTTTTTTTTTGAGATGGAGTCTCGCTCTGCCACCCAGGCTGGAGTCCAGTGGCACTATCTTGGCTCACTGTAACCTCCACCTCCTGGGTACAAGCGATTCTTCTGCCTCAGCCTCCTGAGTAGCTGGAACTACGGGCGCACACCACCATGCCCGGCTAATTTTTGTATGTTTAGTAGAGACAGGGTTTCACCACATTGTCCAGGCTGGTCTCAAACTCCTGACCTCAGGTGATCCACCCTCCTCAGCCTCCCAAAGTGCTGGGATTACAGGCCTGAGCCACCGCGCCTGGGCCTTTCATTTTCTTCATCTATGAGAAGGTAGTAACAATACCATTTTTACAGGGTCATTTGGTGGATTCAGTGACAACATATGTAAGGCATTTAGCCCAATGCCTGACTTACAGTAATCATGCTGTTTTTCTCTCACGTCTTTTACCATAGTAACTTGAATCATAGCTTCCAAATCTCATTTTGTTCCAGAAAATTTTTCCACCTTTTTTTCAGTTGATACTAATCTCTATCCATCACATTCTGTGGATGGGCAAATAAACAGATGAAATATGCCATATGAAAATGAATTATGCTACACACAGGGTAGACAACTGAGCTTTCCCTCTTCTTCCTCCTTACTACTGAGTTGCTGAACAATGTCTGTATTCAATAAATATTTATTGTGTGTACCTATAATGCACCAGCCACTTTTCTAAGCAGCTGAAGATATAGCAGTGAACAAAATAGAGAAAAGTTTCTGCCCTCTTGGAGCTTATATTTTAGTGGGGAGAGACAGATAATAAAGGAATACATTAGTAAAACATGTAATTATGAGTACCGTGTAGCAGATGGTGGTGTCATGAAAAAAAATAAAGGATGGAAGTTGTATAAATAGTGCCACTATATGTGTATGTAGTGGTGATAGGGAGGATAAATTTTAATTAGTTGATTGGGTAGCTTGAGCTTTACTCTTGACTCATTAAAAAAGAGAATCATAATATTTAAAAAAATTCAAGTCGTCAGATTGACAGGAGGCAAAAACAGTGTTTAGTAAAATTGGGACTTTATAACGTTGACCAGCATTCCTGGGACCAATGCTGGACTTAGTAAAACTGGCTCTATTGAGTTATTGTTCTGTTAGTTCTCTGTGAGGTCTCTTCTTCCAACTTGATAGAAGGGACTCTACGAGTGAATAGGAAGGTTGAGGTTGGAGTCTGTAACTAACCTTGACCAAGCTCCACTGATGGCTCAGACCAGACAAATCCCTTAGAAGACGAGGAGGGAGGAATACAATGAGGTGTCCAAGATGAGCCTGCTAGACCTCAAGAAGACAACTACTGTTGAACATTTCCAGTTGGATCAGAAAACATGACTCATACACAATCCATAGACTGAGGTGGAGGCCAATAAAATAAAGGGGTTTTCTAAGATATTTAGAGTCAATTAGGAAGCATTGACCAAAGTCTAAAATTCTTCGGTCACCCTCAGACTCTAGCTGAGATGCCAGAGCTGGTTCCACAATAAGTCTTCTATGCCTTAAATGCCCACCAGTGTTGCAGCCTTGACCTGGATTGCGTCTAAGCCCTTGACTTTGACTATCTGTCATGTCAGCTGACTTTCCTGAACTGGCACCTTGCCTCAACTTAACCACCCTGTTCTTCTGAGATGTTTCTACTTTGCCATAAACCAGTGAGGACTACAATGCTCTGGCCAAGATCCTGAAACTCCCGTTTCTCCTTCCTGTTCATTCCACAGATGGCTTTTTTTTTTTTTTTTTTTTTTTTGTCCTGGGATACATGTGCAGAACGTGCAGGTTTGTTACATAGGTGTACATATTCCATGGTGGTTTGCTGCACCTATCAACCCATTATCTAGTTTTTAAGGCCTGCATGCATTAGGTATTTGTCTTAATGCTCTCCCTCCCCTTACCCCCCACCTCCCGACAGACCCCAGTGTGTGATGCTCCCCTCCCTGTGTCCATGTGTTCTCATTGTTCAACTCCCACTTATGAGTGAGAACATGTGGTGTTTGTTTTTTTGTTCCTGTGTTAGTTTTCTGAGAATGATGGCTTCCAGCTTCATCCATGTCCCTGCAAAGGACATGAACTCATTCTTTTTTATAGCTGCATAGTATTCCATGGTGTATATGTGCCACATTTTCTTTATCTATTCTATCATTGTTGGGAATTTGGGTTGGTTCCAAGTCTTTGCTATTGTGAATAGTGCTGCAATAAACATACGTGTGCATGTGTCTTTATAGTAGAATGATTTATAATCCTCTGGGTATATACCCAGTAATGGGATTGCTGGGTCAAATGGTATTTCTGGTTCTAGATCCTTGAGGAATCGCCACACTGTCTTCCACAATGGTTGAACTAATTTACACTCCCACCAGCGTGTAAAAGCGTTCCTATTTCTCCACAGCTTAGCCAGCATCTATTGTTTCCTGACTTTTTAATAACTGCCATTCTATCTGGTGTGAAATGGTATCGTATTGTGGTTTTGATTTCCATTTCTCTAATGACCAGTGATAATGAGCGTTTTTTCATGTTTGTTGGCCACATAAATGTCTTCTTTCGAGAATTGTCTGTTCATATCCTTCACCCACTTTTTGATGGGGTTGTTTGTTTTTTTCTTGTAAATTTAAGTTCCTTGTAGATTCTGGATATTAGACCTTTGTCAGATGAATAGATTGCAAAAATTTTCTCCCATTCTGTAGATGGCCTGTTCACTCTGATGATGGTTTCTTTTGCTGTGCAGAAGCTCTTTAGTTTAATTAGTTCCCATTTGTTGAGCTGGGCATGGTGGCTCACGCTTGTAATCCCAGCACTTTGGTAGGCTGAGGTGGGTGGATCACCTGAGATTAGGAGTTTGAGACCAGCCTGGCCAACATAGTGAAACCCCGTCTCTACTAAAAACATACAAAAAGTTAGCTGGGCATGGTGGTGGGCGCCTGTAATCCCAGCTACTAGGGAGGCTGAGGCAGAAGAATCACTTGAACCTGGGAGGCGGAGGTTGCAGTGAGTCGAGATCGAGTCATTGGACTCCAGCCTGGGCAACAAGAGTGAAACTCCATCTCAAAAAAAAAAAAAAAAAAAAAAAGATCCCATTTGTTAATTTTGGCTTTTGTTGCAATTGCTTTTGGTGTTTTAGTCATGAAATATTTTGCCATGCCTAAGTCCTGAATTGTATTGCCTAGTTTTTCTTCTAGGGTTTTTATGGTTTTGGGTTTTGCATTTAAGTCTTTAATCCATCATGAGTTAATTTTTGTATAAGGTGTAAGGAAGGGGTCGGCTTTCTGTTTTCTGCATATGGCTAGTCAGTTTTCCCAGCACCATTTATTAAATAGGGAATCCTTTCCCCATTGCTTGTTTTTGTCAGGTTTGTCAAAGATCAGATGGTTGTAGATGTGTGGTTTTATTTCTGAGGTCTCTGTTCACAGATGTCTCTTTTAAGGAGAGTTGTTTCAAGTAACTTTCCCCCACTATTTATCCTTCCAATTTCCCTCCTGAGGTCTAGACTTTAATACTTTTCAGTACACTGGGATTTTGAAGAGGTAAGATATTTTCTTTTTAGTTTTAGCTGAGAGACAATATTTGAGTAACCATCTCTAGCTGACAATTCTCAAATTTGTATCTCCATCCTTGACCTCTCTGCCAAACTCCAGATTTGTATATCCAATTGCCTTCTCAACATCTACACTTGGGTTGCTAATAGATATCATAAACTTAACTAAACTTTCAGTCTTCCCTTTAAGCCTATTTTACCAGCAATCTTTCTCATCTAAATTGATGTTAATTTCATCCTTCTAGCTGTTTAATCCAAAAACCCGGAGTGATCTTTGACTCTTTCTTTCATAGCCTACATCCAATTCACCAGCAAAGCTTGTTTGCTTTACTTTTAAAATGTATTAAAAATCCAATCACGTCTCATCAACTCTACTGTTACCACCAAGCCACCATTATATTTCATCTGGATTATTGCAACAGCTTCCTCAGTGGTCTCTCTGACTGTAGTCTTGCCCCATATGTGGTTTGTTCTTCATGTAGTGGCCAGAGGGATTCCTTTTTTTTTTTTTCTTTTTTTTTTTTTGAGGCAGGGTCTCACTCCTGTCACCCAGGCTGCAGTGCCATGGTGCGATCACGGCTCACTGCAGCCTCAACTTCCTGGTTTCACATGATGCTACCACCTCAGCCTCCCAAGTAGCTGGGGCTACAGGCACACACCACCACACCTGGCTAATTTTTTGTAGTTTTAGTAGAGACAGTGTTTCACCATGTTGCCCAGGCTGGTCTTGAACTCTTGGGTTCAAGAGATCCTCACGCCGTGGCCTCCCAAAGTGTTGGGATTACAGGTGTGAGCCACTGTGCCCGGCCCAGGATTTCTTTTAAATGTAAGTGATATCGTGTAACTCTTCTGTTCAAATTCTACCATGCATCCCATCTCACTTAGGATAAATGCTCATGTTTTGCTTCTAAAGTCTTAGATGTAAATTTATACTAGTGAGTTCCTTGCTCTAGTGCTATCTGATATTTTGTACAGTATAGGTATCAAAATAAATTACGGTTACTGTGGCAGGCACTGTACTATCATAAATTCAGGCCAGTAACAATCAGTATAACCTTCTTGGAATCCAATGTTTATTCTCACAAATTTGAACTCTGTCTATTGAAACTGTTTATCAGTTTGGTTAATGAAGATTATCTTTGCTGTATCTTTAGTGTTTGAAATGTTTGTTTTCTGGTGCCATAAATAAATAGTATTTGAACATAGATTTATTTTTTTTAGTAAGGCTATTTTTATACTTTCTGTAGAAAGGGTCCACTTGCCAGTAGTTTTGTTACGAGAGTATACCGAACAAAGGAGATAGGGTTATTTATAACTTGACGCGTCTACCCTACTGTTGTGTCTGGTTCTTATTGGCTGGAACGGGACCTCACATTTTGTGTTTGTCTTGACTGGCTAGCAACTTAGAACTTTTTAAAAGAGGCAAAGGCAGAGGAGAACAAAGGAAGGAGGAAGTAACTTGTGGAATGTTGAGAAAGGTAAAAACCCCTTCAAATAAGGAAGAGGAACAGGCTATGACCTAATGCTTGTTTGGAGCAGTATTAAGGATGCCAGGGCAAATATTTAGGTTAAATTGTGGGAGCTAAGAACATAAAGTACATTGATTTTTTTTTATTATGGCTAGCAGATATTTAAGAATGTTAGCACAGGTTTTTGAATGAATTTTGCTTCTAAGAGAAGCTATTATTTATTCCTAATTAGACAGGGAGGAAAGTCTTTGAAGAGGAACCTCTACTTTACTTTTTACATTTAGGAAAAAAGGGACTGCTATGCAACTAAAAATGTAAACAGGAAAGAGCTTTAGCTTTTCCTTTGGGCTGAAAGCCCAACTAGTTATTTATTTTCTATAAAGCACTTATAAATTCACTTTGTGTGATAAACATGTGGTCAAAATCAATTGTACTGAATGCAAATAGTTCTTGACCATGCAAAGTTTTGAATTTCTCTATGCATTGTGTTCCTGATACCCTTCCTTGTTCTGTCAGCAGTATTAATCAATAAGAAATTGAACAAAACATCCTTTCTTTTCTGATGTTTACCAAAGTTATCCACCCAACTTGGGGAACTGGAAGAGGTTTCTCCTATAGCTATTTGGCAACCTCAGCATTTGTGACTCAGTTGGAAGGATATAAAAAGTTGAACAGTAAGGGAAATATGGATTTCAAAGTCTATGTACTTTGCTCTAGCAGAATAAAGACCCACCCTCGGATTTCAGCCTATGAAAAGGGAGGTTTCTAGTTGAACTCCATGGTTATCTAGTTTCCATTTAGGTTTTAGCAGATAGCAGATCAGAAACAGGGAGGGGACTTGTGGAGAGCAGGGCTACTGAAAGTTGATACTGTGACTGTGAACTCAGAATGTGCAGAAACAGCAGAATTAATAGCAATAAAGCTGTTGAGTCATTTAATGTAAAGCCTTGAAGACATTGTCACATTATAGCTTAGCCAGTAAATATTATTTAAGATGATGACACTGAGTCATCTGAAATATAACCCTAAACTAATGTCCAGGCAGCATCGCGATCGGGATGGAATATATTGAAGAAAAATTTCTAACTAAAACGGTTTAAAAATGTATAACTGGTGTAATCAAAGCAGTACATTTTAATTTTGCTTATGGGGACCTGCTTATTCTCAGAATATGACAGATTGATGAGGACTTATTAGACATGCATGAAGTTAGCAGATAACTGAACCCATGACTCTGTGGAGAGAAAAGGTCTCTTAAGCAATCTGGGATCAAAATGTAGCCCCATTGCCTATCAGTTGTGGAAGTTTGAATTAATCATGGGAACAGTTGGTTTCCTTAATTATAAAATGGATCTCACTATTTCTACCTGTAAAGTTGTTGTGAAGAGTTTATATACAGGAGCAGGTACAAAGCATATGCAACCAACAAATACAACATCTGTAAATATTGAGAGGGAGTCATTTACCTTTATGACTTTCCCCTTCTTCCTCAAGATAGCGTGACAGACTCAAGTTTTCTCTTCTCTGTATGTAGGAAGTTTTATACCAGGACCTGACCATGACTGGGTGATGAAAGCACGCTGAGAGGTTCTCTATGGCTGGGCTCATGTAGACTACTGGCTGACTCCCCTTTCCTTTCATATATGACTCTACTCATTCCATTGGTGAGCTCCTCCATCCTGCTGTTTCAGCACAAACTAGCAGACTTCTCCTACAATGCAGGATCCTATAGTCCAAACAGACCTTTGAGTCAAACTCCCAGCCAGTCTCTGTCTGCTGCAGTGTCTCTGAAAGATGACCTTGCAGATGGTTTGATTAAACATTCCAGTGTGGAAGTTCTCTAATTATTACACAGCTCCTTTCATTTTCTGTGGCTTTTATTACTAGGCTTACAACATTACTCTCTGTGTTCTTATGTATTAATTCAAGTAATATGACATCCCTATGAAATGGATATAAAACTATCATTGGCCTTGAAATAAATTAGGTGCAGGGAGGATATTACCTGCCTAAGGTCACACAGCTAACAAGTGGCAGAGTAAATCCACTATGCTAAGTCTTCTTCTAAATGGCAGTACCATGATGGAAGAAAGCTGTCCACCCTGTCTTCTCTTCCATATCTAAACCATTCTCCAAATTATATTATTTTAGATCCATCTGCTCTCCTATTTATTTTCCTCTGGATGCTCTCTTGTGCGTCTCTAAAATTGTGGTTCACAGAAATGAATGTTATAGTCTAGATTATTTTGTATCTAATGCTTATATTAGCAAAGTCTAATATAGTATAAGATGTAATTATAGGCCCAGTAATTTTTACTGGGCCTCCTAGTTGGATCTTGAAGCTCATACTAAGCTTTTATTCAACCAGCTTGACTGGGCTGCTGCAGTAGCTCATTAACTAGCCTCCCTGCTTCCATCCTTACCCCTTTAGTGTCCATTCTCTAAGCAGCAGCCAAAGTGACCCTGCTAAAGCTTCTACTAGATCACTTCTCTGCTTGAAGCCTTCCAGTGTCTTCCCATGTTGCTGAGAGTAAAGCTGAAGTCTCACAGTTAATTGTCTTTAAGACCTCCCTGGTGTGACCCTAGCTTCTTCCTTGACTTCACCTCCTGCCACTTTCCCCTGCACACTGAGCTCCAGTCACAAAGACCTCTGATGTTCTTGAAATCTGCCTACATCCTTTACACTTGCTGCTCCCTCTCCCTAGGAAAACTTCTTCACCCAGAGATCCGCACAACTTTCATCACTTCTTTCCGGTCTTTGCTCAAACGTCACCTTCTCAGAGAGGCCCTCCTTATAGAAAATCCCTCTCCCCACCCCATAATTCTCTATCCTCCATTTCTTGCTTATTATAAGTCATGACATTTATCACTATTTTTGTCTTCCTTCTATTGTCACCTCATATAATACAATATTTATTAGCTTACATTCAAAATCTAGAATAGTGTTTGGCATATAGTAGGTATTCAATAAACAATGATTGAAGCAAGATTCTTGTTGTTTTGGACATGAATTGTTGTTTACCAGAGGACTGCCTAATCCTGTACTGTGTAATTGTTTCAGGGGACATTTGGGTCTAGTCATAGCATTTTACATTCTGTTAAATCCCTTATTGAAAAGGAAGATACACTACGTCTTTGGATATATTTTTTTACTATTGTATTCTATCAGAGAGGAGATAGGGCAGGCAGCATCTGACTTATTCCTAGTGAATTCCTAATGGACCAGAGATATATTTTTCCAAGTGCAAATCACATTCTAAAAATTTTACTTTAGGCCGGGTGCGGTGGCTCATGCCTGTAATCCCAGCACTTTGGGAGGCCGAGGCGGGCAGATCACGAGGTCAGAAGATCGAGACCATCCTGGCTAACACAGTGAAACCCCGTCTCTATTAAAAATACAAAAATATTAGCTGCGCATGGTGGCGGGCGCCTGTAGTCCCAGCTACTCGGGAGGCCGAGGCAGGAGAATGGCGTGAACCTGGGAGGCGGAGCTTGCAGTGAGCGGAGATCGCGCCGCTGCACTCCAGCCTGGGTGACAAAGCGAGACTCCGTCTCAAAAAAAAAAAAATTTACTTTATAGCTTTACTAGGTGTTAAGGTCAAACTTCCCTTTACCATTATGAAATCCACCCCCTCCTCCAATCTTTTTGAAACATAGAACATCTTTCCTGCATCTTTGGTCTTCTAATTTTTTCTGATTCTCCAATTTTTCTCAAAGACAATACATTCCTTTAGACCAATTGTTTTTCTGGGTCTCATCTCCTGAGTCTTCAGTGAATTCTTTCCATTCTCGGAATGCGCTCAGAGAGAACGCTTCTGGGGAACTATCAGAACATTGATATCTTCTCAAAAAAGTGTGAACAAAAATTCCAATAATTCAGTCAGTGCTTGCAGTTGGCCATTCTGGGCTAGTTTTTCTACAGAATCACTGTAGACTATTCTCCCTTTTCCCTTGCTT
Source organism: Homo sapiens (assembly GCF_000001405.40). Taxonomy (NCBI): domain Eukaryota; kingdom Metazoa; phylum Chordata; class Mammalia; order Primates; family Hominidae; genus Homo; species Homo sapiens. The sequence continues at coordinate 15,603,188 of NC_000023.11, read as the reverse complement.
CTCAAAGTTTCTTGGCTTCTAGCATTTTCCTGCCTGCCTCACTGCTGTCCCAGGCTCCTTGTTCATTTATTCTTAGCTTTCAGATTTTATATCTTGCTTTCTCCATTTCAGTTTGATCAAGTTAATCGTATTTTCTGCCTCAGCGAATTGAATTTGGACTACTCCCATTTTTTCCACTAAACCCACGTGTTTCATTTAGGAACTTACCTGTGTAGAAATTTATTTCCGCTTTTATTACAGTAACATTTCAACCTTTTCTTCAGATACTCGTGTGCTGTCCTCTTTCTTGCCTGTTTTTTCTCCTATTGTGTGCAAGGAGTGAGTGGATCTAGGTTTCCTGGAATGTGGGAGGAGCTTTTCTGAAATTTCTGCACTGATTTTTTTTTTTTACCCTCATCTCACTTTCATTTAAAATTCTTTATTATTATTACTTATATTTGTGAGCTGCTTTATTTTTTTAAAAGGAGAGTATATTTTGATTCACATCAAGGGAAGTAAGAGTCCACCTCTTTTTGATGCAGTGTAACTAAATCTGTCATCTTCACTGAGGCACAAGGCCCTCTGTCACATTTTATCTATGCCTCCACTATTGCTTTTAGACTGTTGACTACAAGTTAGTTAAGAGCCTATACTCTAGAATCAGAATACATAGATCCATGTTCTGATTCCATCATTTGTTAGCTGAGTGAGATATAGCAATTTACTTAAACTTAGTTTCATAATTCATAAAATGGTGATAAAATATTTGCCTATAGGTTTCTTGTGATGCTCAAATGAGATATTATAACACAAAGCACTTTGAATAGTTACTTATAATTGTTTTTTTCCTATTCTACAATAATATACACAACTTTGGAATAAGGAAAAGCAGTGGACATTTTTTTAAAGGCTTGATTATTGCAATGTCACCTGAACCTGGAAGACTTGTTTTTCTGGGTGAAGAAATATTTTCTCTGTGTCAGAGTTTCACAATCATCGTCAGGTAGGCCCTTGAACCCTGCCATTTAAAGTGCTCCTCTCTTTGATCTGTGGCACTCATACATACACTCTGGCAATGAGGACACTGAGCTCGCTTCTGAAATTTGACAAGATAACCACTAAAATCTCTTTGAATTCTATGTTGTTGTGATCCCATGGCTACAGAGGATCAGGAGTTGACATAGATACTCTTTGGATTTCATACCATGTGGAGGCTTTCTTACTTCCACGTGACCTTGACTGAGTTTTGAATAGGTAAGTGAAGGAGAAGGAGGCACTCAAAGAAGTCAGCCACAGAACCAGTGTGAGAAATAGGAAATGAGCTTTTTTAAGTTTTGCAAAGGCAGATCAGGAGAGTTGACCTGTGGAGTGGAGAGTAGTCATAATTTTAAAAAATGGCCATGGAAATTAAAACTGATCAGAAATGGCTGGGCACAGTGGCTCACGCCTGTAATCCTAGCACTTTGGGAGGCCGAGTTGGGCAGATCACAAGGTCAGGAGATAGAGACCGTCCTGACTAACACGGTGAAACCCCGTCTCTATTAAAAATACAAAAACTTAGCTGGGCGTGGTGGTGGGCACCTGTAGTCCCAGCTACTCGGGAGGCTGAGGCAGGAGAATGGCGTGAACCTGGGAGGCAGAGCTTGCAGTGAGCCGAGATCGCGCCACTGTGCTCCAGCCTGGGCGACAGACCGAGACTCAGTCTCAAAAAAAAAAAAAAAAAAAAAACTGATCAGAAATATGAATTCCATAAAGACAAGGGCAAAGTCATGTATTTGGAAGGGAAAATGTTGCCCAAGTAGAGAGTTTCTGGGAATATGATCTTGAAATAAAAATAAATGTGAGATAACCTATTAATGAAATTGTCTGAAAACCATACAAACACCAACATTATCTTCATGATCCCTAGTTCTAGACCTCTTTGGTCACTGTAAAATTATAACATTTTCCGTGTATCTTTAACAGCTTTCTAGGAAAATATTAACCAAAAGTACCGGTTTTGATTTGGCCATAAAGTGACAGGAGAGGTAAGGTTCTCTAGGATTAAAGAATAACGTATTCTTATTTGATTCACTTTAAAAAATTATTCTAAAATCTGTTACATATCTGTCCTCTCCAGGATGAACTTTATATTGGCTCAGCAGATTGTTTACTGTGTTCTTCTTCTTTTTCTTTTTTTGGTCTTTCCTGCTCAGCGCCCAACCCAAGTTCAAAGGCTGATAAGAGAGAAAATCTCATGAGGAGGTTTTAGTCTAGGGAAAGTCATTCAGTGGATGTGATCTTGGCTCACAGGGGACGATGTCAAGCTCTTCCTGGCTCCTTCTCAGCCTTGTTGCTGTAACTGCTGCTCAGTCCACCATTGAGGAACAGGCCAAGACATTTTTGGACAAGTTTAACCACGAAGCCGAAGACCTGTTCTATCAAAGTTCACTTGCTTCTTGGAATTATAACACCAATATTACTGAAGAGAATGTCCAAAACATGGTGAGTTCTCATGGCTCTATTGGGCTATTTGTTGCCTCTTAAAGATTAGATTACTGCCCGTGAAACTGAAAAGGGAAATCAAAAAAAATGCTCTGAGTTGTGAGATTGGATGTTTGCCTCCATATCCCTGATTTTGGAGTCCCAGATAACTAAACTTAATTGACCCTGGGGTTCATTCAGAAAATTGTTACAAAATAATTCACTGGTCTCAATCCAGATGCTTGGAAACAAGAGAATATTCTTTATAAAGTTACCACCATAATTCTCATCACAGTCAGGATTTCAAAGCATTTCATGGAAATGCCATAAGTTATTGAGTTAATAATTTCCTTTAGCCTACAATATCAATAGGAATATCTAAAGATTCTCTACAAATGATATATTAACTGAAAAATGCAACTGGAGGCTTAGTGAAAGAACTAGTAATTAAGCTAATCAGGGCTTGGGTGAGGCTGGACTTGGGAATTCCTTTCCTCTTTGTCACAGACCTCCAAGGGACTCCAAAAGGTCACAGAATCCAGGCAGAGCCCTCCAAAACAAAAACAAAAACAAACAACAAAAAAACTATGATTAAACCAGTTCTGACAAATATCAGAATGCTCTGGGAAAGCCAGATGCTTTAACAAGTGCAAGGATTTAGGAATTTCTTCTCTCACAGATCCCAAAACAGTATCCTTAAGTGGTGATCCTTATGTCAAGCTGTGAGAATATACCTCAAAATAATAGAAGGCATCCAAACTTGATCAGTATAGTGTCATAAAGCTGCTGATGTAGAAGTGTGGAGAAGTCCATCAGATAGAGATATGGAAAAAAAAGCTTGGTTAAAACAGGTTTCCAAAGTTCTCTCCCTTTCTCTGCCATTGTGGTATGTGTGGTTGACCATTTCTCATCATGTTTTCTTACAAGACTTTCAGGATCAAGCAATTCCTCGCCAAAAAACAAAATCAAGGACACGTTGTAGCTATTTCTTGGTGAGTTACCAGAAGCTGTGAAGAGAGAGCATGAGGCCCATACTTTTTTTTTTTTTTGAAGGGTCTCGCTCTGTTGCCCAGGCTGGAATGGAGTGGCATGATCATGATTCATTGCAGCTTGACCTCCTGGGCTCAAATGATCCTCTCGCATCATTTAACATTTTTTTTTGTAGAGATGAGATCTCACTTTGTCTCCCAGGCTGGTCTTGAACTCCTGGGCTCAAGTGATCCTCTTGCCTCAGGCTCCCAAAGTGCTGGGATGACAGGCATGAGCCACTGCACCTAGCCTACCACACTTACTCTTTGCGTGGTCTCTAGAGCTTCTTCAGCCCCCCTGCTGCCAGGGTCCCTAGGGTCTTGGGCATGCCCCATTTCTGAACCTATTCCTGTCTCCAGGGATAGAGTCACAGTGAACTCAGACCAGGGTAATTCTAAACTGCTATTCTGTATATACCCAAGGAAATTTCATCCCTGTCTCTAATGAGTCTGTCCCATGCCCCTTAATACACATGAACACCTACACACAGGTACAAGTCGGGGAAGATCACTGTGCAGCACATAAAATAAAATTCAGGGGCGAGCACTTTTTTTCCCATGAGATAAAGTTAGGAAAAAATAAAAATGTTCATACAGATTAAAAATTTTAAATGTTAAAATATTAAACCCCCAATCTAAAATAAAGAAAAAATAATTTCTTAAATCCTAAGCTTGAGTTATGGAATTCACATTCTTATAATTTACATTACCTATTTTGTTAAATGGAAGACTTTTTTTTTTAATATGCAAGTACCTGGGCATATTTAGAAAGTAACCAAGGCAGCTTTTGTCTTTGAACCTGATGCGGTTTTGACAGCTCTATCTGGAAATTGAGCCAGCATATGGGAGCCAAGGGTGAAAGTTTTCCTGGGAGATTTGGGCTCCAAGGTACTGGATAGATGCTAAAGATTCCATTCAGTTTTTCATTTTCTGTCTTCATGGAACTCTCACACCTACAGGGGAAGAAATGGTTTAGAGGTTACTAAAAGTATATAGCCTGGTTTAGGTGATAGTGAGCTATAGAAAAAGAGAAAATAAGTTGTCAATACTTTAAATCTCAAACAACTTCTTACAAAAGGATTTTAATAGTTTAAATACAATTATCACAAGTTGGGTAAAGACAACCAGACCTATGGCCTGATAAATCATGTATTTAATTTATGCATATAGTTAGGGCCAAAAAGAGCAGAGTATCTTTTTGAATGTTTTAAAATATAATCTAGGATTTTATGCCTACAGTCCTTGAAATTACAAAGGATCTCTCTCAAGTTGGGAATATGCTATCCATTGCAGTTACGGATGGGATTTAGAGACTGTTTTAATTTCTTGTGATTATCTCAAACAACGTGTTCCTTACTCCCAAAACTCCCTTGTATGGCTACAGAAACTGTTGCAGTTTTAGTTGCTTCTCCCCTGCCTTTGCCCAGAGGTAGTGTGGAATGCCACCAATTTTATCTGTAATGGTTCCTTTCAAGCCTGGGGCTATGTAAGCTGCTATATATGCTTCATTCCATTCATCATTCAGTCTAAATATAGCTATCAACCACTAAATTATCTGATAGGTATGCATGAACTGACTGATTCTTTGCATAACTACTAAGCTATCTGTTTTATTTAGGCTTGGGAGCCCTAGGGTAAGGATACGGAATAAATTGTAAATGATATTAAAAGAATAGCTTGGCAAGGAATAATACCTCCTCAGGGGCCAAAATGCAAGGCAACACAAAGTGATTTTTTTGGTGATATAATTATAACACATGTAGTATGGTAGTGATAACTAAAATAAAATTGGATAGCCTCAAAATTCCTACATGTAGTATGATAAACAATGTTCTAAGACTGAGGCCTTTGGGAGGTAGTGAGTTATTTCCTATAGATAGAGAGTAAAATTATTCCTATAATTTGGTATGAAAGTTTTACCAGAAATTTTGCTTCACAGTAAATCATCTGGATTGGGTGAAGCCAGGTAGGGATTGAGAAGTGAGTCAGGTGGGTTGCATAGATGAGTTTGTGCTGCAGACCAAACTCCTCTTCCCATAGCTCACTTCTTCCCACTCCTGCATGTTAGAGAGAAGACTAGAATGTGTCAAATACAACCTATAGGATAATAGTTCAGAGCATTAGCTTCGGAAGTAAACACTAGGTTGATGCCCTGGTTCTTCTAATTTCTAGCTGTGTGACCTAGGGAAAGTTACCTGCTGTGTGCCTCATTTCCCTTATTTGTAAAGTTGAGACAATAACAACTCCCTCACAAGGTTGTTGTGAAGATTAATGAAAAAGCAGTTTCTGAGAGGTTGTGAGTGTTCAGTAAAGAAAGAAATTGCTTTCCTTTTTTTTTTTTTTTGAGACAGATTCTCATTCTGTCATTCAGGCTGGAGTGCAGTGGCGTGATCATGGCTCACTGCGCCTCGACTTCCCCAAGCTCAGGCAATCTTCCCACCTCAGCCTCCTGAGTAGCTGGGACTACAGGTGCGAGCCACCACACCTGGCTAGTTTTTGTATTATTTGCAGAGATGGGGTCTCGCCTTGTTGCCCAGGCTTGTCTCAAACTTCTGGGCTCAAGCGATCTTCCCACCTCAACCTCCCAAAGTGCTGGGATTACAGGCATGAACCACTACACACAGCCTATTTTCCATTTTCACTGCCATTATTTTCTCTGTCTCTTGTGTGGCTCATTACTGCCACTTCTGTGCACCATTTCCATCATGTCACATGCGTAGTCAAAACCCTCAGTGACTGCCTAATTCTCAGAGGGTAAAAGTGAAATTCCTTGGCCTGGAAAGTGCAATCATGCCTGAAGTTCTACCTGTGGGAGCTGTACTAGTTATCTATTGTGTAAAAAGTTACCACAAGCTTAGCAGATTAAAACAACACATATTTAATATCCCACAGTATCTGTGGGCTAGGAGTCCAGGCACAGTTCAGCTGGATCTTCTGCTTCTAAGTCTCATATGGTTGCATTCAAGGTGCTGGCTAGAGCTATGGTCTCTTCTGAGGCTTGACTGGGGATGGATATACTTCCAAGCCAATGCAATTACTCAGAGGCCGTCTTTAATTATTTGCCATGTGGCCTTTTCCATAGGGTAGCTCACAACGTGGCATCTTGCTGCAACAAGTCAGCAAAGGAGAGAGTCTTCTATCAAGATTAAAGTTAAAATCTTATGTAACGTAAACATGACATCCTGTCACCTGTGTTGTATGCTATTGGTTGAAAGTAAATCACGGGTCTGCTCATACTTATGGGGAGGGGATCACACAAGGGTGTGACCACCAAAGGCAGAGATCATGGGAGCATTCTTAGAGTCTGTCTGCCACAGGGCCAGGATCAAATGCTGGTGGCTGATTGCCAGCTCCACTGTTTATTTCTCTCAGCCGCTTTCTGTATGTACAAAAAAGGAGAGAGAGTGATTTTCTACCTCATAGTGTTGTTAAGAAAATCAAATGAGGTAAATTATTTTGCAAAGTATTCTCTACTCATCTGACTCCTACCTACTTTCAGGTCTGTCTTAAGTTGCAACTTCTGCATGAGGGCTTGGCCAAGTATGGTCACCTGCATGAATTTCCTCTTTCTTGTAACAGAAACTGCTTGGCCCACTCATAATTTATACATTATTATATACTCTTATGTTTCATTAATGAAACATTTATAATGCATATCTTATCTGTCTGATAAAATGGAAAGCAATCTAAGGACAACGACTTTTCCCCTATACATAACAAAATATAAAATAAATCATAACATAATAAATAATAAATAAATAATAAAATAACTAACATTTGTTGAATGATTAGGATGTGTTAGGCACTCTTGTAAGCATTTCATTTTTTTGTTACTTCTTCAAATCCTTACAACAGTCCTTGGAGGTAAGTCCTATTATTACTTTCATTTTGCAGATAAGACAACTGTGGCTCAGAGAGGCTAAGGTACTTGAGTCCAGGAGCAGAATTCTTACTTTCCTCAAACGTTATCTCTTTTGTGTGGTCTAGGGCAGTACAATATACCAAGTAGTTGCTCATTTTGGTCTTTGGTAAATGGAAATGAATTTGTAAGTTGAGAAAAGACTACACTACAGTAGTTTGGAGAAGTCCACTTTCCAACTGATGTTCAAGATTCAGGAGGGGGGGAAATGTGTCCTGGCATCATCACTTGCTTGATGATTTCTTTTGCTGGTAGAAAATCACCATGGCTACCAATGGCCATTTTCTGGGAAGCCTTTTTTGGGAATCCTAACTTAAGATCAAAATCCCTGGGCTAAGTCACGGCAGCTAGGAGGTTACTGTGAACCGGTTCTCATTTCTTATGGTTTCCATTGTTATTAGGGGGCTGTATTCTCATTAAGTCCACTCTGAGCTCTACTGGATTCTCTTTTTAGAGCACTCGTCTTTGAATTCTTGGCCAACTCATCTATGTCACAGCACTAAGGCTATAAATTCCAGGGCCCCACAATGTGGATTATCTGTGAGAATTCATTTCCAGTTCTGGGGACAAGACCCTTGGGAAAACCAGGCAATAGGCCAGAGAGAGACAGAGAGAGAGAGAGTGGTCAAAAGTGGCCTGGTCACTCTTAACCTAAACCTTGACCTTCAGCGGAGTAGAGGACTAAATCACTCAGGAAATATTAAATGTTTCACCAGATATTATTTGGACTATATCTTCTGTTCTATCTCTTCAAGCAATGCCATTCCAACTTCAATTTTCTTTTCTGTCATTTCAGAATAATGCTGGGGACAAATGGTCTGCCTTTTTAAAGGAACAGTCCACACTTGCCCAAATGTATCCACTACAAGAAATTCAGAATCTCACAGTCAAGCTTCAGCTGCAGGCTCTTCAGCAAAATGGGTCTTCAGTGCTCTCAGAAGACAAGAGCAAACGGGTACGTTTGTGAACATTTTAGCATTGATCCCAAGAGTTGAAATATTTGGGAAATATTAAACATTAATATCACCCACAGCAGCTGCCTTTATTTGAAAAAATAGTAATGCTGATGTTAGAAAAATCTCTCTCTATGCCTAGGTAAGGTGTCCATATAATTTATTATTCAAACTGGAATCTTTGAGAGTGAAAGACACTGGTAATTATTATATTCAAACACAGAGTTAAACTGAGATTGTCCCTGGCACTGTGGTGTGTATGGACACCCCCTAGTGTTAGGTCACCTTCCTGAAGGATCAGGCAGCCTGAAGAATACAGTTAGTTTATGTCAGTGGTTCTCAACTGGGGGTGATTTAGCCCTCCGGGGATATTTGACAATGTCTGGAGACGTTTTTGGTTGCCACAAATGGGGATACTGTTGACATCTAGTGGGTAGGGATGCTGCAGAACATTTCACAATGCATGGGATGGCCCCCAACAACAAAGAATGATCTTGTCCACAATGTCAACAGCAAACTTTTTTTTCTGTAAAGGAACAGATGACAGTAAATATTTTAGGTTTTGTGTATTTAGGTATTGTCTGTGTTGCAACTAGTCAACTGTGCTGTTGTATCAGGAAATCAGCTGTAGCTAATATATAAATGAACAAGTATGGCTGTGTTCAAATAAAACTTTACAAAAACAGGCAGCAGACAGGATTTGGTCTGCAGAACACAGTTTGCAGACCTCTGATATAGCCTATTGAAATATTTTTAACCTAAAATATTTAGCTATTTAAAAAGAAAGTCTTCTTTCTCAGTTGCTTGTCCTCTGGAACTTTGTATGTTCTAATCTGTGAATATAAAAATAAAAATGCATCAAAAAGGCAAAGATAAAACCATGTGAAATGTATCTTTCTACAAGTTAACATTTATTTTTCTGCATTCTTTGGGTCCAATTATCCAACTAATTATCAATGCACTTTACTTTATCCATTCTATGTTTCTCCATTTTTTCCCCCAACAAGGACACTATAAGAAACCTTGCCCATTCGCATATAGACAATCTGGTCTAGCCTAGGTGGAACCTAGAAATTCTATTTTTTAAAAAATCCCCAGATAATTCTAATGTGTAGCCAGGACTGAAAACCACTGAAATGCATGTAAGAGCTTAAAGTGTTTGGGAAGAGGAGGGACTCAAGGTTGCTTAGATTTGATGGAGAGGAAGCCGTGGAGATTGAAGAAGAGCTGGAGAGAGACCATGAGGGGTTTTGTGCCATGGTAAGGAATTTAGGTTTGTTCCTTTGGACTATGGGATCGTGTGGAAGTTTTAAACATAGGATCTATTTCATGTTTTAGGATGACTCTCAAGGCAGAACCAAAGGGAAATAGGAGAAGGAGAAACAGATCCTTTAATCCAGTGCTTCTTAAATCAATCTGAGGGAGAGAACCATTTCCTTCCTTCCTTCCTTCCTTTCTTCTCTTCTTCCTTCCCTCCTTCTCTCCTCCCTCCCGTCTTTCCTTTCTCCCTCCTTTATTCCTTTATTTCCAATACATTGCAGATCAATACTTGCTTAAGTTCATTGATTACATGCTTAGATGTCATGGAAATATCAAATTGTTCTCCAAAGTTTATAAACTTTTATTCTCTTAATTCCTGTACTTATCACAGAATGGAAACAAACTGTCACTTGCACTGGTCCACGGATTACACCTGGAGTAGCACTGCTTCACTATATCACCTTCACTTTATCTGCAGGGTAAAGTTTAAAAACTTTGGTATGGCATAGACGGTCCCTCGTGATCTGGCCCCTGCTTGTCTCTCCATTCTCATGTCTTTCATTTCCCCTAATGAACACCATTGCTCCAGTTTCATTCAACATCTCACTGTCCCCTGAGAATGCCTTGTCTTTTCCAACCTCCTTCCATCTTTTAGACTCTTCCCTCTACCTCCCTTCTCTACATGACCAGTGCCTACTTCTTCTCCAAGACACAGCTCTTATCTTCCCTTCTCTTTGGACCCATTCTTGAATCTCCTGGTTATTAGTTATTAATTTCTCCCTGCTCCTATACTACCGCATCACTTTTTGGTGACAGTTATAGCACTTGTCATTCTGTTATGTATTAATAGTTATTGATTTCATGGCTGCCTCACTGTCCTATGACTTTATGGTCTTTGACTTGTTCACTTCAGAATTGTCAGAGTGTAGGACATATTCCAGGTTCAATAAATGCTGAATGAAACAAAAAATGCACCTCTCTGTGTATGTGTGGATAAGAAAACTTCTTTGGGTTTTGGTAGATCTGGTTATTTCAATTACTCCATATATATTTATTATGTGCTTATAGTACTTTGTGCTAGTCGACAGTGGGGAAACTTAACTGGGCTATTCCTTCTCCACATACAGAAAGATACATGGCAAAGAAGTAAATTGCTGTATTTTGAGTAATCAAAAAATCATGTGGTCAAAAGGATATCTTTATATTAGCATTCTCTTCAGCAAAATTTCCATTGTTAACATTGTTTATTATCTTTAATTTGCAGTTGAACACAATTCTAAATACAATGAGCACCATCTACAGTACTGGAAAAGTTTGTAACCCAGATAATCCACAAGAATGCTTATTACTTGAACCAGGTAGGCTACTAATTTTTAGTAGTGATTATGAAATTTACTTTTCTCTCAGATTTTAAAAATGATTGCAGATATGTGTGTTTCAACACATAGATGCTCTTTTAACTTTTAGTAAAACTTTCTTGTAAATTGTATCACATTTACTTAATTTGATCAAGTCAGTAAGTAAGTCATTTCAGTGGTTTATTTTCTCTGCAGACATATTTTGGAACTATAAGGGCAAGGACATGAATGAATCATGAGATTTTATTTAACCACTTTATGACCTGATGTCTGCCAACCTTACTTTTAATTCTTTAAAGTTCATGTAGTTCTTTACAAATAAAATTTTTACAAAGGCATCTTTTCTTGTCTTTGTGTGCTTTGGGATAACAGGTTTGAATGAAATAATGGCAAACAGTTTAGACTACAATGAGAGGCTCTGGGCTTGGGAAAGCTGGAGATCTGAGGTCGGCAAGCAGCTGAGGCCATTATATGAAGAGTATGTGGTCTTGAAAAATGAGATGGCAAGAGCAAATCGTAAGTTTGCTGATCTGTAGAGGTCCTGAAGCTCTCTGTGTGGCCACGGGGCTATTTCTTCTGCATTACCAAGCCTGCCCTTTGATATCAGGGATACCCCTCAATTAACAATCATGTCCTCAACAATTCAGATTACCTGTTTTCAAAAGAAATTACTGGGGAAAAAGAAAAGGTGCACTGGCATTCTACAATTCAAGAAGCTCAAGAATGAGACTCAACTACAAGGCCTAAAGTAAATTATCCAGGAATTATGAATTATAAGTAATCTAGGAAGATCTCAGGCCCCTAAAAGTTCCCGAGGGAGTCTGGGGATTAAGGGGGGGAATCCCATTTCTCAGGATGAAAGACAGAGTCACTGCCTTTTGTCTAAAGCCCCCACAGTTCACTTTCAAAGGTCATTTGTGTGTCTACCTTAGGGTGATACCCCAGAAAGAAAAAATATCAGATTAGTTTAGGCTGGAAATGTATTATTTTCTGCAGTTGTAATTATATCTCAGATTATGTGGTCATAAAAAATCTTAACATAGGAAGGAATTTCCATATCTCTTAACTTATTCTCTTCCCTGAATAGTGAGCTGAAGTCATGGAATCATGATTCACATTTTGCTTTGATGATTTACTGCCCACTGAGGTTGAGTAAGGAAGAATTTTTTTCCCGCATTTGTTGTTTTAACATTTCTTTCACTGCCACTTAAATTCAGTATTCTTAAGCCTTAGGCAAGCTGGAGACAATAGCTTATCACCATTTTTAAAACAATATCCTGCATGTCCTTTCATCCAAATATTTATTTCTCTCCTCATCTTCCTGATCATTAATTGCCAATGTGAATGTAAAAATAAAAATTATTAAATTATGTTTACAAACTTTATTAGCTAATATCCTGACACAAGCTTGTGTTTTCTGATGGTGAGATACTAAAGGAAGCACATAGAAACATGCTATTGATACATATAATTTGCAAACAAACACAGGTTCACTGTGGCAAAGTCTAAGATGAGTTGGGTCTGATCTAAAAATAAAAGGCCATGAACAAAAGAAGAATTTAAAAACTTAGAGATCCAGTCACATATTTTAAAGCTAAAGATACAAACTGATGTATCAAGAGAGTACACACCCAGGGTTAAGAGACTAGGAATGTGCTTCTTTCGCTTACCAGCTGTGTGATCTTGGACAAGTGATTTAACCACTCTAAGCACAGGTTGTTGGTGGGAATATAAACTGGTGAAGCTGTTATGGAAAAATAGTATGAGGATTCCTAAATAAATTAAAAATAGAATTACCGTATGATCCAGCAATCCCTCTTCTGGGTATATACCTAAATTAGATGAAATTACCACTTCATAAAGATATCTACACTGCCATGTTCACTGCAGCATTATTCGCAATAGCCAAGATAGGGAAACAACCTAAGTGTTTGTCAAGGGATGAATGAATAAAGAAACCGTGGTGGGTATATGGAATGGGATATTATTCAGCCTTAAAAAAGAGGAGATCCTGTCATTTGCCTCAACATGGATAGACCTGGAGGACATTATGCTAAGTGAAATAATCCAGACATAAAAAGAAAAATATGGCATCATCTCACTCAAAAGTGGATTCTACAAAAAAATCAAATATACAGAGATAGAGTAATAGTGATTACCAGGGGTGAGGTGGAGCGGGGTGGGATATGGGGAGAAGTGGGTTAAAGGATACAAAGTAGCAGATATGCAGGATGAACAAGTCTAAAGATCTAATGTACAACATAAGGACTGTAGTTAGTAATAATGTTTTGTATTCAGGATTTTTGCAAAATGAGTAGATTTTAGCTGCTCTTCCATGGGGGGGATAATGCTTAACTATGTGAGATGATGGATATGTTAATTTGTTTTACTATAGTAACCATTTTATTATATAAGTATCTCATAACATCATGTTGTACACCTTAAATATACACAATAAAATTTATTTAAAAATAAACATAGGCTGTTACTCTGCACAGTGGGAGTTATAATAATGACAATCTTGTATGGTTCTTGTGCTTATTAAATAAAATAATACATTTAAACTCCTGGCACAGAGCAAGTGCTTAAACAGAGATTACTTAATGTTATTATTCATTTGCATCCCTTTGAGTTGATGTTTATCACAATAAAAATGTGATAAGCCTTTAAATTTCTTTTAACCTCCCAGCAAGGCTAATCTATGTATTTTGTGCTTTCTCTCTTTCTTTCCCTTATGTTCTTCCCTTTCTCTTTAAAAAAAAAAACAAACAGATTATGAGGACTATGGGGATTATTGGAGAGGAGACTATGAAGTAAATGGGGTAGATGGCTATGACTACAGCCGCGGCCAGTTGATTGAAGATGTGGAACATACCTTTGAAGAGGTAAGCAAGGAACTGTACACACAAACAGTTGTGGGGCAGTGTATGGGAAAGAGGGACAGTGACTAAAGGCATTCTGGCTCATTCTTAACACATTGGTCAGCCATTCCCAGGCCTCATAAAGTTATGGAATATTAGAGTTTGAAAGATTTTAGAGAATAATAGGACAGCCCCTACAGATGATCAGAATTGCGCTGCTTTCCTCCTTCTTTCAGTCACTGACCATTAATTACCAATAGAAAGACTATAAGAATGAAATATTATAAGAACAAATGGTCCTTTAGATTATAAGTAGGAATGATCTTCTTGAGCTACCTGGGGCTGGCACTGTCTTCCTGTGTTAGCAGAGCTATGGACTTTGCTTTCTTCCTCAGGACAATTGATACTATTACTTTGAGTAAGCTAGTCTTCATAGGGAAGAGAGAGTTTTGTGAACAGAAATGTCCCATGGATGTTTTTCCTTCATTTTGGCCCCATGCCTCCCCTTTACGTGAACCTTCAAACTTCTGATGTGAGTTACCTTGTCACAGCCATAGTTTGGCAGAGCTATCAAAAATGGAAGTAAGACAAACAACTCCCCAAAAAGGAAATGGGAAGAAGACTTGAATAAGTACATCATCAAAGAAATTACACAAATGGCAAATAGGCAAATAAAAAGTTATTAGGGAAATGCAAATTAAAGCTATGATGAAAATCCACTCCACACCCACCAGGATAGCTATGATTAAAAAGATGGACAATACCAAGTATTGGGGAGAATGTGGAGACACTGGAGCCCTCTTACAGTGCAGGAAGAAATGTAAAATGGGGCAGTCACTTTGGAAAACAGTTTGGCGATTTCTTAAAAAGTTAAACACACACTTACCATGACTCTTAGGTTTCTATATGAAATAAATGAAAACATGTGTCCTTATCCATAGAAAGACATACACAAATGTTCATAGCAGCAATATTCATAATAGCCCCAAACTGGAAAACCCAGCTGTCCTTCAACTAGTGAATGAATAAACAGACTCTGATATACTCAAAGTAGCCGGAGATAGGAGTGGAACTGACTACAAGAAACCTTTTGTGGTTATAGAAATATTAAAAAACTAGATAGTGGTGATGGTTTCCCGGTAGTTTTAATTTATTGAAACTCATGGAACTACACACTTGAAAATGGGTGGCTTTTATAGTATGTAAATTATACCTCAATGTAAAAACAAAGGAAGTAGGTAACAATCTTAAAAATGAATATATATTTTTTGCATCTGCTTTTATTTTGGGACCTGTGTTCTCCCAAGTATGTTTATTGGTTTATGCAGTGGAGTTATCATCAAGTTCTAGGAAGAAGGAATACTTTTAAATTTTCCAGAAATTTGAGAGAAGAAGAATTATAATTTGGGGAAATTCTACTTGTTTAAAGAATCTCCTATTTCTAGTGTTGTGGAATGGAAATTAGAATTGGTTACTCTTTGTCTTAAACTTTCTTCCTGGGCTTTTCAGATTAAACCATTATATGAACATCTTCATGCCTATGTGAGGGCAAAGTTGATGAATGCCTATCCTTCCTATATCAGTCCAATTGGATGCCTCCCTGCTCATTTGCTTGGTAAGAAGCCCCATGAATTCTTCGTGTACTTGGCTCTTTGTTATTTCTAACAATAAAATTGCCTTTTTGAGTGAGCCTTAACATAAAACTTTTGAAAAATTCTGTAAGTGGTTAGTAACATTGTAGAAATCGCATTTTGAAAGCATTTTCTTCAACCAAAAGTCTATTTTAAACAATTCTCTATTGTATTACTTTTTTTGTACATAAAGAGTTATTATTTTGGCTGCAATTCAAATGATAAAGGGGTTATTTAAGATAACTAGAGAAAGAATTACAGGCTCAAATGAGAGTGGAAATGGGGAAAATAATTTTTAGTATTCAAGTTGATTGGCTAAGCTCTTAAGGTGGAATTTGAGATTTTAGTATCATATTGTCAGAGCTTGGTTGGCTGGGGGTGGTCAGGGGTAACAGAAGGTTATAGCTTGAGCGAAAGCTTCCTAAGTTCATTCTAGACTTCACCAATTACTCTTGCTGAAAAGTGCTTGGCTTGGAATCGTATAAGTGAAGAATGAATGAAAGTGACCATCTTCCCCTCTCCCACCGCAGCAGCTGAGGCCAAATAAAATATAAATATTTGAAAATTTCATGCCATGCATATATAGCATTTCTACTGTAGTCAAACTAAGTTGCTGGAAGCTAATCTCCTCCACAGCCATACCTCGTGTCTGTCAGCAGGAGAGAATGCGGAGAAAGGACCTGTGGAGGCTTTTAACTCTAAAGTAATATGGAAATCCTTCCTACAATGTCAATGGCAAGCATTATTTAGTAATTCAGTTTCTGCTTAAACCTGTCTGGTGTGATGGGATAATTTCTTCATTCCAATATAGACTAATTTACTGCTACATGGAACCAATGTAATACAATTCTACCTTATGTGGAACTTAAGCAACACCCCTCTGATGCCTTCCATTCATTAGCCCTATTTCCATGCTATGAGGTTACCCAGAATGTCAATTCCTATTCTACAAGATGACCTTCCAGATATTCATAAAGAACCATCATATAAGATACAGCATAGTACCTGGTGCAATACATTTTAGTGACTATTATTGTTATTGTCATGTTTACCCTATTTTCTTTTGTCAAGTTAAATATCTTATACATTATCAACCATTCCTTAAAACCTCACTTTTCTATAATTGTTCTCCTTTCAATGAGCTGTACTTTGTCAATGTCCCTCCTCAATTATCATGCTTAGAGATGAACAGTTACTCCAGATGAGGTTTGACCAACATAAAGAAAGACATGGTACCATGACTACCTTTGTTCTAGACACTATACTTCTATTGATTTAGCTCAAGTTCACATTTATGCTTTAGAAGCCAGGTCATACTGTTTGTTGGCTCATTTTTGGTCTTTTACATGTGGACTGTGCTTTAGCCTGATGTCACATATATGTTTTTATGATGGATAGGTTTTTCTTTAAAATTTAAGCATAGGACTTCACATGTATCACTACTAAATTTTATGTTTTAAAATATAAGTTTAGGGAGTACTTTTATTTTTTTCAGAGTCTCGCTCTGTCGCCTAGGCTGGAGTGCAGTGGCTGATCTCAGCTCACCGCAACCTCTGCCTCCTGGGTTCAAGCGATTCTCCTGCTTCAGCCTCCTGAGTAGCTGGGATTACAGGCTCAAGCCGCCATGCCCAGCTAATTTTTGTATTTTTAGTAGAGACAGGGCTTCACCATGTTGGCCAGGCTGGTCTCGAACTCCTGATCTCAAGTGATCTGCCTGCTTCAGCTCTGCAAAGTGCTGGGATTACAGGAGTACTCTTCATGAAGTTTGTTGCCCCATTTTTTTGGCACCAGGATTCTGGTCCTGCTCTTGGATTGACTTTTTCTAGATACATCTTCTTTTTTATGGTCCCTGGCCTTGGAATACAACTTAACATTTGTTTGAGATGTTTACAAAGTCACCAAGTTAAGTACACGAATATAGGAATAAAAGTGGAATTTAGTTACCAGTTAGTAGAAGTTCCTGAATGATGATCTTATATGATCTCTTTTGAAGCCAACACTAGGAATTACTAACAGCTTAATTTGTAATATTTTGTACCATGGATGGTAGATTATAGAAATCTCTTTCTAATTTACAGTGTCAATGATGGTCCATATATTTAATAAATTATGTCTACATTTCTGCTGTGTTGTCATATACTAACAGATTCTTTTTTAAATATAGGTGATATGTGGGGTAGATTTTGGACAAATCTGTACTCTTTGACAGTTCCCTTTGGACAGAAACCAAACATAGATGTTACTGATGCAATGGTGGACCAGGTAGGAAAAAGAGCCCTTAAAAACTAAATCTAAATTCTCAACTTCATTTATTTTTATGTCATCCTTCTATTTTTATTTTTATGTGAAACCATGTAAATAAAAAATTTAAGCTAATTGAAATTTATTTCTTATGTAGCTATAGTTTCATGGAAAAGCAGTTTACAATGGCCTCAGATAACTTGAATTGCAGGTGTAGTATTGATCTCATTGAAAGGTATTTGAAATGGAGATTACCTGAGTTTTCCATTAAGCGGTAAGATGTAGAATTGTCAACTGGTTGGTATCACTCATTCCAAAGTTTGTCATTGCTAAGTAACCAGCCAGTAATCTCTATGGATAGTAAAAACAAGAATATTATGAGGGGATTTTTGCATATTTAAAAAATTATTAGTGTTAAAAATATTACAAGAATCTTTAAAACAATTTTAAGTAACATCTTTATTACTACTTTGGTTTAATTATTTAAATGTGCTAGGTTCCTCAAAACACAAGTAAGTACATAGCCCATGGACCCAATAAAGCAACTACACAATCGAGACTACAAAGCAACCAGCTAACAACAGCATGACAGGAACGCTTCACCTAACAGACAGAGAGTGGCAAATTGGAGAGAAAAACAAAACCTAACCTTCTACTGTCTTCGAGATTCATCTCACGTGTAATGACACCCATGGGCTCAAAGTAAAGTGATGCAGAAAGATCTATCATGCAAATAGAAAACAAAAAAGAGCAGGGGGCTGCTATTCTTGTATCAGATAAAACAGACTTTAAACCAACAACAGTAAAAAAGGACAAAGAGGGTCATTACATAATGATAAAGGGTTCAATTTAACAAGAAGACTTAATTATCCTAAATATATATGCACCCAACATTGGAGTATCCAGATTCATAAACATAGCACTTTTAGACCTAGGAAAAGACTTAGACATCCAGAAAATAATAGTGGGGGACTTCATCACCCCACTGACAGTGTTATACAGATCATTGAGGCAGAAAACTAACAAAGAAATTCTGGAAATTCTGGACTTAAACTTGACACTTGACCAATTGAACCTAAGAGACATCTATAGAATATTCCACCCAACAGCTATGGAATATACATTCTTCTCATCTGTATACGAAACATACTCTAAGACTGGCAACATGCTCAGTCATAAAGCAAGTCTTAATAAATTCAAAAAATTAAAATTATGCCAAACATATTCTCAGACCACAGTAGAATAAAAATAGAAATCAATACCAGGAGGAACTCTCAAAACCATGAAATAACCTGGAAACTGAACAACTTATTGCTGAATGACTTTTGAGTAAACAATGAAATTAAGGCAGATATCAAAAAATTCTTTGAAACAAATGAAAACAGAGACACAGCATACCAACAACATATCTGGGATGTGGCAAAAGCAATGTTAAGAGGAATGTTTATAGTGCTAAATGCCTACATCAAGAACCTAGAAAGATATCAAATTAATAATCTAACACCACACTTAAAGGAACTAGAAAAACAAGAACAAACTAGTTCCAAAGCTAGAAAAAAAGAGATAACTAAAATCAGGGCAGAATTAATGAAATTGAGACCTAAAAAATCATACAAAGGATCAACAAAATGAAAAGTCAGTTTTTTAAAAGGATAAACAAGATGGAAAGACCTCTAGCTAGATTAACAGAGAAAGAGAGAAGATCCAAATAAGCACAATCAGAAATGACAAAGGTGACATTGCAACTGATCCCACAGAAGTACAAACCTTCCTATTGAGTACTATGTTCATATCTGGTTGATAGGACCAATAGAAACCCAACGTCAGTATCACACAATATACCCTTGTAACAAACCTGCACATGTACTCCCTGAATTTAAAATTAAAATTAAAATTAAAATTAAAAAATTATCAGGCCGGGCACGGTGGCTCACAGCTGTAATCCCAGCACTTTGGGAGGCCGAGGTGGGTGGATCACGAGGTCAGGAGATCGAGACCAGCCTGGCCAACATGGTGAAACCCCGTCTCTACTAAAAATACAAAAAAAAAAAAAAAATTAGCTGGGCATAGTGGTGTGCGCCTGTAGTCCCAGCTATTTAGGAGGCTGAGGCAGGAGAATCACTTGAACTCGGGAGGCAGAGGTTGCAGTGAGCCGAGATCATGCCACTGCACTCCAGCCTGGGTGACAAAGTGAGACTCTGTCTCAAAAAAAAAAATTCTCTGTGTTCCCTTCTGTTGATGAAATGGTATTATAGTTATAATTATGTATATTTGTTCATTCAACTAAAATTCTACGTTTCTGAGTAGAATATCTAATCATATTTCTATTTGCCTTATAAAATTTCTTCAGATAATTGCACCATAATTTACTATTTGTGCATTGCTGAACCTTTGCTTGTTAATAGTTTTACATCTGTAAGAAGCAATGCAATGAACATCTTCACATACATAACATACTCCTGGGAAAAGTCCACTGCAGAATAAAAAGTGAAACTGCAAGGGCCTCTAAACTCTTGTAGCTGTTGTAGCTCCACTTTGAAGTTGAGCAGCAGTATAGGGCCATCTTGATGTAGATTTTTAGTCTTTCTAAAGGGTTTTTACACCCGTCTCTTCTATTGTCATCTCTGACTCAGGATAGGTATTGTGACAGCTCCATGCTATAGGTGAGGAAACTGAGGCTCAGGTAAATGATTTGCCCAAAGTCACAAATCACACAGCCTCATTCTTTCTGTTTTTTTTGTACCAATTAACCATCCTCACCTGCCCCTGCCACCTTCCCACTACTCTTTCCAGCCTCTGGTAACCATCCTTCCACTCTGTATGTCCATGAGTTCAACTCTTTTGATTTTTAGATGCCATAAATAAGTGAGAACAAGTAATGTTTGTCTTTCTGTGCCTGGCTTATTTCACTTAATATAATGACCTTCGGTTCCATCTACGTTGTTGCAAATGGCAGGATTTCGTTTTTTTATGGCTGAATAGTATTCCAATTTGTATGTGTACCACATTTTCTTTATCCATTCATCTACTGATGGACACTTAGGTTGTTTCCAAATCTTGGTTATTGTGAATAGTGCTGCAACAAACATGGGAGTGCAGATATCTCTTCAAAATACTGATTTCCTTTCTTTTGGGTATATACCCAGCAGTGGAATTGTTGGATCATATGGTAGCTCTATTTTTACTTTTTTGAGGAACCTCCAAACTGTTTTCCATAGTGGTTGTACTAACTTACATTCCTTCCAACAGTGTAGGAGGGTTCCCTTTTCTCCACACCCTCATCAGCATTTGTTATTGCCTGTCTTTTGGATATAAACCAAAAAATTTTTCATAAATATAATTTGGGTGGCTGCACATTATTCTATTTTTCAAAGGTATCATTATTTATTTAACCATTCTGATGTTCGTTTCAACTTTTTCTCTATTAAAAATAATTCTCAATGTAATTGTTGAATCTAATTTCTGATAATTTTTTAGGTTAGTTCCTTAGAGACAGCATTACTGAGACAAAGAGAAGAATTTCAAATGCTATCCGTGTGTGTTATCAAATTACCTTTTGGAAAGGTTATGCCAATGTATATATCCAACAGAAATAATGCTGCTATTTTAAAAATGACATTAGCACTTTTTTCCATTTTAAAATTTTATTGTAAATTGACATTTATTATTGTATATATTTATGGGGTACAAGGTGATTTCATGATTTATGAATACAATGAAAAATAAATAAAGCTAATTAACATATCAATTACTTCACATACTTTTTTTGCAGTGAGAACATTTGAAATTTACTCTCTTAGCAATTTCAAAATGTACAATGTTCTATTATTAACTATATTTACTATGCTGTGCAGTAGATCTCAAAAAAATAAAACCAACTTATTCATCCTGTTTGAGACTTTGTACGCTTTGACCATCATCTCCCCGTTGCCCCCACCCCATAGCCTCTGTAACCACCATTCTACTCTCTGCTTCTACCAGTTCCATTGTTTTAGATTCCACACATAAGTGAGAACATGTGGTATTTGTTTTTCGGTGCCTGGCTTATTTAATTTAAGAATGCTGTTGTTTTGATGCTGGAATTAATACTGTTCTCTTTTCCCAGGCCTGGGATGCACAGAGAATATTCAAGGAGGCCGAGAAGTTCTTTGTATCTGTTGGTCTTCCTAATATGACTCAAGGATTCTGGGAAAATTCCATGCTAACGGACCCAGGAAATGTTCAGAAAGCAGTCTGCCATCCCACAGCTTGGGACCTGGGGAAGGGCGACTTCAGGTAGTGGGGCTGATACTTACACAACTGATACTAAATGGGAGACAACAGAGGCAGGCTGAAGTTTAACTTGAATTCTTTCTCTGCTTTTCTGAGCACAGAAAAGATAAGTTAATTCTCCTTGAACTAAGGCTGGGAGTCCAGGAGAGCACATTTGGGTTTTCCCAGGAAAAGAGGATTGCCAGCAGGCTCTAACTTGAACCTGTGGACAATCTGCTTTCTTGGAAATATCATGCATCCATTGGCGTTGTATGGTAATGGGGATGGTTGCACCCATATCAGGAAAGATTTGGTGCTAAGATTTTTGGAAGATGGACATATGAATCACACATTGATCTTCCCCTCCATGTTTCACTCTTGTGAATGAGACAGAATAGGTGAATAAATACGCTTGGATCGAAGGGAGAAAGTGGTACATGTCGTAAGAGAGACACAGGGCATGCTCTATGGAGAACTGGAAGAAAACTGACCACATTTGCAATAGGAGATAGGATCAGACCGTGCTTTACAAGTGGGATTTGAATTAGGTTTGGAAAGACAAGAAGGATTCAGATACACAGAGTCGGGAGGAGGACCCAAGCTGTGAGAACAGCAGGATCAAATACAGAGAGGCAGGACCTGACCTGCATACTGAAGTCGGCAAGTTAGGCTAGAATGAGAAATAAGTGAAGGAGAGTTTGTGTAATGTGGCAGAATGAGCACAGGCTTCAGAATCCTAGGTGTGTCACTTAATGACTATGCAACCTTGGACAAGGTATTTAACTTTCTTTGGTTTCAGTTTCCTTATTTTATAAAGTAGAATAGTAATTCCCAGGTTGCAGGCTTGTGAGAGCCTTAGGTTGGATTCCCTAGCTTGAAAAGGAGATCGTTTTACAAGTGCTTCATTGAGGAGAGCTCTGAGGCAGAGGGGAATGAGGGAAGCAGGCTGGGACAAAGGAGGGAGGTAAGTAAGAATGTGATCTTTACTGGAAACTTGGCCTCAGCCTTATCCCATGAAGCTCTCTGGAGCATAACTTGAGCCACAGACTAGGCCACACCTCAAGACAAGGGGGCTAGCCTTTTATATCAGGCAGTCTTTGGCTGTGGACTGCCCCAGAGTATGGGGGAGCATAACCCCCATTTAGCCAAAGGCAGTGAAGGGAGCAGCTGTAGGCCCTTATCAGCTGTGACTCAGGCAGCTAGGGGATGGTGGATAAAGTCTTGGCAGGCCCGCACCAGCATTGACTAGGGTAGGGATTGGATCTACAGTCCTTTTCTGTAAAGGGCCAGATAGTAAATAGTTTAAGCTTTGCAGATCTCTGTTACAACTACTCAGCTCTGCCTTTGTGACATGAAAACAGCCATAGACAATACACAAACCAATGGATGTGGCTGTGTGCCAATAAAAATTTATTTATAAAAACAATGGCTGGCCAGCAGGCCATAGTTTACTGATGCCAGTACTAGAGTGAGGCTTAAAAATGAGAAAGTATAAGTAAGTTTTCAAGCACAGAATCTTACATACAGTAGGCGGTAAATATATAGTAGTTATTTTTATAATTATTTCAAAAGAGAATAGAGAGAAACCAAATTAGAAAAGTAGGTTGGGGTTGTGAAAGGAAAATAGATTTACTGAGCATGAGATGAATACATAACTGAATATTTCCTTACCTTCCCCCTTTCTCTTGCAATGTGTGAATTACCATGCCCTCCCACTATCCTCTCCAGCTCACTTTTCTCCTATAAATGTTGAAGCCCTCAAAATTATTTTTGGAGAAAGGCACAAACCACAGACTGTTTCTATAAATTCTGTGTTCTTTTCTTCTGGGCATGTTCTTAACCTTGGCAAAATAAACTTGTGAATTGATTGAGACCTATCTCAAATAGTTTTTGGTTTACAGGGTCATATTGGTGTATAAAAGGTGGCTGAGTTTATTCTTGAGCAATGAGGAGGCCTCGCAGGATATTGGAGGGGGTGGTGACATGATCCAAGTGGTATGAAATACATTTAGGAATCTACTGATGTATGACCCCTACACCCATCTGAATGAAAATGCTCTTGCTAAGTTAAAAAGGACCACCATCTCATTGCCAAATGCAGTTCTTATCCCACTGGGCTATAGCAGCATTAGACAAGATTTACAAGTTGTCTTTCAAATGCTTTTTTTTTTTAACCGACTTCCACATTGTCATTCTTTTCCAGATTTCCTTGACCTCTCTGATTGTACTTTCTCCGTCTCCCCTGAATAATCTTCCTCTCCCCACTCCTTAGGTACTTGGACCTTCTAAAGGTTTATCTTTGGTCCTCTTTTCTTGCATTCTATTCCTGTTCCATGGCCCATCATATCTATTTCCCAACTTACATGCTAATGATTCCCAAGTTTCAATTTGCAGCCCCTTCTACTATTTCTCTATCCTGGCAATACCAAACAGCGTGCAGTGTCCTGAATGCCACATTTCCACCCCCCTGCCCCTAAGCCTTTCTCATTGAGCACTAGAACGTCAACTTCCATGTCATCTACCGGGCAAACTCCTGCACATTGATTAAGGTCCAAATTGCTCATTGTATCCTCAGTCATGCCCTTCTTGGTGCTTCTAGGGAACTGTGCCTACATTCACTCATTTTTACGCTCAAGGCTGTGTGTACTGATCACTTATAGAGTACTTGCCTCAGAGTTCTTGTAGCGGAGAACTCTGCTTATCTGTCTTCCTGTTAGTCTATGAGCAAGAGAACAGGATTCAGCTGTGCCCATTGCTTTATATTGAGCAACTAGTATTGTCTCTAGGACATAAGAGGTGGGTACTCAAGATTCACTGGTGAATAAATCTTGGAAAGATGATTCATGCTACCAAAACCCCATACAACTCCACTGTAATGGTTAAATGAAAGTCAGTGAGATTCATTTTCATCTTGTCCATTTTCATGCAGGATCCTTATGTGCACAAAGGTGACAATGGACGACTTCCTGACAGCTCATCATGAGATGGGGCATATCCAGTATGATATGGCATATGCTGCACAACCTTTTCTGCTAAGAAATGGAGCTAATGAAGGATTCCATGAAGCTGTTGGGGAAATCATGTCACTTTCTGCAGCCACACCTAAGCATTTAAAATCCATTGGTCTTCTGTCACCCGATTTTCAAGAAGACAATGGTATGGACATTTTCTCATGGCTTGTTTTGGAGGTTCTTTAATCTGATATGGGAAAAGGTATTTATTATGTAGGAAATATTTACTTTTTGCCACATAAGGTATGAGGTATTTATGGGTAACTGGAAATTACTACTGGTGAAAAAATTTAAGTATATATCAGAACATGTCAACTTTTGGTTTTGTATTATTGAAAAGGGAATAAGAGAGGTAACTGAATGAATGGACTTGGGATCCTGTGAAATATCTAACAGAAGTTTTTTTCTTAAAGATGATGAAACAGTCTCACAGAACTGAAATGGCTTGTCCAATTAGTGTCAGCATTCTAACTAGACCCCTCTGGTTCTAGGTAAAAACTTCCCAAAACTTTAGAGTTGGAATATATTCTAAAAACCATTTTATAGAGGAGTAAACTGAAGACAAGAGAGGGAAAGTAGCCCGAAGTCAAAACGCAATGTAGTGGCGGAACCAGAACAAGAGCCCTAATCTAAAGTCTTTTCCATAATATTATGCAAAGCAAAGTGTAGCTTTAAATTTTGGAATTCTTAAAGAACAGGTGTTTAATATCAAGATTAGAAGGGATTGAAACATTTTGTTCATCCTGCTGAAGCGTGAATTTCCCCTGTAACATCCCCTTAGATCTGTGCTATCCTTCAACATTTCTGCCTGAGGCAGCCCATTTCCTTTTAGATGCCTTGGACTTGATGGAACATGACAAATGTTCAGGAGATCCAATTTCTTCAGTGAGGATGCCATGGCTTTTGATTCTTCCTCATAAATGGAGGACAAATAGAGCCTAATACCTTCTTCTCTTCTGTATATTCTCTCCCCTATTTTTAGTTATTTGTGACATAAAGATCAGCTCCTCTGTCTGGAGCATTTGGTCGATGAGGTCAAGGTCATGAGCTCCATCCTTGAGTAGACAATTCACTTTGCCTTGATCTCTGGTTCCAGATACTTGGTGATCCCACAAGGGCCTGGGAGTGAGCCAGTGTAAAGCCTATCATCATGTTTGAAATAGTTACTGTAAGCACAGTCCTAGTGGATTACAGACCAGTAGCAGCATCCTCCCATGAAGACAGTAACAAACAAAGGTAGTTAACAGTAACCATACCTGCTTCCTAATTTTAAAATATCATTAATTCAAGTCAATGAACAGATATTTTATTATTTTTAAATATTCCCTGACAGCAGGTAAAAATGGTTGATGACTATGTTTCTTAAGATGATATTAGATCAGTGATGAAATAATCTGTACAACAAACCCCATGACACGAGTTTACCTATATAATAAACCTGGACACATACCCCTAAACCTAAAATAAAAGCTTTTTTTGTTTTTTTTTATAAAAAAGATAGTATTAGACATGGTTAAACCACCGGTTTGGAAAACTCCTGCTTTTTTTCTTGACTCTGCCCCTGATTTGTGAATAATGTTAAATAAATTCCTTTATTCCTTCCATTCCTCCCTCCCTCTTTCTCTTTCTTTCTTCTTCCAAACATATTTATCGAGCACATACTGTGTGCAAGACATTTTTCTAGACACTGGAGACACAGTGATGTGAAAAGTAGATAACATCCCCTGCTTACATTTCAATGCATTTCCTTCATACACTAGAGATGAACTCCACTGCCTCTTTATGTCACTAATAAAGGATAAAATGAAATAACATGATTTGTTAAAGCATTTTAAATTCTTGGTAAGGAAGATATCCTTACATTTAAAGTACATTGTACTTTTCACCATCCAGTGGATAGTGCCCTCCAGGAGGGCTCTTTTGTTTCATTTCCCCTCCCTGGTTTACAGGCTTTTCACTGAATCTGTTTAGTATTTGTTTATTTAACAAAGACTCACAGAAGGCATCACGTAGCAGACATGGGACTAAGTTATACAGTCTTAAATGAGACATTAACAGTCACTGACTTCATGGAGCTTTCCAGAATAAACAGTGTGACTGGGAAAGTGGATGAAATAGCTCTAATGAACTCTGATAAGAGGTATTTAAGGGAGGAAACTGAAACTAATGAAGAAAATGAGGATTAGAAGTAACTTTGGGTTTTATTTACCTGTTCTGTTCCAGGGCTTCAACCTACTCCAAATCCCTTAGCTGAGAAAATAAATATATACATATCATTATGAATACTGTCAATTTTTCTCATGTATCCTTATAGTAAGTACATCTTGAGGAATAATATTTTGAGGTTAGGAAAATTCTCTTTAACACAAAACATCCACTGTCATCTTCATCGTAATATTTATCCTTTTCTATTTTACTTTCAGAAACAGAAATAAACTTCCTGCTCAAACAAGCACTCACGATTGTTGGGACTCTGCCATTTACTTACATGTTAGAGAAGTGGAGGTGGATGGTCTTTAAAGGGGAAATTCCCAAAGACCAGTGGATGAAAAAGTGGTGGGAGATGAAGTAAGTCAATGAATATGCAATCAGTAAAATGTTTTCTAATGAGTTTGCTGTGTATTTAAAAGCATTTGACTGGCGTGTACACACACACACAGAGGCACACATTAACTAACTACTTTTTGTATTTTTAGTTTGTTATATTTTATATTTTAGTCTCCATTTGGATACCATCTCCTCAGATAAAATTTCCTTGGGTCAGGTGACACTACTTCATACTCTATATTCTTAAGTATTGGCTTACTCATTAAACTATGATATTATGTTGAAAGTGATCAATTTATTCATTTTACATATTCTTTTATCCAGCCTTTTAAACAAAACGGTGACCCCACATTTTAGGCAAAGCACTGGGGATCCAATGTTAATAATTTCAGGTATGGTCCTCAACCCCAAAAAACGTTTAGTTTATGGCAGGATGTGGAAAATTAAACCACTGCAATTTGTAGTGTTGTGATGGGAGGGTACAGGGTCCGTTAGCGTCCAGGGGAGATCCAAAGCCCAACTGGGGGTGTCAGATGAGGAGAGGCATTTAAGCCCTGAGAAAGGTGTGGGTGTAGAGGGGAACACAGAGAATTCCAAGCTAGAGAGAACCTGACACATTTGGGCAACAGTGACCATTTCCATGGTTGCAGCACTACGTTACTTATTGCTGTGTCACAAGTGCCTCACACTGTGCCTGTCACATGCAAGTATGAAATAAATAGGTTTTTGGAGGAAGGAATTATAAGAGAAAAAGAAAAAGAAGGAAAAAAAGAAAGGAGAGAGGGAGGGAGAGAATGGAAACAAGAAAGAAATCTATCTTCTTTTTACCATCATAGACCCTGGTCAATTATTTCTTTCTTTATTTTTCTTATATTTTCTTTTTGAAGTGAAGAACTCATGTGTAACAAGCAGTTCCACATGCACAGGTTTAAAACAGTACACTTCTTCTGTCAAGATTCTCTCTGTTAACATAAATCGTACTTGGGAGGAAAGACGCAGCACCTATAAGAACTGTTGCCAGTGTTTAAATATTACTGAAGTTATGTCTACAATGATCCTGCAATTTTAAAGGAAAAATGTATTCCATTTAATCAAAGCCAAATACATGATTTTGCTACCTTTTTTTCTGGTTGGATTAATCTTTTGACCCCTCTTAGCTTATTTTAAAGGCACATGGAATCAGATCCTTAGAGTGATTCATTAATGCATCAATTGTTCCTTTGTTCAGTAAATATAAATTAATTCTTTCTGTAGTGTCAGGCACCATGTTTGACACTGGAATTAGAGAGAAGACCAAGACACAGCCCCACCCTCTAGGAGCTCAAGTCTCTAGGGCAGGAAGTTACTATAGTTGAATAACTACAAAACGGGGAGATAAATGGCAAAGGAGGCACAACTAGAGAAGGCTAAAGGAGATTGAGGGGTTAATTCTGCCAGAAGGTGGATGGGATCAGGGCCAGGCTTCACAGAGGAGGGAACACTTGAGCTAGGTAGGCGTGGAGAATAAGTAAGATTTCAATTTTATTAAATTCTCTCTGCCAGGAGTACATGAAGTGTGGTGCCTGAGAGGAATTATTAGGGCTTTCACTGTACATTTTTGGCCATGCAATGCACTTTATGAATGTTATTAAATTAGTCTTTTGAAGACATAGCTATTTTCCAAGGGTATATTCTGGCTGAATTAATTAAAACTAAGAGATAACTACATAATGAGCTTTACTGTCTGATTTTTTAAAAATTTTTATTTATTTTTTATTTTTGTAGGTGATTTTTTTTTACATTGTTTCTATTTCACCCAACAACCATTTCTAATGTAAATACCATTGATTGGCTGGACACGGTGGCACCTGTAATTCCAGCATTTTGGGAGGCCGAGGTGGGCAGATCACTTGAGGCCAGGAGTTCGAGACCAGCCTGGCCAACATGGTGAAACCCTGTCTCTATTAAAAATACACAAATTAGTTAGATGTGGTGGTGCACACCTATAAACCAAGCTACTTGGGAGGCTGAGATGGGAGAATCGCTTGAACCTGGGAGGCGGAGGTTGCAGTGAGCCAAGATCGTGCCACTGCACTACAGCCTGGGTGACGGAGTGAGACCCTGTCTCAAAAAAAAAAAAAAAAAATTTGATTGATGAAACTGCACTAGTTATGCCCACCTGCTTGTGATGCTTGTGATGGGTGATCCACAGCTAATGTATTGTTTTCTTTTCTCCCCAAAGGCGAGAGATAGTTGGGGTGGTGGAACCTGTGCCCCATGATGAAACATACTGTGACCCCGCATCTCTGTTCCATGTTTCTAATGATTACTCATTCATTCGGTAAATTACAGTTTTCTTGTTTCTGTTTAACTTCTAGGGTTTGTGGACAGCTGTGCTAATAACGACAAAAAGTAGGGATAAATGAAGTGATAATTATAATTTTTCTATTTCCACCCATAACTACCAAGCTCAATACAGATGCTCCTTGCTTTACAATGGGGTTACATCCCAATAAACTCATCATAAGTTGAAAATACCTTAAGAATGCGCTGAATACACCTAACCTATGGTACACCAAAGCATAGCCTAGTCTACCCTAAACATGCTCAGAACACTCACATTAGCCTACTGTTGGGCAAAATCATCTAACACAAACCTTATTTTATAATAAAGTGTTCAATATCTCATGTAATTATTTAATACTGTGCTGAAAGTGAAAAACTTTGGGTACTTACCATTAACATATACAGCTGAAAGCGCTATTGTAAAGTCGAAAAATCAAAAGTCCAACCGTTGTAAGTTGGGAACTGTCTGTATAGATGATCAATTTCAATTCAATTTAAACTAACACAATTTATTGGGTTAAATTAAACTTGTGTAAGATCTTGTCCCCGTCATCAGCAATCAATAGTATCATTGGGAGAAATAAAAAGTAGTTTTGTCTTCTTGTTACTGGCAGTTTATTGTACATTGTGATAGAGAATTTTTAACTTGAAGTCCAAAAACATATGTTCTTCACCTAGTAACCCCAGTCCTTGAATTTGCTGGAGCTCAGTTTATTTGTAAAATGAAAATAATATTATCGACCTGTTATAAGGATGGATTTGCATCATTTATGTGAAAGGGCTATTAATCTGTAAAACACAAAACAAATGTTAGCTAACATTTAACAGAGTAATATTGCCATGTTTATCAACAGATACATAAAACACAAATAGGTTATGATGAGTGTAGAGTTCATGTCTGGAGAAAGAGATTTCAGAGATTTGATCAGTATCTCTTTGGTTACTTGGGCTCCAGATTTAAATATATGCCCTAATCTATAACTCTAAGACAGTAAGTAAACACGGGACTGCTTTTTTGTTGCTTTGTCTCCTGTGCAGATATTACACAAGGACCCTTTACCAATTCCAGTTTCAAGAAGCACTTTGTCAAGCAGCTAAACATGAAGGCCCTCTGCACAAATGTGACATCTCAAACTCTACAGAAGCTGGACAGAAACTGTTGTAAGAAATACCTCAAAATGTTGAACCTCTCCTAGTATTCAGTATTACTCATTTCCATGCCTAGGTTTGTATTTGATTTCTTTGTTCTAAAAAGAAAATTTTATGGCCTCAAAATGTCCTCATTTACAAACCAAACATTTAATTTGTGGTCAGACAGGAACCTAGACCATACAACAATTGGGTGGGCCACCTCTTTTCTCCCTATCATAACTACAGCCCTCTCTTCCTGGTAATTGGAAGGAAAGAGCGGTTTAGGGTGGAATATATCTGTTAATATGCATTCTTTTCTTATCTGCCAGAAGCAAATTTAGCCAAGTCAAAGAGAAGAAACCATAGATCATAGATGTAAATATATGTACATCTGGAACCCCTCAAAAGGCCCTGAACCCCCTTTTTTTGTGTAGCAATATGCTGAGGCTTGGAAAATCAGAACCCTGGACCCTAGCATTGGAAAATGTTGTAGGAGCAAAGAACATGAATGTAAGGCCACTGCTCAACTACTTTGAGCCCTTATTTACCTGGCTGAAAGACCAGAACAAGAATTCTTTTGTGGGATGGAGTACCGACTGGAGTCCATGTGAGTACACCCAGTTGACAAGTTTCACACCCATTCCTTGTCTACTTCGTCTAGTCTCCTTTGGCCCCAGTCTCATGAGGACTTGTGACACAGCTGAGAATGTTTCTTTCTCTATAGTACCTGCTTCTTTCTCTGCTATGGTGACAGCTGCCATTTTATGGGAGAAAAATCACAACTGTTGAGCACCTATGTATGAGACATAGTGAAAGCAACTGT
Organism: Homo sapiens; assembly: GCF_000001405.40. Classification (NCBI taxonomy): domain Eukaryota; kingdom Metazoa; phylum Chordata; class Mammalia; order Primates; family Hominidae; genus Homo; species Homo sapiens. The sequence goes on along the minus strand of NC_000023.11, from coordinate 15,571,407 downwards.
ACAGACAAACACACACAGATGCATGCACATGTGTGCATACACATACAAGAGTGTGTACTCTTTCAAGTCTGTTTTATTAGTCTCATCTTTAAAATACATATTATAACTGTCTCCAACCAACTGTACTCGAATCCTGCTTTCCAAAGACAAATACTTTTTTTAAAACAATTTTAATGCTATTATCTCTTCTTTCTGGCAGTCACTTTCATATTTCTAAATAATTTTCTTATATTGCTATTTTGTTATTGCTCAGTTTTAAACCTTCGTTTTGGTCTACTCTTCCACTTCCATTTCTTGCTCTTCCAATAAGGCCTTATAATGATTTTTAGTAAAACAGTTATCAATGTTTACATCACTATGCCTGAAGAGCCAAGTAATGTATTATTTTGTGTCCTTTCTTATGTGGCTTGTTGTTTGTCTCAAAGTTTCTACTTGCCTGAATTTTTCGGCTTACCTAATTTGCTATCTACGTTGTATTTGTTTTTCTCCCAAATATTTCAACATATCTATTCTTTTCAGTCTCATTTTTTTTCCCTAGAGACTTCCCTCTTGGAGTCTTATATTCTCCTTTCCCAACATTTGTTGTTCTCCTGGGTTGAATCCACTGCTTCCTAGATTCCATGTCTTCTTTCTTGGATTACCTCTTGTTTTTCTGGAGCATAGCCTCCCACAGACTGTCCAAGCAGGGGCACAAGGGGTAGGAGGATCAACTGTTCTCCAAAGTGGTTTTAACCACACCCTGACTTCCATTCCTCTTCTTTTCAGCCCAGTATTATTTTCCCACCCTCACCTGTGCTTGAATTCCAAACCTCTTTTGGATTTTTTGGCTCTTTGTGGGTCTGTGCCTCCTCTGTGTACAAATTAGGTCATGGCTTCCTGTCCCTGAGAAAGCAGTTACCCCTGTCTCATCATTTCTCGTTTTCCAAAAGCCTGTTGATACCTTTAAAAGATCCCTTTACTATCACTTTAGTGGGATCTTTGGAGGAAAAGGAAATAAGCACATGTGGGCAATCTGTTGTCTGTAACCAGCAGTCTGCTATTTCTCTTTAATCAGATGCAGACCAAAGCATCAAAGTGAGGATAAGCCTAAAATCAGCTCTTGGAGATAAAGCAGTGAGTATTCTGGACAGTGAATTGATTATTTTTGAGTGCACAGTCTTCACTTAAATAGGACACAATAAACCCATTTCAGTGTGAACTGAAAGAAGAGAGGCCATGTGGTTCTTTTCAAAACTATAAGTTCCAGATTCTGGCCTTTGGCTTTGGGTTTTTAAAGTAACCTATTCCTTATTGGATAAGCTATTCCTACTTCTTATTGCCTTGAAGGTGTTATGAACTTCAATGAGAAAATATCTGTATCAATCCTTAAATATCAGATACCAATCCTTTCAATTGACTCTCGTCACCATTACTTTTATTCTAGAAAGAGAATATGGTTATATTTTGAAAGGTAGTTTGTTTTTAGAAGCGGTACAGTTAGGTTTTTTTAGTTTGTTTTGTTTTAGTCAATCACCTGTATCCTGGCTTCACTCAGAGTGTGGCCCATGGTCCAGCAGCATTTGAATCACCTGGAAGCTTGTTAAAAATGCGTAATTTCAAGCCTAGCCCTGGACCACTTAATCAGAATCTGCATTTTAGCAAGCCTCCAGGTGATTTGTACGTACAATCAAGACTGGGAAGCTCTAATTTAGAACACTGCTTCTCAAACTTGGCTGCACAGTGGAATCACATGGGAAGTTTAAAAAATATTAATGCCTAGGTTATACACCTCCAGAGATTCTGATTTAATTGTTCTGGGGTATGGAGTCAAGAGTTGGGCATCAAGAGTGTTTAAAGCTCCCCAGGTGATTCTAGTCACAGCAAAGTTTGAGAACCACTTATTTAGGGAAATGCATTTTGGGGGTAACAAAATATTTTACAGGAAATTATGTTATTTACACCTTAATGTGAATTATTTACTTAGCTATTGCTCTGTCGTTAACACCTGTCTCAGATGATCCAGTCTGAGGAAGTGGTAGCTTTGATTGGGAAAGAGGAGAGGAAAGAGTAGTCTCGGGTAGATGGGGCTCAAAAGCCTGAGAGTGGGTATGACACCCTGAAGGCTTTGCAGGGTTAGAAGTCAATCTGGGACTATTGGATAAAATGGTCCAAGATGCTACAGCAAATTGTTGTCTGCATTGGATAGATCCAAAGATTGTGTTTCTACCCCCTTACCTTTCCTGAAAAGTTAAACATTGTCCAAGATTCAATAACACTTTTAGTATAATTTTCATAGTTAAGACATCAAAACATAAATAACTCAGGAGTAAAAAGATGAACATTCAAGAAAGAAAAAATGAAAATGGAAGTGCATTTCTTTCCAATCATTAAGAGTTCAAGTTCCTATTTCATAATAATCATTGGGTGATTGTGGGACTATTTCTCTGTCATATTTTTATTAGCTCTTCCTTGGCTTAATACATTTTAATTAGTCTCGGCAGATCAGGATATTTTCAATTATCTTTTTTCTTGACATTTATACTCATCCTCTTTCCATGCAGTGAGGGTTGGTAAATAGTGTTCAGGGGGTTTGATTCTGTAATGTTCTGAGGCCAATTCACTGAGCAACAATCTGTTTTGATGAAACGAGATCATATATTTAGTGCATCTACACAACAGGGTCAGAATATCTGCTCAGTTCAAACTATTTCATGGTGAATTCCAATGGATCTATGGCATTATTTTGAGAACTCAGCCTTTAAAATCTTTTATATTTTATATTTATAGAGATAGTAGCCAGACTGTTATTAGTAACAATATTAATAATATTATTACTATTAAAGGAACTCCTCTAAACCTCGGTGAAACCAAGCTGAAGTGAATGTAACAATTCTTTTGTGAAATATTATAATTTTTTAAAGGGAAAGGAGAAACATACAACTAGTGCCATTCATTGATTCCTACTGCCAGCTACTGGAGGAAAGAGTGAATGCTTTCTTTTAAGTCTTTAAAAGCTATGCAAACATAAGCTATTTGTTTAGCACTGGAAAACAAGAACAAACAGATTAGCTTGCTGTTTACAAAGTGTTATTTTTCATTTGAATGTCAAGTTTTTCTTTTACACTTATAGATAAGTACATTTCTGAGAACGTACCATAAAAATAGTAAAAACTGATTTTGTCCACAAGGTACAGACATTTTGCTACAAAACCCACAACTTTTGTTTGACTCCCATCGGTAAACCTACACTCAAGGTGTTAATTTCAGTTTACATCAAACTAAAGTAAAAGGACCCGTGAACCCAATGGTTCCTAAAGCATGGTTGCCTGACCAGCAGCATTACCACCACCTGGGAGTTTGTTAGAGATGTAAATTATTGGGTTTCATCTCGGGCTTCCTGAATCAGACGCTCTAGGGGTGGACCCAGCACTCAGTGTTGTAACTAACCCTTCAGGTGATACGGATGCACACTTACATTGAAGGTCACTGACTTAATGAATAGCAAGAATCTCTGGAATATTAAGAATAATTCTTGAGGAGTATCAGATTATAAATGTGTCTTACGAGTCCCTCTGAGCAGTGTCTTTCTTCTGAATTTGCAGTATGAATGGAACGACAATGAAATGTACCTGTTCCGATCATCTGTTGCATATGCTATGAGGCAGTACTTTTTAAAAGTAAAAAATCAGATGATTCTTTTTGGGTGAGTTGATTTGCTGGGTTCTCAAATTACTCCAACTAGGATTTCTCTTACTCTTGAGTCTGAGGAGATACTCTGCCTAAACTTTTCTTCAAGTGAAATTGATAAAAATCTCCTAGTAACTTATACTTCTTTGGTATTGTGGAATTTGGGTGACTCCATAGAGGGCTGATCGTGCCTTATTTGACTGGTAAATTGCAAGAGTATTGTTCTTACTAAACAGCTGTCACTCTCTTCTCAGAATGCTCTCATACACCCTCAGCACTGAAAGAAAAAAAAGGCAGAACTTCCTGCCTTCATTGACCTATATTCTAGTATGTATGTTGTGTATGTGTCTATGTGTGTAATATGTAAGTGAAATATAGAGTTACAAGGTACTAAGTGCTAGGAGAAAAATATAAAAGGGTCTGGGGAGGGCTGGTGTGTGTGTGTGTGTGTTGGGCAGGGGGTAGGTCAATTTTAACCAAAATGGTCAGAAAAGACGTCACTAATACTTGAACAAGTATATGAAGCAGGAGAGAGGGAGAGAGAGAGCGAGAGAGCGAGAGAGCGAGAGCGAGAGCCAGCAATGCAGACAATGGGGAAAGTGTCTCAGCTGGGGGAAACAGCAGGTGCAGACCCTGAGGAAGGAATATCCTCAGCCTGTTAAAGGAACAGCAAGGAGGCCAGTGTGGCTGGAGCAGATTAGAAGACAAGTGGAGACATGGCCAGGACGATGTTAGGGCATAGAGGAAGGAGGGAGAGACAAAAGGTCATGTGGGCCTTGAAGGCCATTCTAAGGACTTTGGCTTTTATTCTGAGTTAGATGAGTAGTCACTCAAGGGCTATGAGCCACATGATCTACCTTATTTTGTGCTAGGATCGCTTGACAGCTGTGAGAGCACAGTCCTGTCACATCATATGGTAGACCCCACTCATTACCTTCATCCATGGGTGCAACACGACGTTTTCTGCTGGGTAGGACCAGGTTGTGGGTGTAAATCCGTGTGTGGTACTCAGCCATTTCTGCCCACCACATTGTTTGCCACAATCCTGGGCCACCGATTATTCCTTGTTGATTCTCCTGCTGTTTTCAGTTTGGAAATTTTCTATAATTGAAAAAGATGTGGGTTTTATATAAAGGCAGAACAAATAGTGCCAAAACTTGATATCACAATTTTTATGTAGTTGATTTCATGTGCTTTGGGCAGCATTAATGTTTTTTTTGACAATTACATCCTCTCATTGTTTGCCCTCCCCCATGTCTCTCTATCCTGTGATTCTCTCTCTAATCTCCTTTTCACCAGCAGGGGAAGTCTTCATTCTCTTGATTGTGTCCTCTGTGCCACAAGTGAAGATGTTTGTTTTGTTTCTCTACAGGGAGGAGGATGTGCGAGTGGCTAATTTGAAACCAAGAATCTCCTTTAATTTCTTTGTCACTGCACCTAAAAATGTGTCTGATATCATTCCTAGAACTGAAGTTGAAAAGGCCATCAGGTGACATTTTACTTTCATCTAAGGGTGAGGGGGTTACCAAATACAACAACAATAACCAGTATTTTGTGTGTTCTTCCTGTGTGCCAAGCATTATTCTGAGTCATTTACATGTGTTACCTCATGCTACAAACTCCACGTAATTCCAGAAGGATCCCACAGCAGGGGAATAATCTTGATTTGAGTTCCGCCAGATGTAGGCTCTTACAAAAGGGAAGAAAAACTATAGATTACATGTTATCAAGCAAGTTACCACTATGGGCAACTAGAGCTCAGTCCTGCTGGGAAATGTGGAGAGACTGTGTAGAATGTGCACCTGAATTGTCCCATCAGAGGGCTGAGGAAGCTGGGGTATTTATTTACCACCTCCCATCAGTTATTGGCTGAGAACTGCTTCCAGGTGGCATTAATTCCCCAGCATTTCAGCCCTGCAGGCAGGGCAGATCTTGTGGTCTGAGAATGCTCTCTGGTAAAGGGGAGCAGGTGCTGGTTGAAGAAAGTCTGGCTAGAACTCATGGAAAATAGTAAGTGCAGAAGGGACGTGGACAGGTATTGCCATCATTTGCTCTCAGGACTTTGATGTAGGATTCATTTAACTGCCCAAATCCTGAAACAAGGTAGGCAAGTACAGGATTCCTTACATATTGCTTGGCCTCTATGCTAGGTGAGGGACTTGCAATGAATGTTTAGAAGAAACAGTTTGTCCAATTTGCCTCAATTGTTTCCCACAACAGACAGCAGGAGCGAAGAATGGATTGACCTTGCAGATGGTTTCCTGTCATTATAAAAAGGCTTAATATACCTACTGCTTCTGGGCAGCTCACTAGGTGGCCCTCTCGAGCTGCGTCAGAGTCCTGTTTAACTTCGGAAGCAGATCTAAGACCTGCTGGGCAGGGTGTGCCTAGAAAATCTGGCTTGGTTGGAGTGTATGACCCAACTGTGCCCAGAGACTCACTCACTTCCTCCAGAAGACTTGTGTCTGTCTTGGGAAAAACTTCTGGCTGAGATCTTTATGAAAAAGCTCAGCCTTCCTGGATACTCAGCTGCAAGCTACAGGGGACCTCAGACTCTCTGTTTCCAGGATGACTCTTTTCAGATCTTTTCTGGCTGAGGTTGCCAGGGGTTACCTGACTAATTCTGCGTTGATCTCTCTCTCTCTCTCTGGTGGACTCTGACCTCCTGACCTGGGCTATACCCAAGGGTAGGAAGATGAGATGCCAGACACTTTGGTCTTTGATCCAGAATGTTCTCCATATCATTGTTTTTTTTTTTCTTTAAACAATCTTTATCCTTTTGCCTCCATAAAAGTAAGCCATTTCCCATCCCAGTGCTGAAGAAACTGGCAAAGGTCCCTTTCTTATGTGCCTCCCCAGTGCTACCTCCAAATGCCAATACCTTTTATTTGGAAAATACTACTATAGAGACTTGGTCATAGGACCTGATTCATTTGTATAATAGAAGAGGTGTATCCAATTATCCGTTTCCATTATTTGATATAAAGTCATTGTAGATGTACTCTGACAGAAGGGAAATTCTTGCCAAATATGATAACTTTGCCCTTAAACACAGCAGTCACAAATGAATAAATGCCAACCATTTATACATTTCCACACTTACAACTCAATTTTCCAATGGAGCTGTTGATGAACCTAATCTAGGTTGCAAGGCATGAAAGATGCATAATTGTCAAAGACTTATATCTTTAATTAGACCTATTTACTTTGCTCTTATGATTTTAGGTGTATATTCCTTTTTTTTTTTTTTGAAACAGAGTCTTGCTCTGTCACCTAGGCTAGAGGGCAGTGGCACAATCTCGGCTCACTGCAACCTCTGCCTCCCGGGTTCAAGCGATTCTCCTGCCTCAGCCTCCCAAGTAGCTGGGACTACAGACATGCGCCACCATGCCTGGCTAGGTGTATATTCTTATGATAAGCTCTATTATATCCTTTCAGGAACAATGATATAAACAGTAAATAACTACACACAATTTTATTTTGTCTAAGTGTCCCCTTTGCTGTTTTTTGCTTTTGCAAATAGGATGTCCCGGAGCCGTATCAATGATGCTTTCCGTCTGAATGACAACAGCCTAGAGTTTCTGGGGATACAGCCAACACTTGGACCTCCTAACCAGCCCCCTGTTTCCATATGGCTGATTGTTTTTGGAGTTGTGATGGGAGTGATAGTGGTTGGCATTGTCATCCTGATCTTCACTGGGATCAGAGATCGGAAGAAGTAAGTGGCCTTTCCTAGACTTAACTATCCAAAAATAGAAAGATTTAGAGAACAGTAACTGGAAAATTTTCAGTAAGTGGTAGATTGTATAGACCAATTACTTAGTTGGACAATTTTGCAACTAAATACTCTGATGCATTCCCTAGAAATTTAATAGATCAGCAGTTCATCTTCCTAGTAAGCCCACACAGTAAGTATCTGGCCTGGGATTTATTAGCATGCCCTAGTAAACTCCATCCCAGCCACAGTGTCATTTCCCTCCTACAAAGAGGCACTGCAAACTCAGCAGGTATGGGTGGGCTCAGGGAATGGTTTTCACTGCTCTCACTGCTGAATCCTTTTCAGTCTAAAAGTGGGGACTGGATTGCTGGAGACTGGATTGCTGATGGGTTTGAACCGTGAAATTGTTCAAGAATGGGCTGTGAGATTTCTTTGAAACTGCTACTCTTGGTTTTTTGTTTGTTTGTTTGTTTGTTTGTTTGAGACAGAGTCTTGCTCTGTCACCCAGGCTGGAGTGCAGTGGTGCAACCATAGTTCACTGCAACCTCGATTTCCCAGGCTCAAGTGATCGTCCCACCTCAGCTTCCTGAGTAGCTGGGACTACAGGGGTGTGCCACCACACCCAGCTAATTTTTGTATTTTTTGTGGAGACAGGGTTTTGTCATGTTGCCCAAGCTTTTCTTGAACTCCTGAGTTCAAGCAATCCGCCTGCCTCGCCCTCCAGTGCTGGGATTACAGGCGTGAGCCACCGTGCCCTGCCCAAACTGCTACTCTTTACTCAGCTTTATTTCTCACCGGGTAGCTCAGACTCTATGTCATTCTCTTAGTTCATGGTTAGGCACGTTCTAATTTGTTCCTGAACTGAAGATCAAAGTTCATTGAGGATTTAAATTACCAGAGACCTGATTTCTAGTCTTGCTTTGCTACTAGATGTTTTTCTTCTGTCCTTAAGAAATTGACTCTTGCTGGGCTTATGGAATGAAGGTTAATATTTTATAGCACCTAACAAAACTCTATGCACACCTCAGCTTGTTTAAACATATTCTTGATTGAATCTCTATATTTGCTAGTCTATTTTGCTCAATTTTCTTCACTATAGAGATTTTTCGTTTCTCCAAAATAGCTCCATCTAAAATATTAGGCATTCAATGTGTAATACATTCATATGGTTAAAATTAAAAAATACAAAGGTGAACATGAAGAGTCTTCCTTATTACCTTTTGCCTCCAAGTTATCTTCCCAAAGCCAAACAAAATTATCAGTTCCTTGGAGATACACACACACACACACACACACACACACACACACACACACAGTCTTTTTTCTTTTTTCTCAGACATATATATATATATATATATATATATATATCTCCTTTTTAGTATACAAATATATACTTTTTTAGTGTGTATATTTGTGTGTATGTGCATATGTATATCTCATTTCTTAGTATACAAATGTTAGCAGGCTATAAACAATGTTCTGCATATTTTGTTTTCCACTTAATGGTTTTTTTAAATTTTTATTTATATAGGTGTGATCCACCACACCCAGCCCACTTAATGTGTTTTAGAGATCATTACACATTAGTTGCACAAAAAACTTCTCCTTTTTTCTGGCAGTATAATTTCCCATTTCACGAATGGATTGTAATTTTGATAAACAGTCATCTATTGATGAACTTTTATGTTGTTTCCAAACATTTGTGTTTACTTAAAAAAAGTGATGGCTTAATATAGGTAATTTCCTGAGTATGCCAATATACCCTTAAGATGAATCCTAGCAGTGGGAAAGCTGGGTGAAAGCATACGTGCAATTGCTAATTTTGATAAATATTGCCAAATTGCCCTCAATAGCGGCTGTACCAATTTATACTCACATCAACAGTTTATGAAACTTCCTGTTCCTCCCTCCCAGCCTCCTTAACACAGATTCCCCTGAAACTTTTTGATTTTCATCAGTCCGATTGATTTTAACATAAGTATATTAAGGCAACCTTGCTCTATTTAACAGGAAAAATAAAGCAAGAAGTGGAGAAAATCCTTATGCCTCCATCGATATTAGCAAAGGAGAAAATAATCCAGGATTCCAAAACACTGATGATGTTCAGACCTCCTTTTAGAAAAATCTATGTTTTTCCTCTTGAGGTGATTTTGTTGTATGTAAATGTTAATTTCATGGTATAGAAAATATAAGATGATAAAGATATCATTAAATGTCAAAACTATGACTCTGTTCAGAAAAAAAATTGTCCAAAGACAACATGGCCAAGGAGAGAGCATCTTCATTGACATTGCTTTCAGTATTTATTTCTGTCTCTGGATTTGACTTCTGTTCTGTTTCTTAATAAGGATTTTGTATTAGAGTATATTAGGGAAAGTGTGTATTTGGTCTCACAGGCTGTTCAGGGATAATCTAAATGTAAATGTCTGTTGAATTTCTGAAGTTGAAAACAAGGATATATCATTGGAGCAAGTGTTGGATCTTGTATGGAATATGGATGGATCACTTGTAAGGACAGTGCCTGGGAACTGGTGTAGCTGCAAGGATTGAGAATGGCATGCATTAGCTCACTTTCATTTAATCCATTGTCAAGGATGACATGCTTTCTTCACAGTAACTCAGTTCAAGTACTATGGTGATTTGCCTACAGTGATGTTTGGAATCGATCATGCTTTCTTCAAGGTGACAGGTCTAAAGAGAGAAGAATCCAGGGAACAGGTAGAGGACATTGCTTTTTCACTTCCAAGGTGCTTGATCAACATCTCCCTGACAACACAAAACTAGAGCCAGGGGCCTCCGTGAACTCCCAGAGCATGCCTGATAGAAACTCATTTCTACTGTTCTCTAACTGTGGAGTGAATGGAAATTCCAACTGTATGTTCACCCTCTGAAGTGGGTACCCAGTCTCTTAAATCTTTTGTATTTGCTCACAGTGTTTGAGCAGTGCTGAGCACAAAGCAGACACTCAATAAATGCTAGATTTACACACTCCTTGTGCTTACTTATGTGCTGGGGCTTCTTTACGTTTTGTCTGCTTTTCAGTTCTATGAACAAAGTTATCATCTGAGTGTCTGGGGCTCCTGGCCTTCCAAATGTCTCGTGATGTATTGCAAATTCTCAGATTGCTTTATTGTACAAAGTAATTGTAAAACTAGTCCCAAAAAAGTTGTGTACAGAGTGTATACACCATCAGGTTAGGAACCAAACCTGATGCTGCTTTTATATTTCTCACAGTCACTACCCCAGTGTGAGCACAGCATTTCTTAGATACCTGAAGACTGGTTAAAACTAGATTAAATAGATTAACATATCTAAACTCTATGCATTAACTCATTCTATGTGGTGACCAGCATAATGTTACAATGACTTTGTACTTCATAAATTCTCTATGGTAATTGTGGATCAGTTAGCCAAGTGAAGGGAAGATGACTTTCATAATCTGTAAAATAACCTCAAAATAAGGGTCATTTGAGGCTCTTTGATGTCTTAATTATCTGATACCCAGGTAGCAGAGATAGAGTTCTTTGTTATTTTACGAGATACAATCAACATTTCGCATCACCATCTGCACCATCCTGCCATTCACTGGGCCCACAGCTTGGGGCAACATACAATATAATTTACTCCTTGGCTAAGCAACCATTTCATAGACAGTTTTTTCTTTTATCTTGCATATGTCCCATCTTCTCTAATATATCATGAAAATCTTCTGTCAAGCTACTGCTATCTAAACATCCTTTGTAGTTGCCACAAGATCTTTATGAAGTTCATAAACTTGGTTCAGCACAGTGCAAGAATAATTTCTGCAGGAACCAATTTCATCATCTAACACCTTCAAAAGAGCCTCCCCAGACATGGCAAAGGACCCATGTGCATGTGACATAGTGTCCAACTGTAACACAGAAAGAAAAACCTGCTTATTTCCGTAACTTAATTTTGGGGTTTTCTCCAGAACAGTCCTCACTGTGCCCACCAGGTAACGCTTGTGGTCCTTCTCCTGTGTAGCAGCATCCTCTGAAAGGATGGAGACTCTACAAAGAGGGACCGGTGCCTGGGCCTAGGATGGAAGCTGGCAAACAATGGCCCATGGGCCAAATCCTGCCCACCACATTTTTTTGTTTTGTTTTGTTTTGTTTTATTCTGTTCTGTTTTGAGACGGAGTCTTGCTCGGTCGCCCAGGCTGGAGTGCAGTGGCGCGATCTTGGCTCACTGCAACCTCTGCACCCTGGGTTCAAGTGATTATCCTGCCTCAGCCTCCCGAGTAGCTGGGACTACAAGTGTGAGCCACCACACCCAGCTAATTTTTTGTATTTTTTAGTAGAGATGCAGTTTCACCATTTGGCCAGGCTGGTCTCAAACTCCTGACCTCAGGTGATCTGCCTGACTCGGCCTCCCAAAGTGCTGGGATTACAGGCCTGAGTCATTGTGCCCGGCCACCCCACCACCTGTTTTTGTCTGGCCTGTGAACTAAGAGTGATTTTTACATTTTTAAGTGGTTGAAAAAAATTAGAATAAGATTTCATGATAAATGAAAATGATATGAAATTCAAATTTCAGTGTCCATAATAAAGTTTTATTGGAACCCAGCCACACCCATTCATTTTCATATTGTCTAGGGCTGCTTTCATGCTACAGAGCAGAGCTGAGTAGTTGAAGTAGAGACGGCATGGCCCACAAAGCCATTTACAGACAAACTTTGCCAAACCCTGGGCTATACGGAAGCAAGGATTAAATGAAACTGCAAATGCAAAAGGTCCATTGTGGAGCTCACAGACCAGAGAAACATAGTGATCAGGCCAGAAATGGCAGGTGCTAGCTTCCTCTTCTCTGGTGTCTCTCAATGAACTATTCTTCCTAATTTGAGAGCCTCCTCCCTCCACATTTAGGTAAAGATGGGGCCTTAGGTCCAATCTCTCCTCCTCATAAACCCACTCTCAAGATAGAATAAAAACTGAGAAACTCAACTTGCTAAATCTACTGTGTTGGAATCTTAATAAACTCAAGTAGATATGAGGTGAGTTTTGCCAGACCCTCTTGACTTTGTGTTTGACTTCTGGTAGGTCAGAAAATGCTCAGCAAGACGAGGGAGCATCTGTTGGATTTTACCTAGCAAGTGATTTATCTGAACTTGCTCTGCAGCCTGCCCTTTGGGAAAGTTTCTTACCACATAGTCTTCCTTTTTCTTCACTGCCAAAAGAGTGTAGGCAGACACTTGGTTTAAGATAACAACAATAAATTCTGCATATCACCACTAAACACAGTTATACAGCATTAAAAAATCATTGTGCACGTTTGAAATACTATGAATAGTGTTCTTTTACTTGGCTCCTCCTAGCATCACTGGACTTGTTTTCTGATAAACCTCTAGTGGTACCTTAAATTGCTGCCTGACTTGATTTTTGCAGCTAGGCTTCTAAGCAGGGCTTTGGCCTCTTTTCATAGTAAACAATTTTTGCAACAAGCGTGTATTTTGTTATAAAGAGGATTATTTTTAAAAGGTAAATATACAAAAATAAGAAGAAGAAAGGAAAAAAATCTTCGAGAGGGAGACCAGAAAGACCCAGCTTGTGCATGAGCTCATCCTCTGAGTGGGGAAACAGTCTTTGGTGCAGGAAAGGCTGGCACCCCCATCGGACTGTGGGTCCATTGAGAAAGAGGGTTTGGGTCACCTGTTCTTTCTTTTCTCTTGGGTAGGAAAGAACCTAGCATACAGTCAACACTACAAAAAAAACCCACAAAAATAAAATATACAAATGCCCTAGTGATTATTTTGAGTTACATTTAATTATAAATTGAGATTTGTGTACCTCTGTAAAAAATAGAAGACTGTTAACGAGTGTCAATTCTGTGTTGAAATGAAGGAATTATTAATGAAATGTCAAGAAACAAATAAGCAAGAGGGAGCATTGAAACTAGCTGGTGGCTGAAGGACAGAGTGGGATGAGAGAGGATATAAGTGTCTCTGAGAGATTATTGACTGATCTCTGGAAAATAGCAGCAGGGTTTAATTGGGGTGTCTCTTCATTGTAATGGTGCCCTCTACAGAATCTGTCTCTCCCTTCTTGACATTATAGAAAAGACAATGGAATACTCAGAAAGAGGTTAAAACCTGTGGGTTCGGTAGCAGGCCGTGAAGAAGGGCATCCGCAGGTACTGTTTTAAAGGTGAAATACTATTTAGTAATAGGCATGAGAAGCTAAAATAGTACTTCTGTATTTTTGTGTTAAGATAGCAGACTGAAATAGAAACTTCAGTTATCAAACTAGCCAGAAGCCCCAGATCCCCAAACTCAAGGATTTAAGATGATTAGACAGATGGTCACCAAAATTAGTCCACAAGTAGAAGAATTTACAGCACCATGTCATACATAGTTCATCCTAATTTCTACCAACTTCACTGGGCAACAATCAATCGTTTTATTTCCCTCAATGACTCTTGTTATCTTCAGACCTGAAACTGATTCGGAGACCATGGGGCCCACAAACCTAATCAGAGTAACATGTGTTCATTGAGTACACATGTAGACATGAGAATCTCCACTTTCCCCTTTTTTCTCTTGGTAAAATGTTCACAAATGTTCAGGTAACACCTGCTACTCCAGCCATTCAGGCCTTAAATCTGCAGCTCTACATTTTGTATCCAGGTCTTGAGATTTGGGAAATAGAAAATTTTTATCTAAAAAATGAAAGTACTTTTGGTTATCAAACTCAGACATTGAAATGAACGTGCAGTTATGTCGTTCTCCCCCTTTAAATTATGTATTCATCTCTTGAAACTGTTCACTATTGCCACAAGTAGATATATATTAAACTAATAATACCACATTGGACACTATATCTCATACCCTAAACCATAATGATATATATCTAATCAATAACCAATGTTATTTCTTTAAATAAATAAAAATTTCTGACAAACAACTCTGTATCAGCCCACTCTCTGTCCCTTTGTTTTTGTCTTTACAACTCCTCTTGCAACTGCTGCTAATCAAAGTGTAGATTCCAGGCAACTTGAGTCTTTGCTCCCAGGTTATAATCCTTAAACTTGACCCAAATAAACTGTCTACTTATATAAAAAAAAAAGATGATTAGAAAGCAACAATGTAATTAATTCTAGAAATTGTACCTCAGCATCTTAAAAAATTTGCTTTATGTGAACATATTTAATGTATTATTTAATATTATTTAACTTTAGTTTTATACATGACATAAAGAGTCATTGTACTAATCTGGATATTAGACGAGAATTGTGCCATTTGGATTGGGTAATGGACCACCTAATGATACCCCACCATATAATGAGGTCCCCTAGGGCAGTTCAGAACAACTGCTTCAGTAACATCTGGGAGTTTGCTAAAAATACAAATTCACAGGCTGCACTCAGACCTCCTCCGCCAGGTTTTATGGAGGTAGTTTCTAGGAATCTTTTCATAAACTCTGCATTTGATTATCATGCCTACTGAAGTTTGAAAACATTGAAATATTAAGACAAATGTCCACATTTCTGTACTTGGTAGTATATTTAATTGTTGTGACAATGACAATATAAAGAAAAGAATGAATATCCAATAAGTAATTTTTCAGTTCTGCTCAGTCTTTACACATGAACACAGTCTCTATATTGCAGTCTGAAAATGTGCTTCTGCTATAGGCTGGAAAGTGTTATATCAGGAGCAGCATAAACAAAATTACTAATTTGATCTAAATTTCAAGGGAATCTTTTGTTTCCTGCCTTGTTCATTTCTAAATAATAGACAATACAGAGAACACTATTAAAAACTAGCTAAATTACATTATGCCTTGCTACTTTCCTTAAAATGAATGAAAATGCTGGCCAGCATCTATATTCATTCTTATCAGCACTCCTAATTTCTTCTTCAATGCTTGTCTTTTTCCCGAAGTGGTTCAATGGAAGACAGGAGTTGCTGAAATGTGGGACGCTTTTCTGGAAGCTAAACAAAAACAACAAGAAACCCAATGTTTTAGATGATGAGAGTTATGATCAATGATAAAATATATAAAATATTTACATCTAAGTCCTAAAGCTAGCAACTTTTAAAATGTGGAAACACAACAGACATTTCAATTGAGGTCAGAAATAAGGCAAGGACGCTCACTATAATAATCACTCTTAACATTATGTTGAAGGTGTTAACCAATGCAATTGGAAAGCAAGAACAATTAGAGCCCCAATAACTGGAAAAGAAAAAGTCTCTTTATTTGCAAGCATTTTAGTGTATACCTGGAAAATCTGAGAGTATCAATGTTAGAACAGACTTAAAGAATAAAGGAATTCACTAGGAGAGCAGGATATAAAATTAACATACAAAATCAATAGCCTTCACATATACCTACAGTAACCACTTAGAAGTTATCATGTAAGAGAAAACCCCATTTATAATAGCAACGCCACCAAAATAAAACACTAAAAAAGTGTGCCCCTCTAAAATGGGGACGACTTTAAAACACTGCTGAAAAATGCAAATGTAGACTTGACTATATAAAAAAGCATCCCTGGCCAGGCGCAGTGGCTCACGCCTGTAATCCCAGCACTCTGGGAGGCTGAGGTGAGTGGATCACTTGAGGCCAGGAGTTCGAGACCATCCTGAACAACATGGCGAAACCCTGTCTCTACTAAAAATACAAAAATTAGCCAGCTGTGGTTGTGCACAACTGTAGTCCAAGCTACTCGGGAGGGTGGGACATGAAAATCACTTAAGCCTGGAAGGTGGAGGTTGCAGTAGGCCTAGATCATACCACTGCATTCCAGCCTGAGTGATAGAGCAAGACTCTGTCTTAAAAAAAAAAAAAAAAAAAAAAAAAGCTTCCCTCGTTCTAGACTAGGACAAGTCAGTATCATAAAGATGTCAAATTTCCCAACTTAAAATACAAACTAAATACAATCTCCTCAAAAATATGAATGAGTTTGTTTCAAGCTAAACAAATTGATTCTTTGGTTTATAGAATTAAAAAATATGTAAAAATGGCTAAGAAATTATACAGTAAGGTGAGCAATGAGGGGTGCTAGCCTACCTAGTATTCAAACATATCATAAAGTCTCTACAGAATCAGAGCAGTGTGGTGCTAGCACATGAACAAAGAGACCAAAGAACAGAAGAGGAAGTCTCCAAATAGATTCAAGTACATATGGAAATTTAGTATAATATTAGGGTGGCATTTCACCACCATTAAGGTGGTATCTCATTCCTGATGATAAGATGGTCTTTTAATAAATAGGGCTGCCAACAACAGAATAGTCACATAAAATTATATATTTGGAGCCATATTTAATACCATATACCATAACAAACACAAACTATATCAGAAACATAAATGGAAAATAATGCAATCTTAAAAGTACTAGAGGAAAATCCTGGCAAAAGTCATTATAATTTGGGCATGAGAAAGCCTATCTATGACAATTTCCAGAAGCAATGAAAACAAATATTGATATATTCAGCTATATTAAGAAAAATTTCTGCATGGTCAAAAAAAGAAAAAAAAACCCACCCACCCTCAATCAAATAAAGCTGATAACTTAAAGTATTACTCTCCCTAATTTGTAAAGAGATCTTTAAAACCTGACAGAAAAAAGAAAAAAGACATGACAGTTCAGAAAGACACAAAATGACCCTTAAAAACGTGAAAAGAGGCTCAACCTCATAATGAAAGATATATATATTAAAGCTGCACTAAGATGCCATCAAGCTTTCACTTATCAGATTGGCAAGAATTCTTCAAAAGCTTGACAATGCACTCCATTGGTGAGGTTATAAGAAAATAGGTACCCTCTTACATTGCTAGTGAGGCAACGCCTATGGAGAGGAGAAGTTCATATGCTACTTTTTCTTTGTAAGAGAGAAAGGGAAGCAAGAAAACACACATCTATACATATGCTTGTTTTTGCATACAGAAATACCAGAAGGATGAATCAAAATCTAATGAAAATTGTGAATGTTCTTTCAATCTCTTTATGAATTGAGAAAGTCACAAAATAAAATCTAAAAAAGGAGGGAAAACCCAAATCTATAAGCTCTGCTCATTAGGTGCAATGTTTTAACTGGATATTGTCGTCTCAGTGCAAACCCCTCTTCACAGATTCTGCCACAATTCACATGCTTTTATGAACCAACCATGAGAAGAAGGCAGTTCCTCCCGACTCAGGGCCCCTGTCCATCCTATGGTGCAGTCATATTCCCAGGAGCTAGAGTAGGGAGGGCCAGGGAGGTTCTGGGCTTCAACTGAAAAACCCTTGTCTGCTCTTCTTCATCTGACAGGTGACAGCAGTAAGTCAGCCTGGCTGTGACCAACTCTACCCAGACCCAGTCTGACCCTCTAGTGCTGCCTGATAATCTTAGACACAATATTTTTGTTTGTTTGTTTCTTTAAAAAGCCTTTATTCATTTTTTAATCAGGGAAAAGGACAATCTCAATGTCAATTTGTCACCTAATCATAAATTTGAACTTACAGGATTCGCTACCCTAGACACTGCACCTACTGACAACACACAACTTAAAAATGAACTTCCTTCCATTCCCTAAAGTTAGATAGTTGCATGTTGAATGAATAAACAGAATCCCTTCCAACAGCTAACATTGGTACTTGGCCTAGGTGTAAGGACAAATAGCGAAACAGCAGCAAAAAAGACCAAGAGCATTGTAACTTGATAGCCCAGCAAGTACAATCATTGTAACAAAGTTGTAGGCACCAAATTAAAAAAAAGCGGGGGCTCATCAGCATAAGAAACTTACACCAGTTTTGTGAGAGCACTCGTTGTGTGAGATCAACTACTCTGCCTGTGAACACATATGCCAATCCCAGTAGCTAACATTGAGGCAAAGGTCCCAAAATCCAACTAACTACACTGAATGCAAAATCCAAAGCTTTTATTTATCCAGGTCCTCTGAAACCTGGATATAAAACAGTTTCTTTTCAATGCACCATGAGGGTCCACTGTAATGATTCAGTCACATTTGGATTGAGTAACGCACCTAAGATACCTTTTCCACTATTCCTGTCTGAATACGGAAATGTTTAACTACTCAGTTCATGCACTAACTGTGTTAAAAGTTAGATTTACTATCAAGACTTTTTCTAAACTCACACAGCATTAACAGTTAACTGTAATACAGCTTCCTCAGAATGCCCAAACAGAAAATATTTTGTTCAGTCTTGTGGTGGCTGTGAGAAAACAAAATACAACTAAATCTTATTTTGCCGCTATTTCAAATTTTAATCTAACTTTTGACCAAACTCATACCTTTCTGCCAAAATCCTTGAGTTATAACTACTTTCAATGCTCTTAAACCATAGCTCCTACCAGTTTTACAGTGCTCCTTCCTGTGTGCATCTGAATTTTTATCAAGAATTAAAGTCATGGTGTTATGATTACAAAGCTTTTTCTAGGTGACCACTGATTAAAGCCAAAGTAATTAACGATTCAAAGATGGCTTTCTAGAGACAGGAACAAAGCAAAAGGAGCTACTAACAATTTTATTACAATCCAGAAGAAACATGGTCTACTAGAAAGTTTCTACTAATCACAACACTTATGTCTTCCTCTCAGGACAATCTTCAGATAACCAGAGGGGAAAGAACATTATTCAAAAGTGTGGTAGAAACCTCAGTTAACAGGGAGAAGATGAAACCTTAAGAGCATAGAATACATCTACAAATCGGGGAAGAGGGTGACCCTGGCTGGCTATTTATAAAGGACCACAGTTTCTCCCTATGGACCAATACTCTCTACAAAATCAACTGTGCCTTAATTATTGCTTACTTTAAATTTTTACAGAGCTATGTAGTACCTGATACAGAAAAGCAATCACATAAGGAAGCATTTATTTGAAGTTTAACATGAAATCATACAAATAAAATGTGTATAAACAAATCCATATTGAGTCATAACACAGATAGCAAAGGACAAAGTAAAAACAAAGAAAACTAATTGGCAGCCATATACAGTTGGACACTGTGTCTTGTACACTAGAAAGTCTTTTACAAAATAATCATCTTAGATCAACAGAAGACCAATCTTCTATGTCATCCTGCAAGATGGGTTACTTTAACATCTCATCCTGTTTTCTCCAATGTTCTCCTTTAGTATGGCTGGTAATTGTTTTGGTGATTGCCACCCCCTCGAGATGCCTTGCCATAAGTGCTCTGTTGGCCACTGTAGTCTGCATATCTCTGTCCATATCCATAGTTCCCATAGTCAACATTTGGGGTAGAAAAAGGTGTGGAAACCTTATATACTGTTCCAAATGCCATAGGGTGGGAAATTACAGAGTGCTCATATTCCAGGTGATAATTTAAGGCTAAACGAAAAATATTGTTATGTGATGCAATCAGCAACTCTTCCAAAGTGGGACTCTAGGCTCCGGTACAAGAGTTTAGAAACTATTTAAGTTGTGTGCGTCAATTTATTCTTAGCACCAAGCGTACTGCCTGGTGCATAGATGCTTTGTAAAAAAAAAAAAATATATATATATATACACACACACACACAATATTAATAACAGAAAAACAGCACTGTGTACCAGGCATTGTCCTAAGGCCTTTATAATGCTAATTCATTCAATCCACCCAAAAATTCTATGAGGTAAGCATTACATTACAGTGAAGCACAGAGATAATAATAGGAGGTTTGTACAAGGTCATATAACTAGTAAGTGATCACGACAGGATTCAACCCAGGTATTCTGATGCCAGAACCCACAGGCTTAACCATTACACCAATTTGCCTTTTACTAGTGAATAAATGAATGCAGCATTAGGCCCTTTGCCATTGAGGAAGTACCATATAATGATTATGAACATGGGCTCTTAGAATAATGTTCTCAAAAGCCTCCTTTTATCATGTTACTGCTCAAAAGTCTTCAGTGGCTCCTCATCGCCTACAAAAACCAAAACTCTCACTTGTCTCCTTGTTATTCACTTTGCAGAACCTGAACCAGACCTACTCTTCCAAACTTATCTCCAGCCCTTCCAACGATAGCACCAGCCTAGCGTGCCATGCTCGTTCCTGCCTCCACACCTTTGCTTGTGCTGTTCTCACCTGGACACCCTTTTACAATGTCTCCACTCACATACTTAGGAAATTTTGTAGAGATTTCCTGCTTCAGCTCAGGTACCAATGCATTCAAGAAGCTGCTTTCTCTCAGGAAGCTGGTTTCTCTTTCCTCTGAGCGCTTCTTGTATTAGGTTGGTGCAAAAGTAATCACGTTTTTTGCCATTGAAAGTTATGGCAAAAACCTTGTCTTTCTAATTTGGGCACATAATTATAAACTGCTTGGTGTTTTCAGTCCTATTTGTGTGTGTGTGTGTGTGTGTGTGTGTGTGTGTGTGTGTGTGTGTGTAAAGACTTTGAGTTCAGTGAGGGCACAAATGGAGCCTCATACTTCCTTAACAACCTCCATTAGTTCTATGAACTTAGTGGATGCTTTGCAAATTAATCCCCTGAAGCTTCAGCTCCATGTCTTCCCCATAAGATACCCTTATCTTCTACCTGCATGGAATGCTTTTATTCAGTGTTTGGGAGGCAGGGGGAGAGAAGATGGGATAGTGTCCATTATGTGTTCTCTACGTGTGGTTAGATGTTTTCTGCTACTTATTTTCTACTCGAGGAGCTCCATAGTGTTGCAGTTAAGAACAGGGACGCTGGCACTAGCTAGTCTACTTCTTACTAGCTATGTGACCTTGGACAAGTCACTTAACCTTTCTGAGTCCTTGTTTACTCTTCTGTTAGTTTCAGCAATGATAGTACTTACCTCAGTGTGTTTCCTGATGCATAAGTAAGTTAATATTTATAGTGTTCTTAGAACACTGCTGTATGTAAGTTGTTCAGTAAATTGTTTGGCACCCGCATGTTTTAGATTACAAACATTTTAGGGCAGGGGCTGAGGACCATTCTCTCCTGCTCTGTACCAGTTGCTTTCCCTCAAAAAAGCTTTGTCCCAGTGGTGATGCAGTAATCACCCCGGATGTGCCTGAGACCCCTTCCAGCCCACCCAGAGAATACACTTGCCTCGTGCCAGCAGCTGTACATGATCTGGTAGATGGTGTCCGATGCCAGGTGGGGCCGGTAAAGCCTGTGGCCCTGGGAGACCTTCAGAACCACCTGGGAGTTGTCATACAAGTCATAGGGCTGCTTCCCCAGGCTGAACACCTCCCACATCAGGATCCCTGCACCACACCAAGAGGTGGCCCAGATAAAAAAGGAAGAGAGCTGTTATCAGAAAGTACAGGGTTTGTGGAGTGAGTTTCACACAACAGGTCAGGAAGGCTATGGGTCAGAGTGAGGGATCCCTGGGAAATGAGTCCCAGCGAAATGAGCAGAGCTTGGAAGGTGAGCCTGTGCCATTGCTTCTGGAGCCTGGGGTTTCTTCCCCATGTTCCCTGATACCTGTACATCTGTGCTTGCTGGAAAGTGGGTGAATGGCAAGGGCAGCCACAGAGGAACCTCTTGGGGCCAAGACACAATTCTTGCGCTAGTCCTGTGAAGTGTGAGTTGTCAGCCTCACAGTGACAACTACCTGTGTAGTGAGCCCCTGCCCCAACCCTTATGAATGAGTGGTTGATGTCCTCACCCATTCCGTCTCTCGGCTTTGGCAGCTGCATGCAACAATTTCATTGCACAATCAGATTACACTTCAGTGGAAATTTCAAGATAAAATCATTGACAACATTCTCCTTTCTATTGCTGCAGTGGTTCCTAATCTCATATGGGCCAGGCACCCTTTTGGGAATCTGATGAAAGCCACTGGCCGCCTTTGGGAAAGTGAATACACAGCATTTTTGTGTTCAGTTTCAGGATGTTCACAGTCCCCCAAAACTCATCCAGGAAATTGCAGTCCCCAGGTTAAGAAATCTCGGTTCTGGTCATGGTGGTCAGGAGGATGGCATTTGGGATCAGTTAGACATGGCCTTTGAAGTTGACTTCTGTCACTTACAGGTGGGATAAGTTTCTCAACCCCTCTCAGCCTCAGGTTCTCCGTCTATAAAATGGGGTATTTGCACCTCATGGACTTGCTGTGAGGATTAAATAGGATAAAACACGTAAAGCACTTAAAAGAGCACTGAGATGTTTCAAGTGCTCTCTAAATGGTGGCAGTTGTGCTGTGCTGGCCAAGGTCAGAAAATTTCAACAGTCAGCCAGTTTCAAATATTTATAATAAAGCAACCTTATAAATTTTATGGCTGCTTTTTTCTTTTAAATCACACAGTCTAAAACAACAATCCAAAAGAATGCAGTTTCCTCATAACTTTCTCTTTGGAAGGCTACACACTTATTTCAAAATATCTGTGGGGTTCTTCTTTGGGAATTGCTATCAGAGGCCCTGATTCATTTTGGGTATCCTCACTGGGATATATTGTTTAAGAATGAATTTAGTGTTTATAAACAGCTGGAAAATATCTGGGGCCAACTTCTATGGCATACGGTAAATAATCAAGCTGGGTAATACTATTTTTTGGTCAAAAACAAGCTGTAATTATTAAATTAGGGCATTGATTTTTTGCTATCACTTATAATTGATGCATGATTATCAAAACTAATTTTTTTTTTTTAAGACAGCCTCTTGCTGTGTCGCCAAGGCTGGAGTGCAGTGGCACAATCTCAGCTCACTGTAAACTCTGCCTCCCAGGTTTAAGCGATTCTCGTGCCTCAGCCTCTCGAGTAGCTGGGGTTACAGGCGCGCACCACCATGCCTGGCTAATTTTTGTGTTTTTAGTAGAGACGAGTTTTTGCCATGTTGGCTGGGCTGGTCTTGAACTCCTGGCCTCAAGTGATCTGCCCGCCTCAGCCTCTCGAAGTGCTGGGATTACAGGCATGAGCCACCGCACTCAGCCTCAAAACTAATTTTGACAACAAGGTACAAAAGTTAATCAGTACAACATGGCATCAAGTATTCACCAAAATGCTATCTTTGTGATTTTTTTTCTTTTTCTGTGTGTATTTGATTATCTTTTTTTTTAACAACGAACAATGCCACTTTTACAAAGGGAATAGTTAGTTTTAAAAATTGTGTCACATAGAGAAATAAATAACTAAATTTTCCCCTTTTCAAAGGCAGTCTTGTAGGTGACAAGCAGTAAATCAAATTACACTTATGAACTAAGGCATGAAATAGGTCTCAGTCACATTTGGATTACTTATCCTGGGTCCATCCGACAGTGATTGAAAATAGCCTTGATATTCTCACAACATAGAAAAAATATCATAAAATGTAGTCACAATTTAAGAATTGTTTCCCTTTTCTAATGACCTTTACTAAATTTTAATATAGATATTTTAGTAAAATAAGAGTCAGCAAACTTATCCTATAAAGGGCCACATAGCATTTTAGACTTTTTGGGACATGCAGTATCTGTGGCAACTACTCTACTCTGCTGTTGTAGCACAAAATGAGCCATAGATAATACATAAATGAATGGGCATGACTGTGTTCCAATAAAACTTTATTTACAAAAACCAACTGACCTGGTCCTGGGCTGTGGTTTGCCAATCCCAATCTAAAATATAAATTTTAACAGAGAGGAGACTACTTGAAACTAGGCACGAGTCAAAGAAAGTACCAAGTCATGTGTGGTGTTTACACTAAGAATTGGTCAGCGCAGAAGGGAATGGCTATCCCATTATTTTCATGCAGAAAATTGATGTCTTTTCAACGTTTGGGGCTCAGCAAAAACTCAGATTCAGCTTTCAATGACTCCTTTTAAAAAATTATTTGAAATCTTCACTGGAAAAACTTTCATCCCCTTTGATGTTTCTAAAGACAGGGTCTTAACTGTGTTGCCCCAGCTGGACTTGAACTCCTGGGCTCAAACAATCCTTCCACCTCAACCTCTGAGTAGATTTATCCCTTTTGATTTTATGAGAAAGTGCTAGCAGGATGTAAATTACAAGATGTGTAGAAGACATCCTAATACCAAACCCAAGAAAATAAATCACCTTCTTCAACAGCTTGCTTCTCTCAGGCTATATGTGTAACTTCGTAAGTGTTCAAGGGCCCTTTTAAAATGGACATTGCTACTCTTGTGGTTTCCTGTTGTGGAAGTAAGCTTATGAAACAGGGCCAGGTCGTATGTGGCCACATCCTTACCAAATGCCCATACGTCTGACTTGCTGCTGTATTTGAAGTAATGAAACACCTCTGGAGCTGACCACTTGACTGGAAACTTTGTTCCGACTGAACTGACATACTGGTCATCAAGAACATACCTGCCAGGGAAAACACATCAACACAGACCTTAAGCCGTGGTGGTACAGGCTGATGAAGGACACGGAAGCCACCCAGAGTCTCAGTCGATTGCCTCAGTTTTCTGGAACTTTTGTTTCCTTTCAATGTGTGGGCTTAGCTGGAGGCTGCTTATGGTTTGTAAGCATTTAAAAGATAATATCTAACTGAATACAGCAAAACCTCAATGCAAAATGTTTGGTAAATATAGAAAAACACAAAAAAGTAAAGATAAAATTACTCAGAAACCCACCCTAAAGATAACCTGTAATTCTATCACTCAAAATACATTTTTCTTTGTACTTTCTGATCTTATTTCCCACATATATAAGTTGAACAAAATAGGGTTTCTGTTATATTGAGATTTGCTTTTATTTTTCCTTTAATGGTATATCATGAGCATTTCCCCATACGGTTACATTTCTACTGCAGCATCATGTTTAGTGGCTGAATACCATTCCCTCTTATTATTTCTTCTTATGGAAGGAATTAAACATAATTTATTTAACCAGGTAAATTGCTACTAATCTTCTGCTGTTATGAATAATGATGAACAAAAATATCCTATGGAGATATCAAGACCAAAATACATGTTGAAGAATGTTCACTAAACTCTTTGTTTGTAATAATGATAAAATGAAAGCAACCTCAATGTTCCCAATGTTGAGGAGTAATTAAATATATTATGGCACACTCACACAATAGAATAGCACATAGCCATTCAAAAATGAGATAACTCTTCACCAAAATAAAAAGGTGCTCATGGTATATGGTTATGTGCAAAAGAAAGTGTGTATAATGTGATTCCATTTTTTGTGTGTGGGAACAAGTAGTAAATGTGCATATTTGTGTATATGATTGGATACACTTAAGAATGAGGTCTGAAAGGATACCCACCAAACATCTGAGCAGTGGTTACTCCTAGCACTGAAAATGAGGGACAGATTCTGTCAGAATAGGTAGCTAGGCAGACATGAGCAGGGCAGGAGAGATCCCCCACCCCCAACCCAGGAATATTAGGTGACCGTCAGGTAATAGTCAGGCAGTTGTTAACCGTCTCTCTAAAATAATAATTGGTCGCAGCTGGTGCCAGGGAACGGCAGTCTCCCAATAGATAGAAAATACTTGAAGCTGATGATCAACAGCTTCCTGATATGATCTCAGGAGTTGGGCAACTGGGGTCAAACATGCGCAATAAGAGGCAAAATAATGGAGTTTAACTGGTATATGACCTTCCTCTAAGAATACTCGACTGGTAAAAGAAAAATGCCTCAAATGAGCATGCGCACAACCTAAGTAAACACACTGTGCGTGCGGCCCCTCCCAAGTGCTGGCAGGCTACTGCTCATGCAGACAGCCCACCCCAAGGGAAGAATCAGGGGAGAAAAGATGCAAACTTTGGAATTATGCCAATGTATGAAACCCTAAGTCAAGGGCCAAGTAGGGCAGTTGGATCTCTCAAGTTGCCCTCTTGGCCCTCTTCCAAGTGTGCTTTACTTCCTTTCCTTCCTGCTCTAAAACTTTTTAATAAACTCTCACTCCTGCTCAAAAACTTGCCTCAGTCTCTCTCTCTGCCTTATGCCCCTCAGATGAATCCTTTCCTTTGAGGAGGCAAGAATTGAGTTGCTGCAGACCTTTACGGATTCACTGCTGCTAACAATTCTACTTTTTACTTTCTACACTAATGCTATTTTTCTTATAATAAGTACATATTATTTATAGTATTAATAAAAGAGAACATCATATATTTGCCCACAAAAACCACAACAAAAACAAACACATAATGACTCTTAATTAGAGAAAATAGAACAACAGGAGTTATGGCAATTGGAATTTTGGATATAATTTACACACCAAATGTTTTAGAGATCTCACTGTAATTTAAAATAGCTGGCTGGGAAGATCATCCTTCTAAATATTAACAATAATATTAATAAACTACACTTTCATAGGATTACATACAGTACATTCCATACTTTTCTCCCCAGAACCCCTCAGCTCCCCAGACACTACCAGATACCCAGACACTACCCTGGCACTCCTGGTTTGGGGATGCTCATGGCTTAAACCTTCCTTCAAGCTAGTAGGAGCAAATGAAGTCACAGGCATCTAATTGATGTGGCCACAGAGCTTCATAACCAACAGGGCTGGTACATGGCTTCCAGGATCTCTTACTCAGAGCAAGATCTCTTTTTTCTTTGGATCTTTTTTTGGAAAAGTCTCCCTTTTCCAAAGCTACAGAGAACGTGAAAGCATGTTCCCTGGATGCTGGCATAACAGCCAATATTCTTGCTTTTAGAGTAAAGGTGGGGATCAGTTCCCTTGACCTGGGAGCTTCTCCCTGCTTTAAGAACCTGTCAGCAGATTTTTTTTTTCTTGCTCTTGAGAAAGCTACATGTTTGGAGGGTCAGTGTAGGGGACTCAGTGTATGGTGGTTGGAGTGACGGTAGCTAGTACACAGCTAAAAGGACATCTTGCCAATATTTAGGGCTCCCAGAGGAATTACCATAGCTTCCACGGTATGTGCCACAAGGGTCAAAAAGCATCCCCTAACACTGAATTTTGGAGAAGACATTAAAAAAACAGATCCTCCTATGGCATTTTAGGGCAATGTTTGCTAAATATTAACCTGGCCTTGGTCAACTCTTCAGATCTCTTTTAAACTGCATTATTCACCTTCAGAATTACATATTGAGTCAGCACAACTTTATAGTTATATTTTGTCTCAATGTCAGGGATATCTACTTGCCCTCTAGACTAAACTGTGGTCATTTTGAGAGCAGGGACTATCCTATTCATATCAGTATCTCCTGCAGGACTGAGGTATTCAGTAGGCACTCAATAAATGTTGAATAGAAAGGTTAATGTGTATGTCTTCGTTTTCTTTGCAAAACTATGAAAATTTGCTCTGAGGCTTAAATAGTATTAGGATACAGGATTAAGGTAAAAGAAGACTTTAAAAAAACGATCGTAATCAAAATAATTGTTCCACATCATTAAGTGGTGGTAGAATGCCCATCAAGAGAATCTCAGAGTCTAGTTTTATGCCTTACTTTGTGATGCAGAAAATCTAATGATGTGACAACAAAAATTTTCCTAGTGTGAATGCTCTACCCATTTGAACATCAGGTTTTTTTTTTAATGACAGACAAAAAGAGCTAGCAGATCCTTGATTGAGTTAAAAAATTATAAATATTTATCCATTCTTTTTAAATGGCTGAGTAGTACTCCAAAATGCTTGAGGGGATGGATACCCCATTCTCCATGATGCGATTATTTCACATTGCATGCCTGTATCAAAACATCACATGTACCCCATAAATATGTATACCTACTATGTACCCACAAAAATTAAAAATAAAAAAATTTAAAAGAAAGTAAAACAATCCAATAATGTGGCTGTAACATGTTGTATTTAAATTTAGGATCTTTCATGGAATTTATTTAGAAGTTTAGAAAGTATCAGATTGTTGAAAGAACTAAAAGTGACGTCAGATAATTTCTGAAGAACAATCCCATGGGAGGGACTTAGGTTTCTAAGCCCCCAATTCAGAGCACCTTCTATATCCCCACAAAGCCTTCAATTATGATGGTGTTCAAATGTGAATGGAAATCCCCCTTTCACTGGTTGCCCTTTCGGAATTGGCTTACCTTGTCATTCCAAAGTCAGATACTTTCACACAGAGATCTCTGTCCACCAAGCAGTTACGAGCAGCCTTTAAAGGAAAAACAAAATCACCAAGTAGTGAAAGTGACCAAGAATCTCCTGACATTTTCCTCCTTTTGAGTAGAATTCTCAGCAAAATCTAAGATTACCTAGCACAACCCCCAAGTGCTCTAAAGTTGTCTTTTTTTTCCTTTGCAATTTTCAATTTTTCAAAATAAAAATGTTCTCCCATGAGTACTTTCAACCAAGCATCCATCCTTGTCAAACAACATGAAAAGGTATTACACTTTAAACACAGAACCTTAGCTTATCAAGGAAAGATGAGAAATTTCTAGAATCTCCCTTTCCACCACCAGATACCGTGCATTCACAGATGCTTTGAAGGCATAAACGCTGCACCTGTGACTTAGGGAACACACTGGCCTAGTGTGAATGCAGGTCTACTGTTGAGCGCAAGAAAATCTCTAAAGATAAATCCCAGTGAATACCAAACACAGCATTCCCCACTCTCATTCTGATCCAAAGACACACAAATTCTATTTCCTTTTTTTTTTTTCATGTTCAGTTATTGTATCAAATGGCTGCTTTAGCACTAAGCCCTTCCTGAAATGAAGGTCAATTTGGGTTTAATGGTTTTGAGAGACACTAAATTGGCAGAAGTCTTTCCTTTCCATCTGTTCTCCTTCTTGCCACAACACAGCTATGTAGACCTTAACAGCTTATTTTATTCTCACTGTTCTTTCCATACTTCAAATATTTTTACATTGATTTTTGTAAAAATGTCATTTGCTTAAACAAGTCACAAGTGAGCAAAGTAGAAGTGATGGTGCCCTTCTTGCCTTCCCTACCAGTGACCCCATCTCCAGAAGTGGGAGCCGTGGACTGCTTTCTTTTCTTTGAAATTCCAATGGCTTTGCTTACCAAGTCCCGGTGTATGAATTGGTGACTCTCCAAGAAGGCCATGCCTTCACAGACATCGTAGCACATTTCTAAGAGCTGGGAAGGTTCAAGTCCTTTTCCGTGACTCCTCAGGTAATTCAGCAAGCAGCCATTGCTTATATATTCAGTCACTATGTATATGGGGTATTCCTTTGAACACACTCCATAGAATTTAACCAGCTTGGGATGGCTGAGTTTCCTGGAAATAACAGATTTTCAAAGTTCAATGCTCCACACTCCATTTTCTACATGTACTGAAAAAGAGTTGCTCTCAGATTTCTGTTTGTTTTAATTCCCACCCCCACCCTCTTTCACTTGAACAGAGAAAGAGAGGGAAAAGTTTAGGATCTTATATTTCAAGCACAATTATCTTTGGAGGCAAAAAAAATTTCTGCCTCATATCAGACATTGGTGACTTCAGCAGCAATTTAGCAGTTTGTGAATGCTGTATTCAACTTTCCTACAGAGAATCAGGGTAGCAATGGTCTGTTGCACTGGAAACCCTGTTGAGTCTCATGGCATCCTGGGAACGTCCATGACTTATTTAGAGGAAGCCACACCCTAAGAACAATCATTTCTCTTTTATTAACTTTCACATCTAAATATTTCATTCTAAAAAAGTATATTAGAATACGAAGAATGTAGGCTAAATGAAGTCAGATGAGGTTTGATTTTTTTTCTTTTTTAAAAAATTATTTTACATTATTGTTTTCATTATTTTTGAATAACAAATTTATAAAATACTAACCATATGATGTAGCACTTCTGGTAGGTCATGATGGCATGGACACTCAGATTTTTTTTTAATGAGATAATTTTCATTTTATTATGGCAGATGGTTTTACCGTACCTCTTCCCAGCACCCTTTTTAAAATGATAAAGTTAAGTAGAAGAAAATGGAGCGTAATGTAGCTATGGGCTATTATTTAGTAATCAGATGTTCCAGATGGAAGTGTTTAATCTTGCGAATTGAAGAGTCCTTTAGTGTTTCTTATTAATTTAAGTAATATCAATCTTAAATTTTGTACTAGCCTAGAGCTTAAAAGAAATCAAGCAAACCTTCTTGTAAAGTGTGATTCTTCTACCTTAATTACCTTTCTCATGATATCTTTTCTCACCTATCTTTTTTTTTTTTTTTCCATTTGTGAGATGCATAGGTTAAGCTAAATGTCTAGCGGAGTCTCTAGCAGTGTGCTGCCATATCACCTTTACTTCTCCAGACAGGCTCCCGAACTGCTGCTTTACTCTCTTTACTGTCTTCACGGTTAAGCATAAAGCCTTTTGAAAGTACTTAGCAACTCCAATTACTCTTTCTTTTCTGTTCTACATTGTATTTCAGTGAATTTGGACACATTTTTGGATTGACATGTACTTTACTCTTAGATTCTGAGCTGACTCTGAGTGATCCATTGTACAAACAAACAGTGCAGTAGTGTAGTTGTTAATGAGTTTGGAGGTATTAGCCTTTTTGGGGAGATTAGTCTTTTGTCCATAATATGAATTACAAATAATTTTGCTCAGTTTATCATTTGTCTTTTAGTTTGCATAGGGTTTTTATTTTGTTTTGTTGCCACGCAGAAGTTGATTTTTAAATTTTATTTTTTTTTTTATTATACTTTGAGTTCTGGGATACATGTGCAGAACGTGCAGGTTTGTTACATATATATACATGTGCCATGGTGGTTTGCTGCACCCGTCATCTTCATTAGGTATTTCTCCTAATGCTATCTTTCCCCTATCCCCCACCCCCCAACAAGCCCCAGTGTGTGATGTTCCCCTCCCTGTGTCCATGTGTTCTCATTGTTCAACTTCCACTTATGAGTGAGAACATGCGGTGTTCGGTTTTCTGTTCCTGTGTTAGTTTGCTGAGAATGATGGTTTCCAGCTTCATCCATGTCCTTGCAAAGGACATGAACTCATTCTTTTTTATGGCTGCATAGTATTCCATGGTGTATATGTGCCACATTTTCTTTATCCAGTCTAACATTGATGGGCATTTGAGTTGGTTCCAAGTCTTTGCTATTGTGAATAGTGCTGCAATACACATATGTGTGCATGTGTCTTTATAGTAGAATGATTTATAATCCTTTGAATATATACCCAGTACTGGGATTGCTGGGTCAAATGATATTTCTGGTTCTAGATCCTTGAGGAATCACCACACTGTCTTCCACAGTGGTTGAAATAATTTACACTCCCACCAACAGTGTAAAAGCGTTCCTATTTCTCTCCACATCCTCTCCAGCATCTGTTGTTTCCTGGCTTTTTAATGATTGCCATTCTAAATGGCGTGAAATGGTATCTCACTGTCGTTTTGATTTGCATTTCTCTAATGACAAGTGATGATGAGCTTTTTTTCATATGTTTGTTGTCCGCATAAATGTCTTCTTTTGAGAAGGGACACTCAGTTTTTACAAGCTCATTAACTTGTTCTTATATGATTAATCTAATTTTAACAATTTACAGGATTATTCTGTAATGTTCAAATGTGTAAAGAAATCTAAATTTAACATGTGAAGTTTTAAATATTTTAATAAGAATTTATTAAATTTTTAGTTATTTTCTTCCTTCTTAGTTTAACTATAGGGACAATGCTTATCATGTCACTCAAGTTGATGAGCTTGGGAGTATTCATCTTTTAGCAGTTTTGGAGACCTGCATGGTACTCAACACTGCTCCCTTCAGAGGGAAGGCTTGTGATGGCACAAAGGTCCATCACCCAATAAAGAAATATTCTTTGAACAAATTCAGTCACTGCCCAGGTGGCTCAAGGTGAGGGCGCCATATTAACTGATATTCCCCACATGATAGGCTTCAGCTTGACCCCTACATTTGGGATTAGACTTTTTCCCATTGTGGCACAGTTTGACGTTTTTCTTTATGATTAGGTGATGTTTTTAAATGACTTCTTGTGATTTTTTTATGGATACCAGCTTGGTAATGGCAAAAATATGTTTTAAAGTTACACCAAGACACAGAGGTTACATCATGAGCCTGTAACCATGAGAAAAATCTGGCAGAAAGTTTCTGCCAGATTTTCCTGTCCTACAAGAGGAGAATATCAGGGGCCCCCTTCCCAGTTTTATGACAGTCCAATCACTGAAGGCAGAACCAGTTACATAATTGCAGGCACCAATGCAAAATGAAAATGCAGGAATCCTTGTTTAAAAATCACGAAGTATTACTTCAAGATGACAACAGCAGAGCATTAAACCAAGCACAGGGCCCTTCTAGGTACTGTGCCCTTCTAGGTACCTTCTAGGTACTAGGTACTTCTAGGCCCTTGCAACTGTGCAGATCTCATATGCCCATGAAGCCAGCTAGGGCCAAAGGCCTATATTCACATAGCATCTCTGCTTCCAAATAATTTTGCAATTATGGTAAAAGTGATTGTTCTGACTTTCCTAATTCCTTTGGTCTTCATAAAAGAATAACTAAAGAAATGGACCCTAGAATGTCTGCCTGGGTTTGTATCTCTGCTTTTCGACTTTTACTAGCTTGCCGACTCTGGACAAGTTATTCAACATTTCTGTGCTTCGGTTTCCTGTAAATCTAAGATAACGATGGTACAACCCTCATAGGTTTCTTATGGGGATTAAGTGAGTTAATATTTGTAAAGTGCTTAGAGAAATGCCTGTAAACACTGTACAGTATAACTGTTTAAGTAAAAATTTAAAAAGTGCTCTCAATCTCTAGCAGGCTAGGAATTTTTTTATTTCAACTATTTTTGACCAGAGACCTACTATAACATCATTTTTCATACCATACTGATTGATTCTCTAAAAGTAGAGTGACCAACTGTCCTGGTTTGCCTGGGGCTGGGAGGTTTCCTAGGACACAGGACTTTCAGTGCTAAAACCTCCCAGACCTCAGCAAACCTGAATGGTGGTCACTCTACAAAGTCTGATTTACTATGTTGACAAGAAGAGGGAGAATTATATACAACTGAGAGAGGGAGAGAGAGGGAGAGAGAGAGAGAAGGAGAGAGAGGAAGAGGGAGAGAGAGGGAGAGAGAAAGAGAGAGAGGGGGAAGAGAGAGAGAGAGAGAAGACACAGAGGGAAAGAGAACACATATGTATTGCCAATAATTGAAGGCTGTTGTGCTGGGAGCTGAGACACATTAGGAAGAGTATTAGACTGTATTGAAGGTACCAAGAAGGAAAAGGATATTGTTGGTAGAGCATTAATTTTCAGTACTGCATTAGTTCTGGGTGGTAGCCCCACTCTGTTCTTCATCCCACCATGCACCTCCCCACAGGGCAAGGAGGCCACAGGGCCAAGGAGACATGCCTACTCCGACCCTATATGTCCCTTTCTCTGCCACCCTTAGAGCACCAGGACTCTGAAATCACCCAACCATATAGTCCTGAGGCCTCTTTCAGGACCTGTGCTGACTCTTCCTTAAGGAGTCTGTCCGCTTAAGGGTAAAGCACACTACCCCTAGCCAAGATCATTAGCCACTAGATAATTGTTTGCGGGAGACAAAGAGGGAGCTTGTGTGTACTGAATGCTGTGTCTGTACATAACTACTGAGGCCCCTTATAGTGCAGGACGGAGTTGGGTATGAGGGGAGAAGCAGGAGGGGTGGAGTTTGGAAGACCACAGGCCAGAGGCTGGTTTCTTTGTAGAGTCTTGGGAATTCTCAATTTGAATATGGCCTTTCAGGTTGTTATGAAGGTATATTTGTCAAAGTAGGAGCATAAGACTGATTTGATTTAATAGTCTGTTAGTTCAATTTATAACTTCTAAATATTTATGTCTATGATACAGTATGTGGACTTTTGCTCTAGGCCTTGCAAAGTTAACAGCAGGCCTATTAGTGCTAATGCCCTCCCATGATGAGGGCTAAACAGCCATTCCTTGGGAAAAACTTACATCATAGTCTGGGCCTCCTGAAAGAATTCATCTTCTGACATGGAGCCCTCCTTGATCATCTTAACAGCAACATCATACTGCCCCTTCCACTTGCCCAGCTGGACCACTCCAAACTGGCCACTTCCCAGCTCCTTCAACAAGGTAATCTCTTCTCTTTTCAGTTCCCAGATTCCTAACAAGGCAAGACGGACATTCTTTAGGACGAGCATAGAAAGCTTTGGGGCTAACAGCTTCCCAAGTGATTTCTTCTCCAATGGGAGTTTCACAGTGACAATATAAACAAGACTTTTTATTTTAAGTTGATAAGTTAAAAAAAAAAACCCTTAGTGATGTGGTCTTGTGGCTACGTGATAATGGCACCAGGGTAACACTATTCTTGAAGTAGCTACAGTTATTTAACAAGAAGGCTCAGAGTAAAAACAATTTGCCAATCAGAGGCATCTTGGAGAGGCTTAGCATCAAAATGTACTCGATGTCCTTAGATTGGTAAAACATTGTCAGATTTTTTTAATAAAAAAATTAAACTGTGATCGCAGTGGATGTGATCGTCCTAACACACAAGGTTGAATACTGGCTCTGCTCAGTGGGCACAAAATCCAGGAAAAAGATAGGACAGACAATGGTGTGCTGGAGGCTAATAATGGGGTCTGATAAGAAAACAAATTGATGATCTTCTTGGTGATTCTAGAAGCTTACAGATTTAGGTTGAGAGGACAGATTTTTTTTTTTTTTAAAGAAAATCCTTCCTGATACAATCTGAACAGAGGCCTCCTTCCTGTCTTTCCTCCTTTTTTTTTTTTTTTGCCAGTAAATTAACCATATATTTAAATAAAAAATGATGGAAAATGGAGTTTAAGAACCCAAGTATGTATCCATACCATTTCCCAGGGACACAGAGTCGGGGACCTTGTTGGCCTTTGTTGACACAGGGTGGCGGAGCCGTGTGATCATGCCTGCAATGGAATCAGCATCATATCATCACATCATTATATCATATCCCATCACATTATGTAACATTGGTTCACAACTAGTCTCTCTCCAAAGTGGCTGAAAAAGCAAAGAGTTCAGAATGTTGTAATGCAGAGAGAGAATCCATTCAGTTGTAGTTGTGCTTAACTTGACTAATTAGCTTAATGCAAAGCGAAAATTAAATGAATAAAACACTGTATGTGATTTTTAAAAATCCCATAGAAATTAATTGCATGATGTAATCTTTTAAAATTCTCCCCCTTCTTTTTTGCTATCTCTTTACAATCTTATGCTTAAAATATGTATACACACAGCACATACATTTGACAAAAAATTCAAACAATACAGAAGGGTAAAAATAATAAGCCATCTGAATTTTTAAAAACTGAACCTATTACTAAGTTTCATTAAGTGGTCAAGCCATTTTAATTGTTTATATTTAGTTATGGTAAAACTGGGTTAAAGTAATTATAAAATTTAATAGTGGCTTGAAAGAACCCATTAAAATATATGTATATATGTTTTTTGCTTTAAATGTGGAATGCTCTCCAAGTCAAGGGACCTATCTATCACACATGTACTTTTCCCCTCCTTCCTTTTTCTATATATTTGTCTGGTTTTTATATGAGTGGTCTCCAAACTTTTAAAATCCTTTACCTTTAATCAACTAAATTAATTAATTAAAATGTAAAAATTAGTACATTTCTATAAAATATATATTTGGTGTGAATTATAAAAATAAACTCACAAACAGAAAATGTAAGAGAATGAGATAAAAATCCAAATATAAATAAACATCTTAATATTTCCTTCTGATATCCTGTGAAGTTTCCTGTGCATCTCTTTGTGCAATACCTTTTACAAAAGGTACTTCTGAGGTACTACAGGTTAAAATAAACAATTGAGGAAATTGGGGCAAAGGAAAAACATCAGTAAGAGCCAAAATGAAAGCCAGAAGTGAGGTCAATTCACCTACATGCATGCAATCAAGTCATATAAAGTAACACAAATTAAGTGCTGAGCTTATGGCTTATTTTTACTCACTGTTGGAAATTCATCCAGCCACTGCTCTTAAGTGGCACTATTCTAGAAAACAGAGGGTATTTCTAGATGTATTTCCACCAGTTGATTAGGCAAAAATTTAGAAGACTAATAGCACCCAGTGTTGGTGAGGATGAAAGAAAATGTTGTTAGTAGGATTGTACATTTCTGAAAAGCAGTTGGCAATCTGTACATTTTAAGTATTCTTAGCCTTTGTCTCAGAAATTCCATTTCTAGGGATTTGGCTATAGAACCCCTCATATAGATGGACAGAGCTATGCATGCAGAATTGTGCACTGAAACATCCATTATAATGTGAAAATACTGGACATGATCCAACTGCTAATCAACAGAGGGCTAGGTGAATAAATTATGGGGTAACTATGATAGAATTCTACACAGCTGTTAAATAGACCAAAGTAAGCTCTTTGTGTTTGCGTGGAAAGACTTCTAAGACATGTTGAGTAAAGAAAGCAAGCTGAGCAATATGT
The DNA here is from genome assembly GCF_000001405.40 of Homo sapiens. NCBI lineage: Eukaryota > Metazoa > Chordata > Mammalia > Primates > Hominidae > Homo > Homo sapiens. The sequence continues at coordinate 15,534,804 of NC_000023.11, read as the reverse complement.
GTAGAATGATCTCATCTCTGTAAAAATGTAATGTATATACATAATATATAATTTCTATTTATATATGTAATGATTAGTAAGTGCTAGTGGCAGCATGCAAAAAACCCTGTCATAATAGACAACTGGTCCATGATCCAACGATATGTATATATTTCTATAATATTTTAAATTTATAATCCTCTTGCTTCTATACACAGAAAAACCCTACGAATATTTTTATAAAGAGAATTTCTCTTTCTAAGTCACCCAGTTTACTCAATTTCATTCTTTCTGGCATTAAGGAGAGAATCATGTTATATTCCTGGGAATGTAAGCTAAAAATTATGATAGGCAAAAGACTTGAGAGGATTTTTTCCTACTTTCATGGTTCCCTATATAATTAAGAATATTAGGAGGATCAGTAGTATCCAGGAAAATTGCTGTTTTACAACAAGGGCCCATAAAAGAAAAACTAAAATAAGTTACCTGCTGAATTGTGTTGATGATAATGAATAAGCTTTGGAATGGAATCAAAACAGTAGTTTTCTGCCAGGTATAATTTGTTCTCAGCATTTGTATGCACGTGGTAATGTTTGACAGTTCCTTTTTTATCACTAGTAACAGAAAGAATGTTAGAACATTTAAAATAAACAATAAAGCTTGATTAAGCAAGGGTTAAATAATTATTTTAGGTGCATTTGCAAATTTTGGAGAGGGAAGTCAGGGAGGTTTTCTCAGGCTTGGCATCTGGTGTTTTTCTCAGTCTTGAAATCTGGTGTAACTATAAAAGTAATTATGGAAGAGAGTTCTTCTCTGAACTCAATGTATCTTTTGGTGCACATATAGATTTCATGTACAGTAAAATTCCAACTTTCCAGGCTTCTCCTCCCTTAGTAAGTGTATAAAACTGGAATCTTTCTTTGATGATCGAGAGAGGCTTGTAGTTCTTCAGGATCATTATTCTGAACATAAATTATCTTATAGGATAATAATGGAGGTGGAAATGAGAGAGGTAAAGGTGATTAGGCTGTTGGGTATCCTCACCCCAAAACATGGGAGGAGGCTCTTTTGGGGCATGCAGAATGAAGTAGGTGAGGATGTCCTTTAATTCCTCATGTGAACTTGTACCTTCTCCACATAAAACACTTTTTTCTTTTCCTCTGCTTTTATACAATAATGCTGAATTGATGCACGTTGATTTAAGCTAATCAGGAATAATACACCTGTCTTAGATTGTAGACAATGACATAGTGGTCAAGAACCAGGCTTTGAGTTTAGTTCTATCACTTGCTAGCTACCTATATGGTTATGCCTGGCATATAAGAAACAGTTAATAAATTGTTGCTGTATAGCAAACTAACACAGGAACAGAAAACCAGATACCACATATTTTTACTTGTAAGTGGGAGATAAATGATGACAACACATGGACACATAGAGGAAAATAGTAGACACTGAGGCTTACTTGAGGGTGGAGGGTGGGAGGAGGGAGAAGAGCAGAAAAAATAACTATTGAACACTAGGCTTAGTAGTTGGGTGATGAAATAATCTCTACAAGAAAGCCACATGACAAGAGTTTACCTATATAACAAACCTGTCACATGTACCAATCAACTTAAAATAAAAGCTAAAAAATTAAAAAATTGTTGCTGTAACATCAACCGAGTAAAAATTGCAAGTACAAAAGGAGAAATGGTTCTTCTCTTTGCTGCAAATGTTTAATCAGCTTTTGGTGTCAGCATACAATTCACTCAAGGCCATTGATGAGGTTTCATAAAAGAGGGCTTCTGTATTCATTTGATTCTTTATCTATTTGCTGATTTATCTACCTGGCTACCTTAAAAAATGAATCTGTAGTCAAGAAACTCAACTACAAGGACATCTGATACCAGGTTTGGCTGAAACTGCAGGGCCAGAAGGCCACAAAACTTTTGATAGTCAACAAAGTCTTCTCCTGATTCTTACTGGGTTGGCTTTAGCCAGCATCCAGGTGTTACCATGTGCAAAATAATATATGAGATACACTGGGGACATGGATTCTGGCATTGGAAAGTGCTGTGGGACAATTCAGGTACATCCTATTATCTCAAGTGTAGGTAGGCACTCTGTAAAAAATTTCAAAATAAAATAACGTTTTTATTACTTAATTATTATAAATATACATATATGCACTGTGGGGTAGGGCACATGGGGAAGGCACCAAGGCAGACGATCATTCAATCTAGCTGCTAAAAAAGAGTTGCACACATAGAAATTTAAAAGAAGATCCGAATCAATATTTGACCAGATTCTCATTCCAAAACACTGGGGGTTCAGTGTAAACACAGAGGTGTAGATAAAGAAACATGACTTGGCTATTGGAAGCCCAGCTTCAAATTAGTCACTTAGTAGCTCCAGGTAGGTCTTTATAAGCTCTTTTTGAACCTCAATCCTCTCATCTGCAATATGGTATAAATAAAAACAGCTTTCCCATTTGCTTTGGAGGACGATTAGAAGGAAAAAAAAAGAGCTAACTACCAATAAGAAAGTGGCTTGTAAAACTCTGGAGAAGGATTTTGATGATGATTTGCATGAGATGACTGTGGGGTGTCTTTTATGCCCAAGTGTTAGGGTACAGGGAGTGGAGCAGGTAGAACTACCCTTCCCCAGCAACAACAACAACAATAATAGTAAGTACTATTAGTTTATTAAGTGCTTACTATGTGTCAGGCACTGTTCTGGATATAATATATTAATTAACTCACCCCACTCATAGAACGTAACAATCATTATGTTCCCCTTTCAAATGAAGAAGTTGAGGCACAGAGGCTGAGAAACTTGCTCAATGTCACAAAGCCCTATTGAAATAGTAGAGCCAGGATTTGGATCTAGAAGTTTGGCTTCAAACAAGAACTTTTAGTCACACAAAGAGGACAGAGCCCTGGAAGGAAGCTGTGTAGAGAACACAGCAGCACTGAGTCAACCTTCTGCTAACTCTGCACCCAGTGGAAGGGCTTACTAAGAACTGGACACTGGAGTAGGCATCTTTGCTCAGCAGGTGGCTAGGGCTGAGAGTATAGACGCTCCATTGCTATTTTTTTTCTTTCCAGGCTTAGACCTGAATGAAAGGGAATCACCCGAGAGTCTCTTAATAAACATTTACTGAGGCATGCTGTGCTCTGGGCACTCTGTTACTGCCTGGAGTGGGGCAGGAGAGGATTAGCCAGAGAATGGCCTCTTGAAAGTAGTGGGGCAAGGATGGTGGGGCAGTGGGGTGAGAGTGGTGGAGGCAACTACAAATGGTCACATTCAATAGAAATACTTTGATTTAAAATTCCAGAGTTTAAAGATGATGTCTTATCCCAAAATGTGATTGTGACCAGCATATTCAAAGAATATACGCAGAAAGAGAAAAGAAATTAATCCGTATCATACTTACTTCACAGCCTTACTAAATAAGGACACTGTGTACATTCCCACTTGGCTCGAATTTCTAACCATAAATGCTCCTTCTTTTCCCTGAAAAGGAAGGAAAATATAGAAGGAATAGAAAATATTTTCATCATTCTTGAAAATGATTTTGCATGGTAGGTAGTTGGAAAACAAATCTTTTAGATTGACTTTATATATCACAAAAGGCACAGGTTTCTCACTCAATCTCTTTATAGATCTGCTCTATGTGTATGTGTATGTGTATGAACTCTTCCTCTCCAATTAATATTTAACCCTATCACTTACTTTTCTCGGTGTTGTGCTTATGCAAGCCTAATGTTTTCATCTTTAAGAAATACAATTTAGAACCGTGTATCACCGTATCATGCCTTTGGAAGGTTTTAGAAAACCAAAGATCAAGAATAAATCAGTTGATAAAGTTCTATACTCAAGTTGTCTTTCTCAATGATTTGTGCTAATTCTAAGCAGATCAAAGTTCAGAAAGAGCAGATTATAAACTATGAATGTGACAAAACGCCAAATGAAGTCATTACATTCTCACTAGCACCCCTCAAAGAAATAAGTGTAATGTTTAGTGTTTTTATCAGGTTAAACTATATCAAAGTGTCATTTTTAGAAATCAAAAGAGTTTGCTACTGGCATTCCATATCAATTAGTAATAAAGTCAGATAAACATGTTCTGTATCACATCTGCTATACTCTGGTCTAGGTGCTAACGAGCAGTGACAGAGCTGAGGTTAATGGCTACATTGACGGCCTCCGATAAATCATCTCTCTTATTCATGCTGTGAGCAGTCCCCTCCCATACTGACTCTGGGCTGAGCCATGTGACTTGCTATGACCAATAGGACCTTAGCAAACACAACAAAAGCAGAGACTCGAAAAGTGCTTGCACTGTGGGGCTCGTCCTCTTCAACTACTGCCTTGAGATCACCATGCTGTGAGGAGGCCCAAGTGAGGCACATGGAGAGACTGCTTGGGGAAGAACTGTGGAACTCCAGTTGACTGCCTCAGCTAAACCCAAGCCCCCAGTCAATCCACGACCCAAATGCAGCCACAGGAGTGCCCCTAAGCAAAACTTGCCTAAGAACTGCTGGCCCAGCTGACTCACAGAATCATGAGATATCATAAATCCCACTGTTTCAAGCCACCCAATTTAGGAGTGGTTTATTATGCAGCAATACATAATGGACACAGAAGTAGTGGCTAGACATGAAGAGTCGGGCAACCCACAGACTGGACAAGCAACACTACAATGACTTGACTATATAATTAGCAGGAAGGTTTCTATGAGAAATGCATCAACCTCTGGACCCCAAAATGCAAAGAGATTCTGTGAGGCTGTTTTAAAGACAAGACTATTTACCTTTTGTCTGAGTAACTGTTCAGATTGTGATCTGGAGATGTTACCAGCAAACCAGCTGCAAAAGGAAAAAAATTATATGTGAGAATCAATAAGTTTTAGATTGTATAGCTTGACACTCAACTTTCTAATCTGTAAAATGAGGCATTGGCTTACCTCAGGGGTTTCCAAGCCTAACTGCTCCAGAGAATGATTTGAGGAGCTTTTCAGAAATACAAATGCTTAAGTCCCCACTACTAAATTCTGATGTTGGGGTGGAGTCTGCACATCTAATTTTTAAATGGGCTGGCATTTAGGAATCTTTGGTTTTCTTCTAGGTGACTTCTAAGTTTTCCTACATTTTACCATTTTGAGTAAGGGCTAGAGATTAGACCTATGAAGAATATTCCAAGAGGAAAGTCAGGGCTGCCAAGGATGAAAGCTCTTGTCTTCCAATCATATAATTTCCTTGTAATAATCTGATTATAACATCTATTTTCACATCAAATGCTTTTACTTTATATGTGGAGCTCAACAGGCCAAGAGCTGTTTCTCATGTGAGGGCAATAATGTCTGTGGCCTTTGGGCTTTAGACAGAATGTCCTACTTAGGAAATGAGTAAAAGCAGGGCATGAGGTGGGATGTAGCATGGGTTTGGGTGAGTGGGAGGACCCACTGGCTAGAAGATAACATCTGCAGAGGAAATAAGTACAAGAGGGGGGTGAGGGTAGAAGGGAGGAGTTATAGGAGAAATTCAATGTAGAAGGTATCTCAGAACTTGGCAGGAATGGATGGGAAGTGATTCTTTGTATAATCTCTGTATGAGTTTTGGGAAGGGATGTCAGCTGGTGGACAGCTCAATAAAATAGAAAGAGCCTTAGGTCACCCAGCTTGGAGGTCTGGGTTCTAGGCATAACTTCCCTATGTGTAATTGTATGACTTTGAACAAGCCACTTGGCCTTGTTTGACCTTGGACTTCCCTACCTGTAAAACTAGGGAGAGGGTTGATCTTGATAAGTTTGAAAGTCTCTTTTAACTCTACCATTATGGATACTGTATAACTAACACTTGAAATTTTAACTGATCGTTTTTCTTATTAGTCAACATTTTAAGGTAATACTAGCTAATCAAAAGGCCCTTCAGGGGCTGTGATACAGGATATATACCTACAGGGGAATAGAAGGAAGAAAATCAAGAATCAGGAGAGAGGCCTGGAGAGGCAAGGTGATATAACCTATGTACCCTATACATTATACCTCCCACACACATACAAACGTTGCCTGTGTCATAATTTTGCTGAGGCCTGCCTCTTATTGTTTTAAATAATATTTCAGTATTCAATGACAGAGCAGCAGAGTCCTAGGCCTAAGGTTTTTTTTTGTTTGTTTTGTTTTTTGACAGGGTCTCACTCTGTCACATAGGCTGGAGTGCAGTGGTATGATCTCGGCTCACTACAGCCTCGACCTCCCGGGCTCAAGTGATCCTCCCACCTCAGCCTCCCAAGTAGTTGGGACTACAGGAATGGGCAACCACACCTGGCTAATTTTTGTATTTTTGTAGAGATGAGGTTTTGTCATGTTGCCCCGGCTGGTCTCAAACTTCTGAGCTCAAGAGATCTGCCTAGCTCAGCCTCTGAAAGTGCTGGGATTATAGGCATGTGCCACTGTACCTGGCCAGGCCTAGTCTTAACACACGATTTTCTATCTAAATCTCAGGGCTTAGTGCTTCTGTCTTTAATGGAATTGACTGGAATTGCTCATGAAGTTATGGCCATAAAACAAAAACTCCCATGACACTGATAGAATAGGAAGCTGGGAGCATTAAGCACAATGTGAGGTGACTGAGTCCCAGATCCTATAGCCCTATAATCCCGAGCTCCTTTTGGTATCTTTTTGATTTTGAAGAGGACAAGTCTTCCCTGATAATTTCCTCAATGTCTGTCTCTCACACACCACTTGCATTCAGAAAAGATGGGAATAGAGACTGTTTAAATGGTCATATCTGGGCTTACCCAATCAGGGAAAGACTTCTAATTTATTTAAATGCTAAAGAGTACAATCCACAATTAGAGGTTCACTCCCATTGGTTTAAGTCTTTGTGTTTCATTAAAGTGCAATTATCTTTGGAAATGACCATGCGTTGGTCATTCTCAGTCTTTTATGTCTTAGTATGAATTATTCCATCAATGCTTTCCTGAGAATAGATGTTAGGGAAGAAAGTAAAGCCGAAAGAGAGCTAGAAGGTGATAAAGAGACCATGCCACAAAGATGTGGAGGGTACAGCACATCTTCCCCAATGCAACAGGTATGGCTAGGACCAGGCTGGGTTAGAGATGAGAGGAGGAGTGAAAACAGTAGCATGTACTTTGTAAAAGCTCTCGTTTCACATGTAATCAATAAATCAATAATACAACACTTGTACAAAAACAGAACTGGAAATATGCATAATCCTAGTGTTCAAGTGAATTCTGTGCCATTTGGTATCAAGTGTCTGAGAAATGCAATATGCTCTATTATTCCCACCTCTTCTTAACACTAATCTTTACATCTAGGAGACAATTATTTGTCCCTATTTGTAGAATGATAGACCCTTAGATTTTGGAAAGAACCTTAATAGCCACTTAGGCCAACCTTCTCAGTATAGTTGGGGTGACCACACGTTCTTATTTGCCCAGAAGTCCAGTTTATGTCAAATGTCCAGGTGTAATTTTTATTTTAATTTTTGTGAGTACATAGCAGGTATATATATATGTGTGTGTGTGTGTGTGTATATATATATATATATATATATATATATATATATATTTGTGTGTGTGTGTGTGTGTGTTTGTGTTGTTTTTTTTTTTTTTTTTTTTTTTTGAGACAGAGTCTTGCTCTGTCGCCCAGGCTGGAGTGCAGTGGCGCCATCTCGGCTCACCATAGCAGGTATATATATTTATGGGGTACATGAAATATTTTGATACAGACATGCAATGCATAATAATCACATCATGGATTATGGGGTATCCATCCCTTCAAGCATTTATCCTTTGAGTTACAAACAATTAATTATACTCTTTAAGTTATTTTAAAATGTATAATTAAGTTATTATTAACGGGTATAATTTTTAATAGTGCACTTTTTCTCTTTCTAAAGTATCCCAATTTTGATGTTAAATGAAAAGGTTGGCTGGGTGAGGTGGCTCACGCCTGTAATCCCAGCACTTTGGGAGGCCGAGGCGGGTGGATCACCTGAGGTCAGGAGTTCAAGACCAGCCTGGCAAACATGGCGAAACCCTGTCTCTACTAAAAATACAAAAATTAGCTGGGCATGGTGGCAGGCGCCTGTAATCTTAGCTACTCGGGAGGCTGAGGTAGGAGAATTGCTTGAACCTAGGAGGTGGAGGTTGCAATGAGCCGAGATCATGCCACTGCACTCCAGCCTGGGCAACAAGAGCAAAACTCTGTCTCAAAAAAAAAAAAAAAAAATGACAAGGTCATCCTAAGAATAGAGATCTGTCGACATAAATATTGCCATGTTCAAGGTCTCATTTGTGCTACCCTGTAAAATTACTGCATCATTAATAACTTCTCCAAAAATATTACTCAATGTTAATAAGAGCTTTCAAACATCACCTTAATTAGAGGTCTCCAGGAAAGAAATAATGAGCAGAAACATTATATGCTACATCTACAAAGGTAAAGTGAAATGAAGGTGACGCTGGACATACGATAAATCCAATAAGTATTTGCATCCAATTTAGATAATCCAGTTTTGGGGAAAATATTTTCGTTGGTAACAACCCAGCTCATTGTCACCTGTCATCTAGATAAATGACCCAGAACATTACGTGAGTTTACCCATGTAAATACAGCCTCCTGAGACGGTCTCAGCCATCTGTTTTAATGTCTTTGAGGAAGAGAGTAGAAGTATCTATGTCTAATTTTAGAAGAACCCAGAAGACTTTCAATACTCACTCATAATCATCCAGGTTTTCCTCTTCTTCAGATGAACTTGACTCAGGGAATTCCCTTAAGAAGAGTTGAGAAAAACGTGAGTGCAGAAAAGCACCAAGAAATAATCCAAGTGCGTAGCCATGCAATATCAAATCCCACCCTGATTTTATCCACCTAAATAACATTTAGATTGTTAGGTTTCTCCTTCTGCACCTGGCAAAGTATCAACACAGCAACAGTAAAGAGAGAGTCACTCAAAAGTTGGGCTTATGCCAAGTTTTAATGAAAGAATGGTTCTTTGATACAGGAGATCCCCAGGAGGCCCCCAGAAGAACTTATATTTCTTTGACTTTTTCCAAAGAGTGGGCTCACGAAATAGATGAAGACTCCTTCAGAGATGGCTGTAGTATCAAGTTAAAAAAAAATTGGGTTGTGTATATAGCTATTCTTATGGAAGAGTTATTCAACTCTAGGTTGCTTTTCTTCCTGCTAGAGATGCCTGGGTCAGGTATACTAATGTTGGTGCTACTACTGGTGTATGTCATGGATGCTGGCTAGGAATAGTCAGTTCAAGAAAAACTAGAACCCAAAAGCCATCCATTCAGGGTTCAGAGAGGCAAACTACATAGACTTTTTTGGTTTATATTTACCTTAAGTAGAAAGCCTAGCTGCAAAATTATTGCAAGTTTGGTTAGTTTTCCTGAAAATGGAAGCATATTCTGGATGTAGGAGATATCTGAATTTGATTTACCATGAAATCTTTGAGGTGGTGTGATTCACATTTCTTTCTTTTTGGTTACTGCTTGCAACATCTTCACTGCTGCTGCTACTGCAAAAAAGAGACATTTTATAAGTTTATAAACATATGTCTACTTATAAATTTTAAATGACAAAAGTAATTTTGTTCAGATATGTTTTAGCTTTATTTGACATTTTGACCCACACATTTCACTTGTTTGGGAAATTTAAGCTAATGAGTTACTTTCACATTTTGGTTCTTTCAGGCATTCCAATAAAAGCAGTAGTCTGGCAACACTTCTAAACAAAAGAAAATTGTTAATAATGGCTCATAATTATCTTAAACAATGGAAAATCTAGATTAATAAATCATCTTGACTGGATTTGCCCTGATTTTCTTATATATATGCAAGCATTCTGTCACTTATATATTTTAAAATAACTTATTTTCCTCTTAGCTATTGTGACTACAATTAAAATTCTTGAAAATGCTGATCTTTTTACTCCTTCTGGACACAGATGGATAAGGAGGATTTTCATCATCCTCTGCCATAGATCATTTTATCTCTTTTATTTGGGGTATTAAGCAGAGCATGAAGAAGTGCCTACCTCTCAAAGTCTAAAGGCTGTTTTATCTGGAATGTGGAACCTATTTCCTGTTTGCCTTCATAGTCCAGACTTTTTTCAAAACCACAGTTCATAGAAACAAGTTTCCTTAGCAAGGAAATGCTCCCCTGGCTCTATTTCAAGGAATGCCTAGATAAAGCCCTTAAACTCTAAAATGCCTCTCTCTCCACCTTCCCAAAGAGCCTTGCCCACTAGAATAGCTTTTATTTAGCCTTGTTGTTTCTAAAAACACTTAGAGAATGTCCATCAATAGTGCATCACTTAGGTTTACCTAGTATCTATACAACTGGTACTTACAGACATTAAAAATAATCAGGCAATTTGCACAACAATGTAAATGTACTTAACACTACTGAACTGTATGCTCAAAAATAATTAAGATGGTAAACTTTATGTTATGTATATTTCACCAAAATTAAATGAAAATGAAATTTTAAAAGTCAGGTGTATCCTCATGTATTCAAATAGGAAAAATGCTGAAGATGTCAAGTGAAAAGAACAAATGACAAAGACTGTATCGTGAGAACTTACTTGCTTTTGTATGCACATGGCCACATGTGCATAGAAAACATTTTAGGGGAATGTAAATGGAATATTCTGTAATATTTGAATGATTTAATGGGGGCATAGATTATCTTACTAAACAGAAAGTAGATTAAAAAGAAGCTCAGGGAAGATTGTAAGAATGACAGAAAGTTGATAAAAAGTATTATCCCATATATGAGATAAGAATCATGGCTGCACTTTAAAAAGTCAAGCTCCATGAAGACCTTTTAGCAATTATTATAATTTACTTGCAGATGCAATGCTGCTCATGCTAAGAGGTGATCAATCAATCCTTTGTTAAAATAACTAGCTTCCTGAAGTTCTAGGGAAAATCCACAGTTGGGACTAAACCTAAGGAGGTGCAAATCTAAAGGAGTGTCAAAAACTCAATAATGGCAGCAACCCCATGTGAATCGACAGTTCCTCCTGGTTATTTGAAAACAGGGCAGTCAGCTTCACCTCACACCTCTCTCAATGAATCACTGGAGTTTCTGTCAGGAAGGGGACCTGGAACACAATTAACATGACTTTCACTCTCCTTGCAACTGGGTTTACTGATCCTCTCCTTCCACAAGAATGGTGGGCTGCAGGCGCACAAATGTAACCCCATACCTTGGGCACCAGGTATAGATTAATACACTAGGATTCTAGCTCCACTTTGGAATGAAAGGGACCATGGCTTATTATACTGAAAAAAAATCAAGAAGAACACACTTACATTATTTCAAATTCCATATGGCCCTGTATTATTGAAACTTTCAGTAATTGGCTTTAGGCAAAAATGATGAAGATGGAAAGAACAAAGGAATAAAAGGACATGGGAAAAATAACTAAGAAAAGAGATACATGGTGAGTCAGAGAGATGCTCTGTATCCATTGTGGGGAAAGGCAGACATGACTTCCCTGCAGGGATGCTGATAACTGAGTGAGAAGATGGCAGAGAGTAGACAACATGATAGGAAGGAGGTCTGAGACAGGAAATAAGGAAGGGGAGTCACTTGACCCTTTCCATATGGTCATCTTGCAATTCAATTCAACATTTATTGGGCATCAAGTGTAGGGCAAATTCAGTGCCATACCAAGAGATACATACATACACAATTTACATGTTGCCTTCAAGGAATTTTCAATTCTGGCTTTAGATAGAATCTTTAGGCTAAAAACTGTGAGAAGACTAATCAGGTCAGGAGAGGTGAGGTTGTACATTCCAAGAAGGCAAGCCATGGCCTTGCTTGAAATGCTATTTGCCATTTGGCTAGTGATACTGAAGCACATTACAAAAGTAAGCCCATCCTAAGCTCTTTCATATAAAGGATAGATTTTTAAAGATTCTGTATTCTGGAATGTGGAGATATTTGGGGGGAGAAGGAGGAGAAAGGGAAGGGAATACAATGATCAGGCATTACTGAGATCATTAGATTGGATAATCTAAATGGAAAATCTATGCTTCTCAGCCCCAGTGGGGCCACTGCTTCCCCAGACTTCTGGCTCAAGCACTGAACATTTTCTGAGAGGACAGCCTAAGACCTGGATCAACAGCTTTGAGGCTGAGGTCCAGGGCAGCCGGGGTAGTGTTTACTCTACATGCTGGGCAGCCCGTCTGAAAGCTGGGGATTACCTTTTCAGTTTTCTTACTTGCCACCAGTCAGGGAAGTCTTCCCTTGGAATATACTGCATGTTGAAGTTTGGCTGGGAGCCATAGATTTTCTTTGAGTTGCTGTCATATTGCGCTAGACTGGTACTTGAAGATGGTGGCTGGGAGCCATAGTTTTTCTTTGATTCGTTGTCATATTGGGCTAGAGTGGTACTTGAAGATGGTGCATCCATTTTGAGAACAGGAACTGCCCGAGGTATCTTCAGCTTTGGAGGGGAAGAAATTTTAATACATCACAGTGAGGCACAGATTCAGGTACCGGGAACTGACAATTAAGTATATCAGCTCTTGAAAGAGAGAGAAAGGAAGGAGAGAAGGGAGGGAGGAAGGGAGGGAGGAAGGGAGGAAGGAAAGAGGCAAGGAAAGAAGAAAGGTATGAGCAAGGATATGGAGCAACTGGAACTCATATTTTGCTGGTTGGAGTATGAAGTGGTACAACAACATTGGAAATTTGTTTGCAGAATCTAGTAAATCTGGATGTGCATCTGGTCATACCCTATGACTCATAAATTTTACGTATATATACACAACAGGGAAACCAAAAGACCTGTAAAAGAATGTTCATAGCAGAATTATTTTAATTAGATAAAAACTAGAAACTGCCTACATGCCCATCAAGAGGATAAAATAATAAACATGTTGTGGTTGTTGAAGGCTGAAAAATGGTCTCCCGAATATGTTCATGTCCTAATTCCCAGAACCTGTGAATACCTTACGTGGTAAAAGAGACTTTGCAGATTGTAATTAAGGATTTCGAGATGGGGCAACTATTCTGGATTTTGTGGGGGTGGGCCTGATGTAATCAAAATGGCCTTTATAAAAGGGAGATAAGGTGGTCAGAGATTAGAGAGCTGTGAGGATGGAAGCAGAGGTTAGAGAGTAGAGGTCCTGCAACCTTCTGGTTCTGCAGACAGGGGAAGGAGCCAGGAACCAATAAATGTAAGTACCCCTTAGGAACTGGAAAATGCAAGGAAACAGAATCTTCCCTAAAGCTTCCAGAGGAAACACAGCTGTGCAGACCCATTTTAGACATATGATCTTCCAAACTATAAGAGAATAAATGTATGTTGCTTTAAGCCACTAAATTTGTGTAGTAATTTGTTAGAACAGTAATAAGAAACCAAAACAGTTGTATATTCACACAACTGAATTCTATACAATGATGACGGTAAATATAATCACATACTAAAAAAATAAGCGAATCTCACAAATTGAAGAAAAGAAGACACACAATAAATGACTACACACTTTATAATTCCAGTCATATAAAAGTCAAAATCAGGCAAACAATCTATGATGTTATAAATCAGGTTAGCAACTACTTTTGGAGGGTAGTAGTGACTGAAAGGGAACATCAGGGTGTCCCTGGGGTTCTGTGATGTTGTGTTTCTTTATCTGAGGGTGGATTATACAGAATTGTTCAGTTTGTGAAAATTCATCAAGCTGAACACTTAGGATTTGTGTGCTTTTCTATGTTAATGTTATATTTCAGTTAAAAATTCACAATATGTGTGTGTGTGTCTGTGTGTGCGTGTGTGACAGAAAGAGATGCATTTAATATTTTTTTCATGCTATATTTTAGTTTTTCAGAAATTTCATTTACTTGGAGTTAAGGCTTTGACATTCTGGAAATTTTAATTATGCAGGACAGTGTTATTTATGAGCTGTGAAGTGGGTTATGTCCAAAGAAAAATGCACTAGGAAGTTCCTTAAATGGAAATCATTTAAGGAAATCTCTTTGAACAGAACAACTAGAGAGCTGATTTTTATTTCCTCCATTCAGAAAATAAGCCCTCTACTGAATACTCTGATAAAAAACAAAACAAAGAAAAACATACTTTACATGATACCCTCTGATCCCTGGTTCATTTGGGAAGCTTATAATCAAAACAGGCTTATGAACCCTTAGCCACTGATTTGCCTAGCTGATAATTTTCAATATATTGGCCAAAAAGTTCCCTGCTGGAGACTAGATGCAATGGTTTCTGGCTCTTAATTATCTTCTGCTCTTAGACTTGTCAAAACAAACTTTATTGGTAGTTCATCCTTTTTAAAGTGCAGAATTCAGTGACTTTTGTAAATTTATCAACTTGTATAACTATCACCACAGCCCAGTCTTCCCATCACTCCAATAAGATCCTTCATACCTATTTGCAGTCAATTCTCATCCCTACTCTGGTCCCAGGCAACCACTGATCACCCTTTGTTTCTATAGATTTGCCTAATCTGGGCGTTTCTCCTAGGTGTTTTAGAGGGCCATACTTTTCAAGCTTCAGGACTGAAACATATTTTCAAACCCAAACAGCAATGTTGCTAATAACAAAGTAAAACTCCTAACGATTATAATTGTTTCCTAGGGCTACCATGACAAATTGCTACAAGTTTGGTGGATTAGAACCACAAAAATTTATTGTTTCACAGTTCTAGAGGCTAGAAGTCAAAATCAACATTTCAGCATTGCCATACTTATTCTGAAGCCTCTAGGATAAAATCTTTCCTTGCCTCTTCCAGCTTCTGGTGGTTCCAAGTTGCTATGGTTTGGATATTCGACCCCTCCAAATTTTATGTTGATGTGTGATCTCCAGTGTTGGAGGTAGAGCTTAATGGGAGGTATTTGGGTCATAGGGGCGAATCCCTCATTAATGGCCTAGTGCCATTCTCATGGTAGTGAATGAGTTCTCACTCTATGATTTCCCATGAGAGCTGGTTGTTGAAAAGAGCCTGCTATCTCCCTTCCCTCTCTCTTGTTTCTTCTCTCTCACCATACAATTTCTGCACACACTAGCTCCCCTTCCCTTCTGCCATGAGTGGAAGCAGCCTAAGGCCCTCATCAGATGCCGATGCCAGTGCTATGCTACTTGTACAGCCTGCAGAACGGTGAGCTAAATAAACCTCTTTTCTTTATCAATTACCCAGCCTCAGGTATTCCTTAGTAGAGCACAAATGGACTAAGAAACAGGTGTTCCTTGGCCTGTGGTAACATAACTCCAATCTCTTCCTAGGTCTTCACATGGCCTTCTCCTCTGTGTATCTCTCTGTGTCCTCTCATCTTACTAGTCATTGGATTTATGGCCCACTCTCATCTTTCGTGTGATTTCATCTTGATCTTTAACTAATTACATCTGCAAAGATCCTAGTTCCAATAAGGTCACATTCTGAGGTTCTACATGGATATGAAATTTGGGGGACATTATTCAGTCTACTACAATAATGGATTATTTTTGTCTTTCATGTTGATTCATGAAAATTATGTGGCTTTTACTTAGAAAGAGAGAAGTGTGTGCGAATGTGTGTAGCTGAAAATAAGTACCCAAGACACCATAGATCCAATAGATGGGCGGAGATGTCCCCTTGCTTTCAGGTGAACTTCCAGAGAACCAATGGGAAGCCATTTTTTGTGTATCCTGGCATTTGAGGAGGCTCACACCTGCCTGGGAACCCTAAAAACAGAAGGCTGTGGCTATGAACCCAAGAGAGTAGAGCAAAAAGACAGCAGTAGCCTGTACTTCGAGAGAGAGCTACATACAGCTTAATTAACCAGAGCAATCAAGGTTTTGTTTGTTTTCTTATAGGCCAACTCCACTCTTGGGAAAAAGTTGGCTGACAGCCATCTTGAAAGATTGAGGGCTGAAAATCCAAGAACTGAGGATCAAGATCTCTCCCCTGTCATAAAACTACATATGGATCTGCCCTTCAGTAGGAAATTCCTAAAAGTCTCCCATGAGATAAAGAATCAGTGCTGGAAAACTCACTCCGATACCACCACCACCAAATCATGATAGAAACAGCTATGTGTGTCTTTTTTTAATTAGACCTCATCTTCCTTGGAACTAACTCTGAAAGGGCCATGAATCTCAGCCCCCCCAAAATCCCTCCCCAAAAGCATGCTGCCAGGTGATGCAGGCCCAAGCTAGGTGACAGATGTTTAACTTGGAATGATGTTTGCAGTCATGTGATAATAACATTGGATGGAACAATTCAGAGGCTGTTCTTATGATTACAAGTAATGGGGACATTTTTATCATTTGAGAATGACTGCAAAACTATGGAATTTGGCAAAGACTTTATTTGGAAGCAGGGAAGAAAGCCCACTGAATAGCTTTGAAGGGATAATGGAGGGAAAGAATTATGTTGTTTTCTGCTTTTGTCCTATAGAGTTTCATTTCAACACCAGGATACTTCCACAAAGCAGTCTTGGCCATGTTGATGGTAAGGAAAGAATGACAGCTAATAACAGCTGCCTGTTATGTGTGATGCCATCTTAAGGACATCTCCCGCATGCACCCATTTTTTCTTTTTTTTTTTTTGGTGACTATTTATGGGCTTACTGGCTAGGAAAAGACACAACAATGAAATGCAAAAATATGAGATATTACAATGGTTCTATATTTGAATCCGCTATTCAATACCACCCATAGCTATTATCTAGAGCTCATGGTTTTTCTCTCTTTGCTGAGAAGTCTAAATGAATTCCACATTTTCTAGTCTTGAATCTGGCAACTCTTGGTTTATTTAATATATCCTGACCATGAAAAACATTTTTAAAATGTTGACTTACCACTCTGTCTGGGAAGGTGGGAACTCTGTGTTTCTCTTCATTGACTGCAGTATGCAGATTAGCATCTGAACATTAAAACAAAGTAATATCAGAAGGAACTTTAAACAAAACAAAGAGAAACACTCAATGTTATGAATTAAAAGAATGAACCAGCTTGTGTGAGCAATACTCCAGATTAAGTGAATCCAGACACAACATCTGGAGTGATTCTGTAGCTTTCCTATATAAGGCCCAACTCCTATGTAGGCCATGTATCCTGGAAAGAGGATGGATCAAGGCATCTTGGACAAAAAGAAATAAAGACACCTAACTTTTTCTCTTTTAGTTGTTATGCCCATGGACTTCCCAGTAGCTCAGCAGAAGAAGCCAAGGGAATAAATTATACTTGGACAGATAGACAGTATTACAGCTGCTCAGGAGCTGCAACACCTCTACACTCTGTAGTTTTCCTCAGAGGCACAGCACCTGTGGCACCCAGAACACATGGTGAGTGTCATCCAGACAGAGCCTAGGAAGGCAATCCCAAGGCAGTGCTCTCTCTGGCCTTTTTCCTGCTCCTTCCAGAAAGTTAGGGCATTGTCAAAGCTGGAATCTGACCTGCTAGGTAATGATAATAGACCAAATAGACCATAGACAAAACCACTGGGGAAAATGATTAATACCATAAGGAGACATTACTCCTCAGTCCCTTACAGTGGAGCGAAGACCCATGTGCAACCAATCTGTATAGTTCATTAAATAACTATAATTCATGAGTATATAGAGCAATGTGATCTAGTTGAGATTAATAAATATTCACTGTATAGTCTAATTAAGATGGAAAACACAATGAATATTTATTAATTGATTTTTTGGGGGTAAAATGACCAGTATTAACATTAACATGATTGTTGGGTATCAATACTGTCATGAAGTGAATTTAAAAAATATTTTATGTGCCTGTATCTTTTCCATTTCATGAAGTTCTATTTTGTAGCTGATCTCATTCAATTCTTTAAAGCCATTGTAATCCAGGCATATTTTGTCCAGGCTGGTAAAACTGTTACCAAAATAAGTTATCCTATTTTGTATTTATCAACAACTTTATGTTAAATAATTATAAACTTTAAATACATATAAGTCCCTCTTGTTTCCCTGGGAGTACAACTCTGGATAGAATCTGATTTCACGTAAAGCAGCCCCTTCTCTCATGTCATTA
The DNA here is from genome assembly GCF_000001405.40 of Homo sapiens. Classification (NCBI taxonomy): domain Eukaryota; kingdom Metazoa; phylum Chordata; class Mammalia; order Primates; family Hominidae; genus Homo; species Homo sapiens. Next base: position 15,516,795 of record NC_000023.11, on the reverse strand, counting down.
AGAAATTAACACACATATAGAGAATGGCGAACTGCTTTAAATATATATTTTAAAATTTGACCATCATTTTAGTATACATGGTGATGAAAAGTGTTACTTAAGTTATATCTTTTTTTTTTTTAATAATGTTGTTTTTTCAGTTTGTGATTTTCGTTATTTATACGAAGAGCGAGCTGGTTTTCTTACCAAACTGGAAACCTAGCTGTTTGAACTATGATGACATATCTAACATATTCTACCTTTTTGGAGTTTATCTTGAACCAAGAAAAATTATGGGAGGAAATAACAGCTCATTGCTTGATTAATGATTCAAATTTTTAAAATGTTTCTCATGAAATGAAAGAATGGCAGATGTTAATATTGTTATTATCTTAATGGCCATGACTCAATTGACCCTAGAATGAGATTTCATTTGTCACATAGCATCTGCAAGGCTGAATTTTCATGATGCCAACCAATCTGGCACATCTTGTTTTCTGGCAAGCTCTTCTGGCCTCTGGCAGGTTTAGCCTAATGGAGCACTATCCACCCAACGTCCAGTCCAACAGAGGAATCACACATTACATGCTTCCCAGAGGGTACATCCTGGGGCTGCTTTACAGCTCTGCTGGCAACACAGGAACTTCCCGTCCACGAAGAACCCACTATGGTACTTGACCAGCAGGTGGGGGTTACCCCTTATCTCTGAGGAGCAGACAGGAAGAAAACAAGACGTTAGCAAACGTTGATCCAAGAGGAGAAACATTCAGTAAGTGCTGTTATCACAGAACAATAAAAACCCCATTTGGCCAGCAACCAAGGTAAGAGCAAATGGTTCCGGAAGGATATAGGTCTTTCACTCAACAGTTAATAAGCCAAAAAGAAAAAAGAAAAGTCTAACCATGAGTATGTTGAGAACAACACAATTACATATCATTTTTGAAGAAAAAATAACTAGTAAAATGCATATACAGATCAGCTTGATGTTAGGATTTTAGAGATATATCTGTAAAGAAAGTGAGTGGGTTACAACACATGGTGTTTTCTTGTGGCAGAAGGGGAAGGGTGGGGCTAAATTTTAGCAAAAGGTTCTAAAAAAAAGGCCTGAATAAACATACACTTCCATCTACTTTTTATTGTGAAAATTTTCAAATGTACAGAAAAGTTGCAAGAATAAGATTAATACAATGAGCATCCATATGCCTTTTACCTAGATTCACCAATTATTAACTGATTGCCACATCTGCTGTATCTCTTTCTCTCTGTACATATGTATTATTCTTTAAATTTTAAAATCATTATTATATTGTGCTTAATAATTTATGAGGAAGTAGTAGATGGTATGACCTAAATAATGTCATCCATAAATGCTTCAGCACATAGCTTATATTAACAAGGATGTTCCCTTATATAACTGTAATACGATTATCAAACTCAGGAAATTTAACACTGATACAATATTATTATTATTATTAATTTTTAAAATTTTTTAATTTTTATTTTACTTTAAGTTCTGGGATACATGTGCAGAATGTGCAGGTTTGTTACATAGGGATACATGTGCCATGGTGGTTTGCTGCACCCATCAACCCATCATCTAGGTTTTAAGCCCCCCATGCATTAGGTATCTGTCCTAATGCTCTCCCACCCCTTGCCCCTCATCCCCCAACAGGCCCTGGTGTGTGATGTTCCCCTCCCTGTGTCCATGTGTTCTCATTGTTCAACTGTCACTTATCAGTGAGAACATGCGGTGATTGGTTTTCTGTTCCTGTGTTAGTTTGCTGAGAATGATGGCTTCCAGCTTCATCCATGTCCCTGCAAAGGACATGAACTCATTCTTTTTTATGGCTGCATTTATTATTTAAAATATATTTCATCTTTAAAATTTTTCTAATTATTCCAATAATGGCCTTTATAATCACTCACTTTTTTTCTGATCAAGGATCCAATTCAAAATCAAACATGGCACTTAGTTTCCCTTAATTTAGAACTGCTTCTCATCCCTTCCTTGACTTCTGTGACTTTGACATGTTTATACTAAGGAATGAATGGTTTATGGGGCTACTTTCCTAGGAATATGTGCATATTTTAAAAAGCCACGGGAATAGGGCAATGTATAATTCAAATAAATGAAACTGTAATCTATAACAAATTAGCCTCTTTTGAAATACAACAGAGAAACCTACAAGATCTTAGTATATTTTAAGAAGAGTATCTAGGTGAGAAGGGCTGGTTCTATATGTGCCTTTAACTCTTTCTCTCTTGACCTTATGTTCATCTTGAGATTTCCTTATGTTGATCCCAGGAGAGTTATGCTTATCCTTACAGTCCTGACTCAAGGAAGCGTATGGAGATAATAATTACTTTGCTGGGTCATTGGGAGGCTGTTAGATAATGTATGTAAAGCACCCAGCAGTGTTTGGCCCAGAGTAAGTAGGTGTTCAATAAACAGTGGGCTTTAGTGATATCATTCCCTTAATTTAACTTAGCTCAGTTTAGCTGAAAATGCTGGCATTAAAAAACTTTACTAATGAGAATTAAAGGGAAATTATGACAGAAATCACAAAAGGCAAAAAGAGTTAAAATTATAAAACGTAAGTTTCTGATTTTGGTTCCAAATGGCCATTGCAATCTCTTGGGCACATTACTTGCCTTCCTGCTCTCTAAGCTTCTGGCCTCCACATGTTGGGATTCCTATTATTTCCTTACTACATGGATTTGGTTTCCTGGGTAACTAATTCTTTTTCCAACCAAATCCAAAAGTCTACATTGCAACAGTCTCACCACCTAATAACGACAATAAGAGGAACTCATATATTCATATATCCATAGGACTTTACATTTATGTATTTTCCTTTACATATGTCCTCTAATTTAATCAATTCAAGAACCTGAGGGGTAGCTATTGTTATTACACCTCTCACAGAGTTAGGTAAACTGAAGTGCAGAGAGGTAGTACAATTGCTCAACTTCACAAGCTTAATAAATAGCAGACCTGAGACTCAGCCTCAGGCTTTTTCTACTACATTATGATGTACAGGTGCCAACTCCTCTGCAAAACCCCCTTCTGTTTTAATTTTTGGAAGGAAGAGCACATTTTTTCCACATCTGGTTAGCTGAATTCAGAACCATGATAATTGACACACACTCCTATGCTACCACTGAATCAGCCCAAACCTTCCAAGTGTAGGTTAACATCTGGAAAATTCTATCTTAAATGTCTACCTCAGTTTATAATGCTTGAGCCAAATAATAGACACAAAAGGCAGGAGGAGCCATTATAGCACAATGAAACTTTGTAGGGGAGAATATTTGAGCAGGAGAACCTCTTTGTTTTCCTGCAGCAGGTTGGTTGGCCAACTTGACAGCAAATCCCATGCACCTTCTTTCTCACTATCTTCCAGCACAGAGACTGGAAAAAAAAGATACTGTCTTCTTGCCTCCTTTGTACACATCAATGGCCATCAGATATAGTTCTGGATGATGTGACATAAGCACAAGTTTGCAGGGAGGCTTCTGGGAAGGCTTGGAATCTCTCCTGCAGCTTCTAAGGATAACAGAGCAGAAAGCTAGGAGGAGCCTGCATCCCTACTGACTTCACTGAGTTGCTGCACTAGCCCTTGACTGACTGCCTATCTTTGCATTTGTTACTGTGAGAGAAGAACAAAAGTGGATTTGTTTCAGCAACTGTTTGATGTCTTTTTACCTGCAGCCCAAAACATCACTAACTGATACAAACCACTTACTGTGCATAGAGACAAACCACTTATTGTGCATATGGCAGCTGTAGTGATGGGGACTCTCTGCAGTTTTATGAGGGGCTAGGAGATGTGTTTTTGCTTCTTTCTCTGCTCTTCCTTTACATTTCGTATGTCTTCACATGAGCTGCTCAGACACATGAGATCTAGCAGGGCATGACCAAGAGCTGTACATAGGACATAGCACCTACCGCTCAGGAAATTCCACCAAAGGAGACTAAATGGGAAGCAGAATCTTAGAGCTCCTCCTAGAAGCCCTACAGTAACCACAGTGACTCATGTTTGTGCATAAGATATTTTAATATATTTATGAGTGTCTCATCTGTGGCTCGTGACTGCTCTAGGAGAAAAGAAATGTGATCTCCTATTTGACAGGTCAGGATTAACTTAAACCCAGAGATGGTAGATGATTTTATTAGGTGACACAGCAAAGCAGCACTTTGCTGCAGGTGTGTCTAACTCTAGAGGGGTTGTCTTTCTCATTTCAATGAGCTGGTGGTGGGTAGAGGGAAGCTTCTGTCCCCCAGTGGACCACTTGCTACCCGCAGAATGGGTTGCTAAACCTTTTTATGCAAAGGAAAAATTAAGCCCTATGTGTGAGAAGGGTGTATTTGCATCAAAGTGGAGTAACTGTGTGTAATTTGAGGTGTACTAAGAAAGAACCATAACCTAAAACTTAAGTAAAATAAAATAAAATAAAATAAAATCTTCCTCCATCTAGGAGCATAATACCTGAAATTTCACAAATGGAGCCATTCATTTGAGTTAAATATTGTCTTCACACCTTTACCCATCTTGAAAATATCACAGAGGGAAATACTATAGTGCCAAATCATTAACAATGATTCTCTCCCTTCTACCAAAAGTTGTTACCAGGGCGGCCTAAACATCACTGAATAAAAGCTTCATTAAATCTTCAGTTTTGCCTAGCATTTACAATGTATTGGTTAAAAAATCAGGTTTAGGTAATTGAGTTCTGAGTCCCTCGTTACTGTATCTATGACAGTGGCCATGTTTTAAAAACTTTACTTGTCTGAAAAATGGAGAATAATATTACCCCTTTCAATAGAGTTGTCAAGAGGGTTACCTAAAAAAATGTTTTACAAGCATTTGATAAAGTAGCTGGCAAATGGTAAATGCTCAGTATAAGTATTAGATGTAACTTTCTATAAACATCAAAAGTGTGGTAGCTACAGGACTTGACATAGCCCCATGATGACCTAGACTTTCCCCTGGTAAAGGCAAGCATACTGAGTGGAGAGCAGGTGGCCTGGCTTCCCCTAAGCTGCTGGGAAGGCACAATACTGGCTTTGTGTGGGCCAGGGAATCCAATCCACAGGCTTCCTGTATGTAACAATGAGAAAGCAAAAATGAGGATGAGTCTGACACATTCCCTGAGGTTGGTAGGAAAATCAGTAGATTGTCTCTTGGCATTGAGTCTTTTTACTGCCATGTCTTTCCTCCACCAAGCCTCAAAAAACGACTCTCTTTTATGGCTTTTTTTGACCTTTCTCTTTCAACATTTCTTTTTTTGAATTACCTTTTTGTAATGCTTTCAACCACTGACTTCGGCTCTCTTCATTTGATGCATAGACATAGAGAAGCCCATCTTTATAGACAATCTGGAAAGGAAAATATTTGGTGTGTTTATATATAATTGCACCATACTTCACTTTGGTGCACCTGCAAATTTTTTGTCATCCAAAAGAAACCTTGAGTTTGCTTATACAGTATACATCAGCTCTGGAATTAGATGAAAAAAATTTTCTTAAAAAATCCTCCAGTTATCAATTTGTTTTATCCCAGACACTCCTATACTTTGGAAAATTACAGCGATGATGTACCTCATAGTAGTGGTGAACACTGAGTTCTCATCAGGGACACCCTGGACTATGGACATTAATATGTTAGACATTACACGTGTCTTAGTATTGTTCTGGTCCATTTGCCTACCCAGTGCATGATTTCCTTACAGCCCACTGGAAAATGTTTAACTGCTCTATCTTTAAAAATACCTTCAGGGATGGAATGTTCTTTACTCTGCTATGTCATCTCTGCCAATATCCATATATTCTGATCATTATACAGTTCATACTTACATTGAGTAAAAATATGTTTCCCTGTTACTTTCATCTATTTCATCATGTGGCACCCCAGGAATCTCCAGAATATATACTTTTCTGTTTCTTAAGACAAATGTTTAAACGTTTGAAGATTACAATATCTTCTCCAGATCCTTCTCTAGTTTATTCAACTCTTGTTGGTAAATATACACAGCATTTGTTAAACACTTACTAGTTGCTGGGCTCTTTCCTAGCTACTTCAGTATTTTAATCTTATTTCAACTCTGTGAGAAATAGAAGTTGAGTATGTGTTTACAGTTGCACAAGTATAAGTGGTGGAACTAGGAACTCTCTGGGGGCTCCAAAGCCTGTGATCTTTTGAGCACTATGCCTCTATGAGGTGAGTTTGCAGCATCTTCCATGAGCATGCCCTCCCCTGGTTTCCCCCAATTGGGTAATTTTTTTAATGAAAACAATGTTTATGTAGAGATGAGGTCTCGCTATGTTGCCCAGGCTAGTCTTGAACTCCCAGCCTTAAGTGATCCTCCCTCCTTGGCCTCCCAAAGTGCTGGGATTACAGTCATGAACCACTGTGCCTGGCCTGGTAATATTTTTTCCAAATGGGAAGTATGGGTTGTTAATCAACTGGATTATTGTATTTCATTTTTGGCCACAGGTTCCTAATACTAGCACTGGGTAGTCAGGCCATCTGAAAGACAATCCATCTACCTTTGGATCAGAAATGTAAGATTTTATGCTATAAGAAAAGTAGGGCATGACTTAGATTAGGCCACTTCCAAAAGGTACTACCAGCATACACTACATACCATACCATTGTTTAAAATACTTCAGGGTAAAATGAAAACTCCTTAGCATGGTCACCTCTCCAGGCTATCTCTTTCACTGTCACATGGGCTTCTTTATTCATAGGGACTACTTAGTGCTCTCTAAATGTGTCATACTGTTTCACTCATCAGTGCCTTGACACCTGCTGCTTCCTTTGTACCACTGTCCTTCTCATATTTGCTGGGTTAAATTTTACTTGTCCTTCTCAACTTGAGTGTCACCTCCAATAGAATATCTCTCTAGCCTCTTGGAGTGAGGAATGAAACTTCCACATCCTGGGACTCCATGGATGCATTCTGCTGACCTCCACCTTAACTCTCACCCTCACTGCTTTGTAATGGTCTGTGTATTAGTCTATTTTGCCACTTCCCTGTAAATGCCTTGGGGTAGGGGCAGTGTTTTGTTCCCCATAGTATGCCTACTACTGTGTACCACATCGGAGATACTCAGCAATGTTTGTTAAAAGAGATGATCAGACCTGAGGCAGGTCAGGTCACTGCGACTTACGCTCCTGTCTTGCTTCCCTTCCCTTCCCTCCAGGGAAGGCAGATTGGTGGACAGAATTTTAGCAAAATGCCCAACTCCCATGTGGGAATATTCCAAGCCTTGTTTAGATTATTTTGAAATATCATTATTTTTCCTAGATATATTGAGTTCACGATAGAAAAATTGAAGGAAGAACTATCCACCCAATGCAATGTCGTTCTTCCCTTTACCTGAAATGGGTACTGTCTCTCTACAGGCGTCTGCTCCTCGAGATTTACTTTCTCCACACATCTGATTTTCTTAATTTCAATGGATCCTTTTCTGCTGCCCCTTTTCTGAATTAAAAAACAAAATGTAAGATACTTCCTGCAATACATCATGGTGCACAAGGAAAGGCATAAAGCCCAAGTTATGCCTGAGAGGGAGATTGGGGTGGGGGGTGGGCAATGGAGAGTCACTTCCTATTACCCCGTAATAGTCAAAATCCAATGACAACATAATCTATTCCTTGAGTCTGGACACAAACACATATATTCCAGTGGTTAATAATCTTGTTTGATTATCTTGAAATGTGTTTCAAATCACCTACCATGTGGTTAATATACTCAGGAAAATCAAGATTTAACTTCTGCAAAGCATCTTCATTTTGGCTCAGTCTTATGACAGTATTTCAGTGTTTTTACTATAGTAGAATTCTCAACTGTACAGGAATAGTCTTATTTCTAGCATTGTTTTAAGGCACTATTGCCATTTAAGGCTGGGTAATTCTTTGTTGTGAGGACTGTCCTGTGCACTGCAGGATGGTTAGCTGCATTCTTGGCCTCTACTCACTAGATGTCTTTAACACTTACTGTTCCTATCCCCCAGTTGGAACAACCCAAAATATCTCCAGTCTTTTCCCAATGTCACCTGGGGAGCAAAAATGCCCTCAGTTGAGAACCACTGTTCTAAAGTTATAATTTGCCTTAGTAAAGTTAACTAATGTTTTAAAATCCTTTATCTTGAATTCATTATACTTTCATTAAGAAAAGGTCATGTGATAAGTGGATAGAAGAGGATCTTCACAGTGTAAGTTAAGAAACCTGATATTCTTTCATTATGATCAAGTACTTTGTGGAGACTTAGGAAAAATAATAAATAGTATAAAAATAATGGAACACATGATGTCTCACCATTTTGTCATATTCATAGTAGGAAAGGTTTGTTTTGGTCAAAACAAAAAGCCGTTCTTTGTAATTATTTGGTGACATTTTCTTCTTTTGCTGTGATCTTTTGAGAAGAAGTTCTTCTAGAATAGATTTTGTATCCATATTATCATCCTAAACAAAATAAATAATTAAAATGAGTATTTGCAGCATCTAGGTAAGTTCTCTTTAACCTTCATATCTTTTCCTCAACGATTTCCTATTAAGGGATAATATAAATGCTGATTTTAATAAATGAGACTGATGTAGGATTATAGAATAAATTACACAATAGCTACAGTTTTTCTGCTGCCTTTGCTTTGGGTTTTATAAATATGTTGATTTTTAAAAAGCACTTTATACTTTTGACTCCTCCCACTGTGGATAATAAATTCATCATCTTTGCCCCATTCTCCAGACCACCTTATCAAAATGCTCCTTACTTTTTAAACATTCTATATGTGTTGGTTGAATTGAATTGGATATAATAAAACTTCAGAAAATTTAACTCCAGACAGCTCACAATTTATGAAGTAACGGCCTGTAATTTGACCAAATTACCCAAACCACTATGAGACACTGACATTATTGTAAATAACACCTGCAGCCCCTGATCATGGCCAGATCTTTAACATAAATTACACAGGTATAATTTTCAATATCTATGAGAATTTAAAATCAAAGTAAATGCCTAAGATAAGATAAAATGAGGAAAATGTATGAGGGTGCACTAACAGATGCTATCAAAAGAGATTTAAAAGAACTGAAAAAATGAGTACATTTACAAAGTAAAAAGACTCTTCCTTTTTATCCCAAAATCATGTAAAACATTAAAACTTAAGGTATTTCTGAAAAATAAATGCATTAATTTTCTAATTCTACTAAGACAGTTACTTCAACCCTCAGTCTAATATCAGGTCTGATCATGAAAAGTAGCAATGTTGAGCAGTAGGCCAGAGAAACAAACTTTCTTATGTTCTTCTTTGCTTTGTGAAATTGCATCGTTATTTGAATTCACATGCCCAATAGTTAAAATCTTTCTTTATTGATAATCTGAAGGCTTTACTCACCTTAGACTCGCTAGAGCCGAAGTATACATGTGGGTCCTTAACTTTGACTCTCAAGCTCTAAGCAAAAAGTTACTGCTTTGAGGCACCATCACTCATATTCCCTCTGGCTATGCCAGGGTCATGCATTAAAAAGAAGATATTTGCATCCCACTCATCAGTCTTGATCAGGAAGCACCCACACAGGCATTGCTCTGTCTGCATGGAGGCGGGCGCCAAGCGAACCCATCCAATCACTAGAGGGCACTTCTCACTGGCCTGGGAGTATGATGGACCCACTATGGCAGAAGAGTGAAATGAAAGGGAGACTAAGAAATACAGCCTGGCATTGAATTAACCATGGTTGGCTCCAGCCAGCTTTCCTCCTAACATAGACCACACAACTCTCAAAGTGGAATTAAGAAAACCAGCTTTTATTATTTACTATGTAGAACAAAAGATTATTTATTAATTCCTAAAATGTCCTCCAAGGGCATTATTTGATTTTTAGACAGAAGTAGTGGAAATCTTATCCATTCAATATAATAAAGTCTTGGTTACTTTTTCCCTGGGATATTGTTTTAGCTATTTAAAAAGGATAATTCTTTCACAAAAGTATAATGGGTTTCTTCTGAGTACAATGGGTACTATTTGCCATGGTCACTGGTTTCTTTGCCCAGTGATCAAAGACAGGGCAGAGATCAGGGTAGAGTAGAGCCTATGGAGGTAAGAGTAGCATGCCTTCCTTTTATCTTTGCTTCCATTGCAAACTCTGCATATCCACCTGCCCAGATAAGCTTATTTTCTACATCCAAAGTCTGTGGCCGGAAGAGAATTTGCTCGGAGACTTATGGAAACAATGAGGGTCTACTTTTTTTGAGTGAAAGCCTCCTTTGGGGAGGCAATATCACATTGGACATGGTTGTAGGGTACTTTTGCCTTTTATATTTCCGTATTTTACTAATGAAGCAGAAGGAGAAAACTGTGAAAACTCTTGTCAATTTTTTATATCCACAGCTGAAACATCATTCCTCAAAGCAGAGTGCTAATTAAATAGATCTGATTAGTTGAATAGAAAATTTACTTTTTAATTTTTTTAGATGCTGAATTGATTTGTGACATTAACAACACTGTATTAAAAATGTAAAAATCCCAATGTCCAAGGTGCTATTCAGTCTTTCCCAGTACTATGTGCTGGTATACATATTTTTCTGTCTATAGAACTTTCACACCTAGGCAGGGCACAGTGTCTCATGCCTGTAACCCCAGCATATTGCACATTAGGAGGCTGAGGAGGGAGAATCGCTTGAGGTCAGAAGTTTGAGACCAGCCTGGGAAACATAGTGAGATCCTGTCTCTAGAAAATTTTTTTGACAAATTAGCAGACATGGTGGCATGCACCTGTAGTCCCAGCTACTAGGGAGGCTGAGGCAGGAGGATCACGCCACTGCACTCCAGCCTGGGCGATAGAGTGAGACCCTGTCTTCCAAAAAAAATTAATAATAATAAAGAAAGAAGAAGAAAAGAAAAATAAAACTTTTATGTGCATCACACTAAAGGTGAGAATTTTTGGAATTTTATATAAAAAATTAATAAGATGAGTCACAGAGACCACTGACAAATTCACAAAGTTGCCTCTGTGTATTGAAAGGAAGAACATTGAGTAAAAAGGAAGGTATTGAGCCCTCAAGCACCTTCTCCAGTAAACCTCCAAGGGTTTACAAGCGTTGTTGCATCTGATGAAATATAACTTGTGAAATTTCAACATAATTGTTCATTTCAAAATCCTGCCCTTTATACATTTTTTGCTTTCATTTTAAGATTCATATGCAATATATGTTTATTCTATAAAGCCAAGAGATACAGACAGGGAAAAGAAAAACACAGCACATCTCTAGATGTTTTTCTTTTCAAATATTTATGTACATATGCTTATTTTCTCAAAGATGGGTTCACATACTGTGCACTTGAGTCCGTAATATGTTGTTCTCGTGTAACAAACACCTGAAGCCACACGTTTTTGAGGTACCCATCCAAGAGGAACAGTCCTTCAAAGCTCCACTCCCTAAGCTGGGCTACTGAGGCTTCCTAACAGTCTTGAAGGACCCCACCTTGATGACTCAAGCTTTTTTCATTTCCAGATCAGTTTCTTCTAAGATAAACCATGTGGTTTCTGCTCAGGCTTGGGCTTGCCTTTCTCCTTCTATTTACTTCTGTCCCTTCCTTATACTTCTCCTTTCTCCTCTACATGGCCTAAATTCTAATTTGAAAACATTTCTGTGGTCTCTCTTGATATAGAAGGATAGTTGCTGATGATTAATTTTTAGAAATGCAATATCTTCCCCCCTCGTATTGTGACAATAAATAAACAGGGCTTACTGTTAAGTCAAATGCCTGTCCAACAACTAGCAAACCCTGCTCTTCTTATGCTTATTTAGGGAAAATTCAGTTGGGAAGGTGAAACAAAAAACCTTTTATAGTAAAATGAGATCCTAAACCCAGTCAGTATTAACAAGAAATCTATTTCCATAGAAGAGCTAGTGGGATCTGGGTGGACTCTCATATTACCACCCACATAGAATAGACCTATCAATTTGCTTACCAAATAGCCCAGGCTGCCTATTTCCATAAACAGATGAAACTAGAAAGTGATTAAGGCACAGAGGAGACACAAAAACCTGGCAGAAATCAATATAGTATTTCCTATAAGGAAGCCAGCAGCCATTCGTTAACCTCTTACATACATAAAAGGTGTGTGTTGAATTAACATGACTTATAATCACTATAGTTTTTTAGGATTTATAAGGAAATGATGTCATGAGAGTAAGAAGTTCAAGTCGGCAGTTCTATTTGGCATGCTTGATTTTGAGCCTACAGTGTGTCCAACATTGAGTGACTGGTTCCAGAAATAAAGATCAGCTGTCCGTGGCCCTGAGTGACAATGAACAAGTTTGAGAGATGGGCTGCATAACTAATTAATATGAAAGATTGCTGTGGGGTGGCAGACTCGGAAGGCATGGAGGAGGTTACAGAACTGTCATTTGTAAACTGTGTCACCCTGGCCAAGCCCCTTCCCTGCACTAACCTTCAGTTTTCTGATCTGTAAATTGAGATAGGTAACAACTCTCTTACTTTACGGGACTTAAATGAGAAACCTTATGGTGAAAGTATTTGGCACATTGTGGGTACCAACTATGTTTTAAAAAAGAAAAGATGGGGAAAAAAATGTAGGTGCTAGAGTAGAGTCTATTCACTTTGCTATGAAAGGTCCAAGGAAGGAAAAGTTGTTTTTTCCTTAAGGTAGCCAAGTAAGGTATTTTAGAAGGGAGCACATTGAAATTAGACTTTGAAGGATGAGAGTGATTTTATGATAATGATCCTAGCCAATGCTTAAGGAGGGCTCACTATGTGCCAGGCTGTTTAGAGTTTACTGGTCACAACTGCTCTATGGGGTAGCTCATGACACCTCCACCTTATGGGGTAGGCCAGAACACCCCCACCCTATGGGATATTTTGTGATACTCCCAGCCCATGGGATAGGTTGTGACACATTCACCCTATAGAGTAAGTTGTAACATCATTCCCTGCTTATAGCTTATGGAGCTGCAATAGATAAATAAATTGCCCAGGTCACACTGCTAGTGGGTGGAGCTAGATTTGAATCCCGGCAGTCTAACTCCACATCCCATATTCGTGACCACGCTACTAATGCTAGAGAAGGACATGCCTGCTGTGTGACCCTCCTAAACCAGAGACTGCTCTAACCTAAATACAGGAAGGCAGTCATAGGATGTCAAATCTTATAAGAAACCTAGAAGTCATTTTACAGATGTAACACTGAGCCCCAGCAGCCTAAGTGACTTAGCCAGTACTGTTAACCAGTGACCTAAGAGGCATGGCCCTGGGAGCCAGCTTCAGGTGTCATACCTGTACACCATCCACTCCATGATGGCAGTAAACAGAGTAGGAGATATCTGTGTGTTCAGCCAAACATACTACAGCTTTGCTAAGGGACATAGTTTGGTGAAACTACCCATAAATCTGAGTCTTAACAGACCAGTGCAAGAGACATTTTATTGGAAATATCAGAAAGATGTTACCTATAATCTTTCGATAGGAATCTCCTGCTGAAAGGCAGTGTTAAATAGCAAAATTTGAAACCACATTCTGAAAATAGGTAAGAACATACAACCTCAAAAGTTGGAATAAATTCTCAGTGGTACAGAAGGGGAGCAGGAAACAGGATACCAAGGGAGACAGGGTTATCTAGTTAAGTGGCCATTGGATAGTTCCCTCAACCAGGAAGTGTATTCCCTGACTGGCTCAGGGTGGTGTCTTTAAAGATTTATCTTTTAAAATTCAGAGATAAGGATAGCAATTCCTTACCCTTTGACTTGGTTTAGTTATCCTCTCTTACTTTACATGCCATATAGCTAAAGATTTTGTAGGTGTCAAGATGTTAAAATAATACATGTGGTGGGAGGGCAGTAGAGCAGGAAGGGTGGGAAAGAAAGGGAAGACGCTCCAAGTGGGGTGGGATCTGGAAGGGAAACTGGAGGGCCCTGTGACAAACTTGATCTTCAAATATTTGTCCAAATGCCAGGCCCGCTTATCTTCGTGCTAAATAACTGAACAAAATGTGATGGTAGGTTTAAACAAGAACAAAAAGTTTGACTGAGGATCAAGTAAAGTGGTTCAAAAAGTCTTAGGATGCTGGCCAAAGACAAATACTGGCTTCACAGAACCTGACAGATCCTTATTTCACATGATGTTATGCAGGAGAGGGAAAGTTAAAGTTGATCTTGGCATGATATGGACAGAAATCTTTTAACATTGACAGTCAAATTCTCAGCATCTTGGAGCATCATACCTTAATTGATCCAAAATAAGTGTATAAAAACCAGACACTTTGGGAAGATCATTTTCTCACAAAGAAGGCAAGAATCTTAATGCTAGTCTTTTTGGAGCTAAGTTTTGCTTTAGGTGTGAGATTAATCTTCAGTGCCCCATAGAGCTTTTCTAAGTCTTTTCTTCTTTTCAGTAACCTCTTTCTTTCTGCTCCCTCTCCTCTGCTTAGGGCACTCTCTCTGGGCAACTTCCTTAGGAGAAAAGCAAAAAGTAATAAATCCATGAGCTAGCATCTCATGCTGAATTAAACATGTAACACTGCTTTCATGATGCCGGTTAGTGCAAGTGAAAGCACCGAGCTGGGTTCGAATCCCTGCTCTGTCTCTATGGAATCTGTCATGTTACTTAACCCAGCTAAACCTCAGCTTCCCCATCTGTAAAGGCAGTGAAACAATAACCACTTCGAAGGGTTACAAGTAGTCAAGAGAAAATGGCAGCCTAATGCCCAACACCCTAGTAGATATTCTAAAAGCTTATGTCCCTTCTGATCACTCCATAGGCAAAGTTTTAAAAAGGACCATAAAAAGTTAAAAAACTAAAGACAGTGAAATAATAATGATCCTTAATGATAAAATTTTACTTCTCATCCCTCTGTCCCCAGCTCCTGGGTATAGGAGAAAATGGGAGGCAGGAAGACCTCCTCATGTATTGCCATGTCAACAAACACCAGTCCATACATAGTAGGTTTGTCGCAGACTTTCCATCCTGAGACGAGTTACCATAAAATGAGGTTGAACCATACCCTTATTGACTGTGTATTTGTGCCACCATATTTCCTACAAATAAATACTTGGATGTGACTCAAAGTGTGGTCCGTGCACTTGCATCATCCGGGCGATCATTAGACATGCAGACTCTCAGTTCCCACCCGAGACCTCGCGCAGCCAAATCTTCATTTTAGCAAGATCCCCAGGTGATCCACGTGCACAGGAAAGCTTGAGAAGCACTTACATGGACCACAAAGTTGCACTCCTTTTCAAATCCAATGAAATCATTGTGGCCCACAAAATCTTTCAAAATTATATGGATATGAGTACAACTGCATGGTTCACCTCCCTCCCACCTGTCTATCTCCATCTAAAATACACAAAGCACTTGATTTAGGGAGACCTCAGGAACCTAAGAGCAAATATTTGTAGCTAAAGTAACATCATAAAAACACAGTTAAAGAAGGTATAAGGAACATTTCTATGTCTCTTTGGAAGCAGTTATGAGGCCAATATGAAAGGCTATGGAAAGGCAATACCTAAAGAAGCGGATGGAGAAAATTAGCAGAGAATACACACAAAGCTAGGTAGAACTGGTGGTGATACATAAACAACCTGAGAGCTTCCCTAACTGAGATTTTGAGCAAGGAGTGAATTTACAGTGAAATTATAGCAGTTTCAGCCGTTGGCCTCCAAATTACCTGGTCCCATCTAAAGTCCCAGAGAAAGCCCTGGCAATTTCATATTAAAAATGTTGTACTATTTTTCTTAAAGTGAGCTTCCCAAAGTTTGTAACTTCAGGCCCCACAACACCGGGAACCAAACCTATTTTCCGCATAGTATGCGACACTGAGTAGCCACCTGCCGCTTAAACGCACCGTCTCAGCTTGTTCCGTGCTTGCCTGGGTCCGCCGCGGTGCTTGGTCTGCTGTTGCAGGAACACGGCCCCGGCTGTCCTGTTTCCAGAAGCAAATTGTTTCACATTTTCCTGGCTGCCGGGTCAGAAATGGCTACATTACTCAGTGCCCCCAACACGTTTATTGTCCTACAGAGCCTTACACAATCCCACAGGAAACCACGCTCAACACTTAGCCAACACTTGTTGATCTGATTGAACGCAACAAAAACGGAGACAAAAGCATACTTCATAAAGTTTCCAATTTTGATAACTATAGCTCCCACTTTTCCCAGGCAGCTCTCGGGTACATGTGATAACCCTGCCTTTGTTTGTAGAGCTCTATGCTGGAAAGGACAAGAAAATATCTCGGCAAAACCCGACTGCTGACGCTGACTTCTCTCACATGAGCCAGGAAACCATTAGGTAATGCAAAGTGCACAGAGAATATGCAATGAAAACTTCAACTCAACATTTGGACAAAGGAAGGCCAGAGAATATGTAAGAACAGTTCATATGATGGAAAAGGAGCTTATTTATATAGTTTAAGTTATTAAGAAATCCAGAAATGGAAAATAGATTGTTTTTGCTAAGGTATGGTACACCTAGATCGCAATGAAAAAGTGTGTCACTTGACATCATTATGACAGACTCACAACTTTTGGCTTCCCCCATTCCACTATTTTCTCTGGTGCATACCGGCTGGCCATCTGTAATAAATCTAAGGACATATTTTATGTCCTGCTATGGATAGCCAAGAAAAGTAATCATCCTTTTGGCATGCATTGACACACTGTGTTTACTTATAAATTGTTGCTTACTGTAACTTATTTGTAAGTATCTATGATGTGAAGAAGTCTTGGGTTGGCAGAAGAGAGTGAAGCTACTGGCTTTCAAAGAGGTATTCTTTTGAGTGTACATGGAATTAGCATCATTTCTATTAATTCGTTCAGTCAAGTCTTATTTGAGAACCTGCCATGTGCTGAGCATTCCGTTAGGGGTTGGAGACACAAGAGCAAACAGAAGAGAGGCAGCCCACATCTTCAAGGGGCTTATGTGTCTGTGTGGGGGGGGGGGGAACCACAAATAGTGGTTTAATTACAGTAGAGTATGGGAAAAATAACTTGCAGAAATATTTTTTAATATTTCAGTTTGGAAACTAGAATTTTGGGAAGGGAAAGGAGTCCTTCAGAAGAATTCAAAAGAGTGTAACTTACATTCTAATAGCAAATTAAAGTCACTGATGGATTCCAAATAGCTCTCCATTCTTTAGGAATATAGTAGGTAGTCATTCAAAAAATTAAGGGTGAAGCAGGGCAAGAGTGGCACAACAACCTGGCTAAATAAATTAATTCTACACTCTGCTAGTTAATTTCCTTTTCCACATGGCGATTTGTATTTACTTCACAACTTATATATGGTAATATGGCAAAAGTTCGATTCTAGAATAAAAAGTAAACTTAGGGTAGGGGAAGGAGGAGTTGGTGATATGGTTTGGCTGTGTCCTCACCCAAATCTCATCTTGAATTGTAGTTCCCATAATCCCCACATGTTGTGGGAGGGACCTAGTGGGAGGTAATTGAATCACGGGAGTGGATGTTTTTACCGTGCTGTCCTCATGACAGTGAATAAGTCTCACCAGATCTGATGGTTTTATAAAGGGCAGTTCCCCTGCACACGCACTCTTGCTTGCCACCAGGTAAGACATGCCTTTGTTCCTCTTTCACCTTCCACCATGATTGTGAGGCCTCCCCAGTCATATGGAACTGTGAGTCCATTAAACCTCTTTTCCTTTATAAATTACCCAGTCTTGAGTATTTCTTCATAGCAGTATGAAAATGGACTAATACAGTCGGTATAACTGTGGAAACACCTGGGCACAATCTCTTGGGATTTCCATCCCTTCTTGGGGGCATAAAACACCCAAGGACAGCTGGGAGGAGTGGTTTCCTCTAAGGCAAAATGTCACAGATTTATTTACTTTATTCTATTCATTCACTTCCTCTGCTACTTCTCCTGTTTCTTTGGCTCTGTATTTTCCATGAGTTTAGTTACATCCTAACTTTTGGCAATCTGCTATTACGATAATATGACTTCATTTACTCAAATTATACTCTGCATTGTCATCTTTACTCAGTTAGAATTTTAGGAATTTTCTCCTAAGCTTGTTCATGCAAGCCTTTAGCAGGCCACAGCTAAAGGGACATGGCATGGGATAATTTGACTTCATGATGTGAACAAGCCTGTTTACTTGTGCTTACATTTTTAAAATAAAAAAGAACCTGGTAGAATCCATTGTCAGAGAGAGAGAGAGAGAAAGGGGGAAGGAGAGAGAGAGAGAGAGAGGGAGAGAGAGAGAGAGAGAGAGAGAGAGAGAGAGAGAGAGAGGAAGAAAGAAAATGAGATAATCAGAGTCCTTCTGGCTTGTGGCTGACCTGTATTTTTCTCTCACTTTAGAAAATTCACTTGACTCATGGCTTTAAACACCATCTATATGCTTATGACAGCCAGGACCTCTTCCCTGAATTCCAAACTTATGTTTGACTGTCAACTTGTCCATCTGTACTTGGGATATCTGATATATATGTCAAAACTTGTCCAAAGCTGACCTCCTGATTCACACCCACCCCCCCACCCCCAAAACTAGTTTTTCCTACAGTCTTCCTCTTCTCAGCTAATAGGAACTCTCCCCCTCCAGTTGCTCTGGCTAAAGAATATGGAGTCATCCTTAATTTTTACCCTTCTCTTGCACCAAACGTTCAATCCTTCATGAAATAAGGTTAGCACTAGCCGCAAATGTACCCCCGTTTGGCCACTTTTCAATACCTCTACTGCCACCTACTGGTCTGAGTTGCCACCACCCCCAGGGGGAATATTGTACTAGTCTCCTGACTGTTCTCCTTCTTCCACTCTTGCCCCTGCAGTCTATTCTCCACTGAGTGGCCAGAGTGATTCTTTAAATGTAAGTCACATCTTAGCACTTCTCCAGTCTGAACTCTTCGCTTGTCCCCCCTGTTCTGGTCCCCTAGGACTGTCTCTAACATCATCACATGATTATTCTACTTCATCTTACCACTCCTGAAACTGGCATCTTTTCTACTCCTCCAATATTCTGAGCAACATCTGCTCCAGGGCCATTGCATTGGCAGTATCCTCTGCTTGGCAAACTGTCCCAGATATCTGACTGGCTCGTGTCCTCATTTCCAGGTTCTGCTTCTAATGGCATCTTCCTAATAGCCCTACGCAGACCACCCTGTTTAATATCACAGCCTCACCCTCCACCCAGCACTCCAATCTCCCTTACTCTGCTCTGTGTTTTCTTTCTTCTACAGGACTCATCACCTTATAGCATAATACATAATTTAATTATTTATTACCTTTATTATTTGTCTCTCCTCACTAAAGAGTAAGACCACAAGGGCTCCAACAGCTTATCTCTGCAGTTTGAACTTTGTTCATGGGTATCTCTTCTTTGGGGACGTCACTCCATTACCTCCTGCATGTATTCCTTCTGGTGCTAAAATAATCTGCTTGTAAGTTGGGATCAGATGTGAATTATTCACACTTACTAGAATTGAAGATTAACATGTCACCTCTCCTAAGGGTGCTTGCATATCAAACCTCAGGTTCAGTGCCGGAACAAACTGCCCTGTTTTTAATGAAAGGAAATGGGTGAGTAGGAGGTGGAGGTAGACACAAAAATGTTTGTTGTTTCCTTTTGTTATCAGCCATGTCCTGTCCTGTCACCCATGAAACCTTTACATAGACTGTTGGCATTTTGTCAATCTTACTCCTGTTTTTCTAGTCGGAGGTAAGTATTTGTGGTCTACATGGAGTTGGCGAACTATGAGCCCCATGAGTTTTTGTGAATAAAATTTATTGGAACACAGCCACTATTCCTGCCCCACGGCCTTTGCATTGATGGTATCCTCTACTTGGCAAACTGTCAAGTGTTGTCTATGTCTGCTTTCAGTCTACAACGGCAGAGTTGAATAGTTGAGACAGAGACTGTATGCTCACAAAGTCTCAAATACTTACTATCTGGCCTTCACAGAAATAAATCACCAACTCATACTCTGGAAGCATCCTGCCAGCTTTGGAAGTGATCTTGCAGCTTGGAATTTAGTTTAACAGCTCCATTCAACAGAGAGTCACTTCATTTACTGTGTACAAGGTGCTAGAGTTGGAAGCAAAGAAAGTAGACAAAGGGGTATAACATTTTGGAATCCTTCTAGTTCTGATTCCCACTGTGACTCAAATTATTTTTTTCCTAAGATTGTATCATGAAACATTTCAAAATATAGAAAAGTTAAAAAAAGTTAAAGCACCAATACACCACCATCTGGATTCTACAATTGACATTTTGCTGTATTTGCTTTGTCATATATCAATCCGTTTATCCATCTCTCTATTCATCCATTAATTCACTTTGTTGTCATTCCTATTATTATTGCTGCTATTGTTATTTTTTGGTGCATTCAAAGTAAGTTGCGGACATCAGTACACTTAATCCATAAACACTAGTTAATGTACATAACATTAACTAGAGGTTGTTAGTTATTCAAATTATTTTTTAATTTTTACTCCAATACTGTGATCTAGAAAGCGGCCTCCATTCAGCCAGAAGACAAAACTTTACAAAAGCTGAAAACTGAGAAAGGTTATCAGGGTAATTGAGGTAAGTATCAGGGGAATCATTCATCTAAATTTCTCCAGTTTCCTGGTTCAGAGATGAATTGGCCTTTCAGGCCTGAGAGTATTTTGCTTGTGATGGATTCTAGAAAGTTCTGTGGCTCAAAGGAAAGGGTCATAAGCTATTTTTTTTTCGGAGAACTGCCAAAAACCCAAGGGAAAGATAGAGAAAAACACAATTATGAGTTTCATGCAACAGCTGATCACATGTAGCTTCTTGGTCAGAGCACTGGTCGATGGAACAGACCGTGTCTGTGCAGAATGCTCTCATGAGGGTGGATATGGGAGTCACATGTGCTCATCTTTTCTGGATATCTTTGGATGTCTTTAACCACCCAGTGTATTTATGGCCTTCGTAAACTAGCATTTATAAAATAATCAGTCCTTGACTTGGAGCCAATTGATTTCCTGGGTTCAGTGAGTCTGAGTCTTTATAATATGGAATATTTCAGAGACATTTGTCATCTAATGAATAGCAGCTACACTGCCCTGAAGGGCAAATTAACAAAATCTACAAGAAAGAATTTTTGAGTTGATGGCTTGAAGAAGAAAGAAACAAAAATAAGGAAGTGTTTCAGATGTCCATGTACTTTTTTTTTTTTTTTTTTAATTTTTGAGACTGAGTTTCACTCTTGTTGCCCAGGCTGGAGTGCAATGGCACGACCTCGGCTCACGGCAACCTCCGTCTCCTGGGTTCAAGCAATTCTCCTGCCTCAGTCTCCCGAGTAGCTGGGATTAGAGGCATGCGCCCCCACGCCTGGCTAATTTTGTACTTTTAGTAGAGACAGGGTTTCTCCATTTTGGTCAGGCTGGTCTCGAACTCCCGACCTCAGGTGATCTGCCTGCCTCGGCCTCCCAAAGTGCTGGGATTACAGGCGTGAGCCACCGCGCCTGGCCCCATGTACTTCTATAATATGTATCTTTGAAAAGAAATTCAATAAGTTTTACAGAGGAGGAAAATGGAATTCGTGAATAAAAAAGAAAAGAGTCAAGGTACCTAAATAATGTGGTTGTCTTTAAAGATTATAATGGTGTTATTTGGAATCATTTAGGGAAGGCTTTGTTCATTGTCATATCAGCATGAGTTTTCTTTATGCTTCCCAAGATTCCAAAGGTGATCAACAGTCCATCTACACACTCATATATTTAGCCACCTACTCCACATCTTGATCTGGATGTCAATGACAGTGTGAAAAGTGCTCAAAGCTTAATATACAGGGTCACATTTCTCATCTCAAAACAGGACCCTGTTACAGTGAAACATTATACGCCCTTTGTTCATTTGTAAGAATTCTTCCCTCTCTCACCTTTGTTTCTCCTCATTTTAAGTCTTCTACCTTTTCAGACTTGTTCTTTTTTCTTTTCTTTTCTTTTTTCTGCAGGGGCCTGTAAATGGAATTCCTGCATTGCTCTAACCATGTACAACCTTGGACTTAGCTTTTACCTGTAACTGGCTTCTGAGAGACAAAGAGGAGAAACGTTCACTCCTAGTACACCTATTACAGCTGCAGAGGTAGAGGAGACAGTTGCAGAACTAGTTACAATGACGATAAGAAACAATACTTTGTTATTCCATAGCACCTTTAATGTTCATGTGTATTATCTCAGCTAGCCTTGAACTGCCTAAGTAAGGTGATGAGGACGGGTTTAAGCCCCACTGATATTTTAAAAGCCCAGAGAAAAGTGTTCGTTCCTCTACTAACCTGTTCTTTTAGAGCAGGGATCTGCATACTAGGCCTGCAGCCAAAATGAGTAGGTAGCCCACTACCTATTTTTGTATAGCCAGAGGGCTAAGAATGGTTTTTACATTTTAAGTGGTTTTACATTTAAGATCAAAAGAAGGATAATATTTCATGACAAGTAAAAATTATATGAACTCAAAATTGTATGAATTTTATGAATTTATATTTCAGTATTCATAATTAAAGTTTTATTGAACTACAGCCACATTCATTTATTTACATGTTATCTATGGCTGCTTTCTTGCTACAAAGGCAAACTGGAGAATGTACATGGCCTGCAAAGTCAAAGTATTTACTATCTGGTCCTTCACAGACAAAGTTTTCCAACCTTATTTTAGAGACACCACTGTCTTTCCTTTCTCAAAACCAGGCAATGAGCCTTCTGGTGTTTAGAGAATAGAAACTGCAGCTATGCCTGTACCACTAGTTAATAATCCTAGTAATCAACTAGATCCCCTCACTGGCTTGTGCCAGCTCCTCATTCTTCTGGAAAAACTCTCCAACGCCTGCCCACTGTGTTCCAACACCATACAAACTCTTAACCAATTATCTCCCCACTAGAGTGTGCCTTCTCTTCAGGCAGGAATAAAGACGTATGGCTGCCCGTCCCCACTCCCGCACTCCTTTTCTCGCAATTCTAACTGACAAACAGCAGGCAACTTATCTATGGAACAAACGATTCTGTAGTGCTTAGAATGTGACAGGCTCATTTAATTCTCATTTCAGCCCGATAAGGCTGGCACTATTATCATCACCATCCTCATTTTATAGAGGAGGAACCAGAGGCACAGAGAGACTGAGCCACCTGTCCCAGGTCATGTCAAGTGGTGCCTCCCAGCGGTGGAGGCAGCACTGGAATCCGTGCCGCCAAGCTCCGCCGGCTGGGTGACAGGGAGACTACAGTTAAAAACAGATTTCCCACAAGACCGACCGGAGCGCCGATCAGAGCACCTGCCCGGGCCACACATTTCCTCCTGGAGCACAGCAAGTGCCGCCTAAATTACCCGAGTGAGCATCTCTTCCCGGCACGAGAGGCAGGGAGGCCAAAGGGCCGCCAAGCTGGCCTGGGAGAGGCGTAGGGCGGAGCGAGAGTGGAGTGACATTCCCGAGGGCGGAGCCCCAGGGCCTCCGAGACCCGTAGACTCCCGCCTCCCGCCTCCTCTAGGCCGCCGGCCGCGAAGCGCTGAGTCACGGTGAGGCTACTGGACCCACACTCTCTTAACCTGCCCTCCCTGCACTCGCTCCCGGCGGCTCTTCGCGTCACCCCCGCCGCTAAGGCTCCAGGTGCCGCTACCGCAGCGTGAGTACCTGGGGCTCCTGCAGGGGTCCACTAGGTGAGGGAATGCTGGCGGTCAGTTTGCAAAATCCTGCCTTCCCCAGCTCACTTTAGACTCCTAGGGGAGATAACAAGAGATACTTAAATTGTACTACGAAATTTGGTGAAAATGGTAGACGGCTTTTCTTTCTGCAAAGCACTGAGATCTAAGTACCTCATCAGTTGTTCACATGCATACAATTTAATCGTAGGAGTCTGGAAGGACCCAGACATAATCTAGATGGGGATAAAGATACTTTCTGGTTGCTTCGATGTAGGTGATGACCGGCCTGTACTGCTTTGAGTATTAAGCTCGTTTCTGCGCCTTGCAACCTATCACCCAATAAATATTTATCGATTACTATTCAGGGAGGATACATTTTAGGGTAGGCCTTGACTAAGTGGAGGGTATTGTGGAGTAGAGCCCTTCTGAATAACAGCAGCTAACATTCTCATAGCACTAACTGCACCCCTTTGAGGTAGGCGGTCTTATCATTCCATTTTACAGATAAAACTGAGCCACAGAAAACCTCAGGTCACACAGCTGATATGTGGTGAAGCTGAGATGCAAACCTAGGCTGTCTGGTTCCAGAGTCTGCTTTTTGCCAAAGCACCTCTCTTCGTTTCAGTAGGAATCTTTGAAGGAATTGGGTATATTTCACTTGAAGAAAAGATTTAAGGGATTGGGGGTACTGTCTGCAAACACTTGAAGTGGAATAGGGATAGATTATATTCCTTCTGGGATAGTCCATTAGAACCTAGACCTCCCAAAGAGGAAAAGACTTTCGAATAACAAACTCTGGCTATAGGTAAGTCCTGAAATATGAGATACATTGCCAAGAACAGCTGGTCCATGACTTGCCTATGCTCTAGGAGACTTCATGAGTAAGCTGAAAGATTTCTTGCCCAAAATGTTGGCCCTGAACTTCAGGAATAGATGGGTCTTTGAATTCAATGACCCTCGAAGATCTCTTTTAATGCCAAGATCTTCAGCATGTTCTGGTAAGAGTTAGGGACCTCTTTGTTTTTCTCCATTTTCTCTAAGGCGCCACACAAACCTGCCCCCATCTGTCAGCCTCATTGGTAGCAACTACCTCATGGGTGCTACCAGTGAGGCTGACAGATGAGTGGCACTGGGGAAGGGGTGGGAGATCGAGAGAATTCAGTGAAGTAAGAAAGACAAAGTGTTCATTGGAGATTTTTAGTAAGGGGCCAACAGAGCTGCTAAAGTCATGCTTCACTTAACGATGGGGATATGTTCGGAGAAATGCATTGTTAGGTGATTTTGTCGTTGTGCAAGCATCTTAGAGTACACTTAGACAAACCTAGCTGGTATAACCTAGGTGTGTAGTAGGATATATGGTATAGCCTATTGTTCCTAGGCTACAAACCCATACAGCATGTTCCTGTACTGAATACTGAGGCAACTGCAACACCGTGGTGAGTATTTGTGTATCTAAACATACCTAAACATAGAAAAGATACAGTAAAAATATGGCATTATAGTCTTATGGGACTACTGTCATACATACAGTCCATATATTGTTGACTGTGTAATGTTGACCTGAATGTCATTATGTGGCAGGCACATGACTGTATCGCTAACCTTCGCACAAGATTACTGTAGGATTACATGAGATAGTTGTAAATAATTGGTGGGGTACTGGGCACCTAGTAGGTATGCATACATGTTCACCATCATTATGGTTGTTTTAAATCACCTAACCCAGGCCCTGCACATAGTAAGACATCAACAAATTGTAGCTGCTACTATTTTGCGCATCTAATCTTAATATCATTTATTTTGTAGTCCTTGGATGTTCCCTCCTTTATGACTTCTTTTTTTTTTGTTGTCCTTCCTTTAGCCCTCCATCCTCTACAGCTCAGCATCAGAACACTCTCTTTTTAGACTCCGATATGGGGTCCTCCAAGAAAGTTACTCTCTCAGTGCTCAGCCGGGAGCAGTCGGAAGGGGTTGGAGCGAGGGTCCGGAGAAGCATTGGCAGACCCGAGGTATGCTAGTTGGGTGGCTGCTCCTTGTTTTCTTTTCAGAAGGGACTGGTGGGATGTTGATGGTGATTTTGGGAAGAGGGGGCCAAGATAGTCGTGAGCTGGCCTGTGGAGTGCATAAGTGCAAACTTTAAAGTTTGCAATTGGGGGCAAACCAGCCCCAGCCCAAAGGGGGTTTCTGTAATGTGAATACAGAGGTCTTGGGCAGAAAGTGCAGCTGAGCTTCAGGAAATGTCTCTGCTTCTCTCTGCACACTGGTGTGCCACCCTGGGCTGACATGCTATCTGCCTCAGCATGCATATCGCCAAACATGCCCACCACACAGCCCCTAAGTTTATTTGCCCACACTTCAAAGCACCAGGGAGTAACTCTGATTCTCAATTCCAAATTCCCAGGAGAGAGAATCTGATTGGTTGAGCATAGATCAGGCCTCCACTGCTGGCCAATCTGCCGTTGCCAAGGATTTAGATTCACTGAGAGACTGCTGGGACCCAACTCTGTAGACGTCTGGTGAGGGACACGTGTAGATGGGTCTAGCTCTCAGAGAAGGTGATTATAGATTAGGTAGATGTCTTTCAACTTTAGAGAATGTTTTCATTTGAATATGGGAAATTTGGGATTTGTGGGGGAAATAAGTCTTATATGCACAGAAAGGTATCAGATGGTGGTCATAGCCCAGGGAATACAGCCCCTAGCACCATATCAGATCCCCAAAACATTTTCTAATAGAAGAAATACATTACAGAGATGGATTCCATTTTGAAAAGTGAGACTGGTTTGTCCCTCTTAAACTCTACTCTGATAATTTTCATGCTACTTTGTTGCTCAACTTAAGCTTTAAAAGGGTTACTTTCTCAACTTTTTAATCTTTGAAATGTATTTATAGGGTTTTAAAAAACTCCTGGCCTTCCTCAATGAGTGCTGATCTACATTTTTGATGGGTTCAATTTTTTTAGTTATGTTTTAAATTGACAAATAAAAATTGTATATATTTATGATGTACAAAATGATGTTTTGATAGGTGTCTATATTGTGGGATGGCTAAATCAAGCTAATTAACATATTCATTACCTCACATACTTATTTTTTTGTGATGAGAACACTTAAAGTCTCTCTTAGCCAATTTCGAGTATACATTGTTATTAACTATAGTCACCATTTTGTGCAATGAATCTCTTGAACTCATTCCTCCTGACTGAAATTTTGCATCCTTTGACCAACATCTCTCCTTCCATATCCTCCCATCCCCTAGCCGGGGTAACCACCATTCTACTCTTTGCTTCTGTGAGTTTGATTTTTTTAGATTTCGCATATGAGTGAGATCATGCAGTAATTGTCTTTCTGTGCCTGGCTTATTTCACCTAGCGTAATGTTGATTGGCCACTGAGGCAGAGGAAAAACTGTCAACACAACTCTCCATCAGCCCCATCAGGCCATTTCTCTTTCCAGTTAGCTTCCTGTTTACACCTGAATGTCTTTTGAGGTCCATCAAACAGTGTTTTCTGAAGGATACCTGCAAACAAGATTATTCTAATGGCTAAATGCACAGGGAGTGTTGGGGAGATGCAGATGGAGTTGGTATCATATTCTACTAGGCTACATCACCAATAGAACAATTGGAAAGAATTTTGGGGCCCCAAACACACCTGTTACTAAGCCACTATTATATATTGAGGGTAACTAACACTTTAATTAGCCCATCTGTCAGGAACACATCTGCTGAGAATTTCTTTATTGTTTTTGTCCTGTGAATCCCTTTGGCAGTTTGATGAAACCTATCAATTTCTTCTGAAAGCAATGTTTTAAAATACATAAAATAAAATACATAGGATTACTAAAATAAAATATATAGGATTACCAAGGAAAACTTTTATACTGAAACATGGTTAAGAACAATTTTAAAAACTATTTCATAATCTGGTAATTTTACATTAAATAACACGATTTGGTGGCAGTTCTAGTAACTGCTGAATTTCAAAGCTGTGAAGAACACGAACAATATTTCGATATATCTACTAACAACTGTAATGTGATATGAAAATAACTTTGATTTCAATTGGTGACAAAGTCACAGGTACTGGTAATTTACTGTGGTGCATTGACTACATTCATAATTGAAGAAGTTAAATTTCAGTCTAGAGATGACGGTAATGGTTGTACAATGTAAATATATTTAATGCCACAAAACTGTACTCTTGAAATGGTTAAAATGCTAAATTTTATGTTATGTATATTTTACCACAATAAAAAAAAAACAAAAAAATTAGTAGAGGTTAGTGACAATAGAGATATAACTTTTTAGCAGTCCAAGTTTACAACCCCTCTGAGTTCTATCAGTGGTGCCAGGTAAAAGTCCATGGCTGATAACTTATGCTTTACAGATCCCCATATTTTACTGATTCAGATCTCCTGTACCCCAGGTATGACTCTACCCTAAGGAAAAATAAATGGATAGGAATCATTCCTAATCCCATCAGCCTGGTTTAATTACTGTTGAGACAAAGGGTCTTTTTGTTTGTTTCCATATAATTGTATATTTTACATCATGGGATTATATAGAACAAACAATTTTATGTTCCAATTTTTTTCATTTAACAATGGTAGCATAAGGACTTCCCATGTTATTATAAATTCTTCATAAACATCATTTTAATAGTTATGCCATATCCCATGTATAAGCATTGCATTATTCTCTTACTCGTGAATTTTTGACCATTTAGATTGTTGCCATATTATTTTTGCACTCTACATACTACCAACTTGCCAGAAAGGTAGACTCCCTAACCCTCCCATCAGCAGAGAATGAAAGCATCTGTCTAACATCAAGAGATTACTTTTCTTTCTTTTTCTTTTTCTTTCTTTTCTTTTTTTTTTTTTTTTTTTTTTGAGACGGAGTTTCGCTCTTGTTGCCCAGGCTGGAGTGCAATGGCATGATCTCAGCTCACCGCAACCTCCACCTCCCTGGTTCAAGTGATTCTCCTGCCTCAGCCTCCCAAGTCCCTGGGATTACAGGCATGCGCCACCACGCCTGGCTAATTTTGTATTTTTAGTAGAGACGGGGTTTCTCCATGTTGGTCAGGCTGGTCTCAAACTCCCAACCTCAGGTGATCCGCCCACCTCGGCCTCCCAAAGTGCTGGGATTACAGGCTGAGCCACTGCACCCGACCAAGAGGTTATTTTTCAAACTCTGCACCAAAGCTTCTGTCTCTAAAGAAATATCTCATAAACTTTGGACCCAGAGCTATTTTAGCATAGTGTCTACAACAGCACTCAATATTCACAGCCGCAAGTGTTTTGACTCCTTTGACTGCAAATGTGGAGATAGAAGAGGAATATACAATGCTCTCACTGAGCCTTTCTGTGATTTAATAACAAGGAAGAGATGGAGTGGGGCTGGCCCACACCCTTCATCACAGTTATACATGGGCCAGCCTAGCCAGACTGGAATTTGAATGGCTGAGTAGCATAGGTGCTAGGGAGTGGTTCCTCTGTGCTCCCAGCAGGAGGGAAATCCACTACTAATCTGCACTTGCTTCTATGCCCACTCCTGCTACCAGACACTCCTCGGTGTAATGTGATTCTCCATGGGTCACTCTTATTTTTATTTTGTTAATGAAGAATTTCAATCATCATAGAAAAGTAGAGAAATAGTATGACGAATCTCCATGTTCCTTGCATCCACAATGATCAACTCATGGCAGTCTTATTTCATCCATATTATCATCCATTTCTCCCCTCAAAGTATTTTGAAGAGAATTCCAGCCATTATTTTATTTCACTTATAAATATTTCAATTTGTATCTCTAAAAGATAACTTGAAAAAAAAAACTACAATCTCATTATCATACTTACAAAAATTTTAAAAATCCCTTAATATCATCAAATAGCCTTGACTAATCTTGTTCTTCACTGATTTAGCCTCTGTAGATGATGCTTTTCATTATCAAGGTCTCTAGATATTGAATCAAGGAAGTGGGCCATATAGTCACAGCTCAAGTCCATTCAAGGCTGTATCTAGATCTCAGTCTAGGATATGTGCTGCAGTTTCCTTCTGCCTTCTCATTGTTATCCCCAGGTTCCAGTCTAGAGGCCGAGTAAACCCAGAAGGTAGCCTGAGGTGTTGGAGTCAATCTTGAGGAGCCTGTTCCTTCAGCTGCTCCCGTATTGTCTTGATGTAGGCTGACCTAGAATCACCTGATTCTTGGCTACTACCATAGACATTATTGCCCTTTTATCAGTTAGGATTAGGTTCAACTGTGTGTAACAGAAAGCATCATCCAAAACCAATGATATACATAAGTGTTTGTTTCTCTTTTGTAAAGTGCCAAAATAGGCACTCCAGGGTGGCCTTCCACTCTTATCAGGGACCTGTGTTCATTCTATCCTAGGTCATAATTCTTAGTACATTCTTAGTGCATCGCCTTATAGTCCAAGACAGCTGTTAGGGAAATGGCAACCATTTACCCTCTGGCAAAGAAAGGAGGAAGAGGGGAAGGGCAAAATGATACTCATCTTGTGTCCATCCTCCTCTTATAAGGAATTTTCCTAAAAGTTCCACCCTGCAACTTCTACGTTGTAGCTAGATTCAATCATATGAACACAACTAGCTACAAGAGATGCCATGGACCTAAAACAAGTACCACTCAGTATATTATGGAGTACCTTTTATGTACACAGAATTATTGTAAGTTCAGTGGAGCATCATAAAAAAGCATAGCATCGGCCCCATCCTCAAGGAACTATTATTCTTGCTAGCTACTTCCAGTGCTTCCTGTTGTAAATAAAATTCCAGGCTTTATTATGGGAGTACCACATGCCTGAGGGGTGGTGGCCACAAGTTTTGATTGACCTTCTTTTTTTTTTTTTGAGACAGAGTCTCACTCTGTCTCCCTCGGCTCACTGCAACCTCTGCCTCCTGGGTTCAAGCAATTCTCTTGCCTCAGCCACCACGCCTAGCTAATTTTTGTATTTTTAGTAGAGACAGGGTTTCACTATGTTGGCCAGGCTGGTCTCTAACTCACAGCCTCAAGGGATCCATCTGCCTCGGCCTCCCAAAGTGCTGGGATTATAGGCATGAGCCACCACGCCTGGCCTGATTGGCCTTAAGAGACTAAAAGAAGTAGATTGGAAGCTGCCACTTGAATTCAGCAGCTAAAGGATTTAGAACTATTTGAATGAAAAGAAATTCTCATGTGGCTCAAAAACGTTAAAAGATTGTCAATTTGATATGTAGAGAGAGAAAGATGTGAATGAGTTGGGGACTTAGTGAAAACATTTTAGAAAAATCAGAGTTTTGTAAATTAGATCTTGTCTACCGATAACACATGTTTATTTTACATGCTATTGAATTCCTGCTAAATGTTTAGAGAATGTTAGGAAGTTTGACGAGGACTAATACCCAGTACTGCAAATAACACTTTAGTACAACAGTCTAATGCAAGATATTCTTACTTTTTGGAGGGAAAGTGTGTCTTACACATATCACCAATTTTCTGGCAAGATAATCAATTCATCCTTCTGACTCTTACCTCAATCAGCCCCCTAGCTTCTTCAGTCTCTTTCTTGTGCTGGCTTTCTTCCTATGTGTGTTCATATTTCATGGATTGGTGACCAGAAGGATCAAATGGGCAATAAATATGACAAATAGTACTGATTTGGTCTGAATCTATGTGTCTTCCCTACTCCTAATTCCTATCATGAAACCTAACACTCAATATGATGGTATTAGGAGGGGAGGCCTCTGGGAGGTATTAGGTCATGAGGGCAGAACCCTCAGGAATGGGATTAATGCCCTTACAAATGAGACCCTGGAGAGCTAGCTGGCTCCTTCCACCATGTGGGACACAGCCAGAAGGCACTGTGTCTGAACCAGAAAGTTGGACCCTCACCAGACACCAAATTTGTTGGTGCCTTAATCTTGGACTTCTTAGTCTCCAGAACTGTGGGAAATAGATTTCAGTTGTTTATAATCCAGCCAGTTTATAGTATTATGTTATAGCAACTCAAACAGACTAAGACAGAAAATTGGCACTGAAATTGGGATCATTCTTCCATTGTCTTGAACAATAGGTCCTGGTTTCTGTTTTGATGGCTGACAAGGCTCCTTATTAAATGGTGAAATGGTCATTTGGCCACACCCTTGGTGTTTTCTCCTGAACATGTTTCTCATTTTTTATAATATGGGTAGGCTGAAAATTTCCCAAATCTTTAAGTTCTGCTTCTCTTTTGATTAACAATTCTGCCTTTAAATTATTTCTCTCTTCTTGCATTTTACTATATGCCATCAAGAGGAACCCGGTCTCTCAACGCTTTGTGTACAAATAGCATCAGCTAAACATCCAATTTCATTGCTTACAGGTTCTACCTTCCACAAAACACTAGGATATGAACACAGTTCAGCCAAGTTATTTGCCACTTTATAACAAGGGTAATCTTTCCTTCAGTTTTCAATAACATGTTTCTGTCTAAGACTTCATCAGAATGGCCTTTACTGTCCATATTTCTACAACAATCTGTTCAGGATTACTTAGGTATTCTTTAAGAAGATTGAGGCCGGGCGCAGTGGCTCATGCCTGTAATCCTACCACTTTGGGAGGCTGAGGTGGGTGGATCACTTGAGCTCAGGAGTTTGAGACTAGCCTGAGCAACATGGTGAAACCTCGTCTTTACAAAAAATACAAAAATTAGCTGGGCATGGTGGCTGGCACCTGTAGTCCCAGCTACTTGGGGCACTGAGGCGGGCGCATTGCTTGAGGCCAGGAAGCAGAGGTTGCAGTGAGTCGAGATCATGCCATCGCACTCCAACACAGGCAACAGAATGAGACCCTGTCTCAAAAAAAAAAAAAAAAAAAAAAAAAAGAAAATTGAGACTGTATCTACCGCTCTCCTCTTTTCTTTCTGGGCCCTCACCAGAGTTGCTTTTAATAGTTCATTCACAGCAATGTAGGCTTTTGCTAGCATGACTTCAAGACTTCCAGCCTCTACTCTTTAAGTTTAAGCAGTTCCAAGGCTACTTCCAGTTTTAGGTATTCATTACATCAGTGCTCCAAGTTCTTGATAACAATGAATAACTACTGTTCTGAGGGTGGTGGATGGTGATAAGGGTAGGACTAAAAAGAGAGAACCTCTTGGTTTTCACAGTTTGACAGCAGGGCATATTTGCTCATATAAAACTCTTCGATACAAAGAAACAATAAGTATTTCTTTATCTTGTCTTTACCCATATTTTAATAGAACCACAACAACACAGAATTTAAAAGTTATCTTAGAGCTTCAAACACTTTGTTTTGTACCTAGGGAAGTGATGGCTGTGATATTTATAGGACTGGTGCAGTATAATAGATACCACCCATCTATGTAGAACCTACAGTGCTTTGGGCACTGGACCAGGTGTGCTACATTCATTGTTTTCAATCCTTATAATCTTCCAAGGTATATATTATCATGTGAGGAGAAAGCAATGTATAATAAGGTATGAGAATTCTCAACCTCTCCTTCTACCAATCCCAGTTCTGTTCCTGGACTTTTAATAAGCTGATGTGGAAAAATGAATGACAAGACTGAAAGGAAACAAATTTGCTTGGTTGATTTTCACTGGAAAGGGCAGAGACTTACTAGTGGAAGAGAAAAGAGTAAATACAGAAGGTGAGAGGAGAGGAGAAAAGGAAAGAGGTGTCTTCTGATGGTTTGAAGTGATTTGAAGAGTTAGAGTGAGAGAAAATGGAATCATGGGAGACAGATATATACATGGAGAGGGGTAAGAGGGATTTTAAGCATATCTTTAAATTGAAGCCTCTTTTGGTGTTTTTGAGAGGATTCAATAAATAATTTGAATTTATTTTCAATTACTTTTAAATATTGGACTGGATGAAACACCAGGTTGAGATAGGCTACAAAGTGCCCCAGCTTTATATGGGTTGCAGTCCACATTTTCAAATGAAGAAATTGAGAATTGGTTAGGTTAAAAAACTTGCAGTAGCTTGTTGAATTTATATATATATGTATAATGTATATGTTATGTATATATGTGTGCATGTTTTTTTCATAGAAAGTTAAAATAAAGATAAAACCGGAGAATGAGAAAGTTTCATACTTTAATTTCTAGTAATATGACAGAGTAGACATCCTGAGATAAATAACTTAAAATTAATTAGCTGAGCTGCCAAGAGGTTGCTGAAACTCTTAGAGTATAAAACAATAAGAAAGAAAGAAAAAATGGAAAATCTGAATAGTTTCATAGCCATAATGGTAATCGAATGAATACTTTAAAAGTTTATAACAAAGACAGCAGGACCAGAAGATTTTATAGACAAATTTTACAAAATATTTAAGGTGTAAGTAATTCTAATAATGCACAAACTCTCCAGGGGATAAAATCCAAGGAAGTGCTCCTCAAATCACTTCATGAAGCTGACATTACCTTGCTATCAGGACCAGACGAGGACAGCCAGTGAAAGAATAATTACATCACATTTATGAGAATGTTTGCAAGAATCATAGAAAATTAACCAACCAAATTCAACAATGTATTAAAAGATAATATATCATGACCAAATTTGGATTATCTGAGGAGAGCAAATTTGGTTTAATGTTAGAAAATCTATTTGTGTAT
Organism: Homo sapiens; assembly: GCF_000001405.40. Classification (NCBI taxonomy): domain Eukaryota; kingdom Metazoa; phylum Chordata; class Mammalia; order Primates; family Hominidae; genus Homo; species Homo sapiens. The sequence goes on along the minus strand of NC_000023.11, from coordinate 15,482,553 downwards.
TTTATTAACATTAAGAGGTTAAAGGAGAAAAAATCATATAAGTGTCTCAATGGTGTGGAGAAGACATTCGACAATTCAACATCCATTCATGTTTAAAAAACAACAACTTTGTAAACTAGAAGTAGAAGGGAAACTCTTTAACCTTATGAAGGGAATCTATAAAACACCTGCATTAAACAACCAGATTACCAATAAAACTTTATAAAGCAATCTATGTAAAATCAGGGAGAAGACAAGGATGTCTACCACCACCATTTCTACTCAAGACTGTTGTAGAGATGCTCGCTTGTAAAAATACAAGAAAAAGAAATGGAAAATATAACGATTGAAAATGAAAAAAAAATCCCTTCTTATTTGCTAATGGTTGTTGGTCGAAATGTTACTACCAAATATTCATTCCTTCTCTATAATAGGATTTTACACCCGCATCCATTTTTAGGTACATTACCCATGAGACACATAGGGAGCGATTAAGTGCCCTCCTCCCTGACTTTGGGCTTGGCCATGTCACATGCTTTGACCAATGGGATGTGTTAATGTGATTGTGAATGGTTGACTTGCCTTGCTTTTTGCTCCTGACCTTGGCTATGAGAACATAATGCCCTCCATAGTGGCCGCTGTTTCAGCTTGAATCCCAGAGTGAGAAGACATGTCAAGGCCAGCCAGGCCCATAAAAACCCAGAGAAATTGCAGTCTGCCACGGCTTTAATCCAATGCAAGACAATTTTTTTGTGTGTGAACTATTAAGCAAAAGTTTATTGATAAATACACTGGTGATATGAACATCTACAAAGAAAACCCAAAAGAAGCTACAGATGAATCATTAAAATTAATAAGAGCTTAGCAGGGTTCAAAAATTGCCTAGCGCATGTCTAATTTCCAGCAGCAAACTGTTCAAAATATAATGTGTAAATGCTGTTTGCAGTAGAATTCCATTAAAAATACAAGTTAGCTAGAAAAATAATTTTTAAAAATATGTAAGACCTTTATGGAGAGAATTGCAAATCCTTATTGAAATATGTTTAAAGACCTAAATAAATGGGGATAACCATGGTTCTATTGAGGAAACATTGAGGAAAACTAAATATTATATAAATGTCAGTTCTTCACAATTTGATCCATAGATTAAAACTAATTCCAATCAAATGTTCAAAATTTTTCTTCATAGAATTTGATAAATTTCCTAAAATTTATATAAAATAACATGGTCAAGAATAAGCAAGACAATCACAAACATATGTTGATGACAACCAGATATGTTTCTACCTCTCATTTGAGCTTGAGATTGATCTTTAGTTGTCTGCTAGCCTTTGCATAATATAATGTGCACTTAATAGTTCTATTTATACAGATAACATTTATATGGATATATCAAATTCAGTATGACCTAAAATGAAGTCATCATAGCTATTTCAAGGCAGCTTCTTCTATTATGTTCTTTAAGTGCTGAATGGCCCTACCATCTTCCCAGATACCATAGTTAAAAATTTGGGAGTCAGTTAATGCTCTTCCTTTTTGTCTCATAAATATCTACCCAGTCACTCAACCACTCTCCATCACTACTGCCATTGCCTTAGTTCTGGCCTTTGCCTTTGCTCAGACTATTTGAGATAACCTTCTAGATATTCTTTGTTTCCTGTCTTCCTTTACCACAGAGTGATCCTTCTAAATCTGATCATATCAAACTCTGATGAAAACTCCCATCACCTTCAGGATAAAATCCAAACTCATTTAGGACTTGTCCTCCATCGTCTGCCCATGTATCTCATAATTCCATATGCATCTTTTGCCCCAACAGATTAGTATCCCTTAGTTCTTCAAGCATGCCAAGCTGTTTTTCTGCTTTTCTACCTGGAATATCTTTCCTTCTCTTTTTCTCCCATCTACTTGATTAACTCAACCATGTACTTCAAGACAGAGATTAAGTGCCATATTCCTGAGTTTTCTGACCTTCTTTGATCCCTTCCCACTCTCATATGTGTAAAATTGTCTTCCTCCAAAGCATTTATCATCTTGTTGCAATAATTGATTTTCTAGTCTGTTCCCCTGTAAGATTATGAATCTGTTTAGGATACAGAATACATCTTGTTTATACTTGACTATTTATATCTTAGATGATTATGAAATGTTTGTCCACTCTTTGCGCTTCTCATAAAATGACAACTCTCTAACACAATCCGTAAATCCTTGTGTGTGTGTGTGTATTAGTCCATTTTCATGCTGCTGATAAGGACATACCTGAAACTGGGCAATTTACAAAAGAAAGAGGTTTAACTGGACTCAAACAGCTCCATGTGGCTGGGGAGGCCTCACATTCATGGTGGAAGGCAAGGAGGAGCAAGTCACATCTTATATGGATGGCAGCAGGCAAAAAAAAAGAGTTTGTGCCGAGAAACTCCCATTTTTAAAACCATCAGATCTCGTGAGACCCATTCACTGTCACAAGAACAGCACAGGAAAGACCTGTCCCCATGATTCAGTCATCTCCCACTGAGTTGCTCCCACAACACACGGGAATTATGGGAGCTACAAGATGAGATTTGGGTGGGGACACGGAGCCAAACCATATCAGTGTGTATAAGAAGTTCTTCCTGAAAGCAATTTTCATTGTAAAAAGTTGCCCATTGGCTATGTAGTTTTCAATGAGGCTTGCTAGATCTGTTCATAAATGTAGCCCCTGGTAGTATGGCTTAAAAGACATATCTAATCTGCAAATTTTATTTTTATTTCAGTTAAAAAATCTGGATCCGTTTTTACTGTTTGATGAATTTAAAGGAGGTAGACCAGGAGGATTTCCTGATCATCCACATCGAGGTTTTGAAACAGTAAGTACAATAATTTGACTGCAGAAGTGTGTATTTTGAAACATACCTCTTTCTTCTAATAGAAAATTCAATTTTAAAAGCAATAAATAATAGGCTAAAAATTCATTTATAAGTTGCAGGCTATTTTACATAAGATATACTCAAATTTAAATATTTACTGTTTTTAGTATTCTTTGAATTTATGCCACCAAAAACATTCCTATTTGTGCAGTTAATAAGTTGGCTTATTAAAATATTTTTGTAATTAAAATAATTCATTGGGGATAGAATAAACTATTTGTGATTAAAATACTTTTTTATATAGAAAACCTGTTTCTAATCATGTCACTACGCTCCATTCTGGGCAACAGAGTGAGACCTTGTCTTAGAAAAAAAAAAAAAGAAAGAAAAAAACCTGTTTCTATCTTGTTTCTATCCAAGAATGTTCAGATGTGTGTAACCTCCTGTAATATTATAAACTCCAAAAAACAATCTAAGAACTACAAGAGTATTTATACTAACTTCTAAGGAATTATAGAATCAAGGGGCCCAAATATAACATAGCCTAAAAATTAGGATTTTAAGGACATACATATACATTTACTAGTTTAATTGCAAAATTTAGAGATTCTACTGAACACTTAATATTCAGCTTTAGTTAGATACAGAAATAAAATGTGTAACATAATATTGTGGCACTTTCAAAGATTCTCATTGTCCACACACATATATTCTGTGGAAGCTCAGGGATCGTTACTTCCTAGTTACAATGTTTAACCATCTACTCACCAGAACAACCTGCATTAGTAGGGAAGAGACCAGGGCTTGTTAAAGGCTCAGTGTGTTTATAAACCCAATTAGTGAATGAGTAAATATTTATTGAAGGCTGGCGATATGCAGGCGTTGGTGTAGGGTGATCTTTTGTATGTTAGGGTGTGTTGTGTGTTGGGAAGTGTGAGCAGAAGGCAGAGGGAGGGAGGCTAAAGAAGGGTGAGGCATGATCCCTGCTTGCCTCATATGCAGTCTAGTTAAGGAGGTTAAAGATGTTTGGGAAAGGGCACCACCACAGTGTAAAGGGATAATGAACCAAGAAGTTTCTGGAAGTAGGATCAGGGTAGTTGGACTCTTTTCCCTTCCTCATTTAGCCATTCGCCTTCCAGTTCCCTTCTCTGCTAACACGTTGAAGGCGCTGTGGCTTGCTTTGCAGCAATAATGGAAGCCATTCCTTTCACCTACCCTACACTCATACTGGATTCTGACCCTGTTCCTGGAAGATGTCTCCACTCTGTGCTCCTGCTCGAGCTACTTCTTGTGTGCTCCATCCCATAGCTCCACTTACCACCTTACTAATCCTTCAAGGTCTTTTCGGATATCACCAGCTCCATCAAATTTTGCAGACAATCCCAAGAGGATGCACTTTCTCCTTCATTTGGTCCTCATCGCATTATATTTTTACCAGTCTCATGCACATTATGCCTTTTTGATGACCTTGATTGTATTCTATCTGTCTTGCATTAGAATTGGGGATTGCCTCAACCTCCCCTCACATACCCAAGAGGATCATAAATTGCTTCAGCTGAGATCATTCTCTGTGTTCTCTGTGTGGAGATAGTAACTACTGGCTGAATTTAATTGGATAATAAAAAGTTGAAGACAATGAATATATTAAATAAAATGAATGATTAAATATATTACTTTGATTTCCATTATGGAAAATGCTTTCTGGGGGGGGGGGAATACTTTATAAATTATAAGGTACTCAGCTTTAAGCAACTCCCTCAAGGAGTGCAGCTGTAGAATATTAATGTTTGGCTCTTTTAAGAATTTTCTTTAAAACTGTAACTGTAATTATTTGTCAGTTCATTTACTTGCTAAAATTCATTTGTAACCCCCAAATCAGTACCTGTGGTGCTTTTGTAGTAATTTGTGGGCATGTGTAGAGTGGCAAAAAATTTGAGCTGCCCAATGCACACATTCCCAGCTGAGGTTGAATGAAGCGATGCTCTTTTTTTCTTGTTTCACAAGAAAGTGACCTTTCACAGTGTATTTAGTGCCACTTTGTCCACCTTTTGTGCTTTGTGTGGGTAATTTCACTGTTTAAAATGGCTCCCACACACAATACACTAATGCTGTCTAGTGTTCCTAAGTGTAAGAAGGCTGAAATGTGCCTTACGGAGAAAATATCTGTCTTAGATAAACTTTATTCAGGTATGAGTTGTAACACTCTTGGCCTAGAGTTCAATGTTAATTAATCAACAATATTTGTTAAATAAGGTGTCTTTAAAGAGAAATAAACATAAAACAAAGTCATGTATTGATCAACTGAGCAAAATATTGTGACCAGAGGCTTGCAGGAACACAATCCTGTATTTATCCTAGGAGCAATGGTCTAGTATTCTCTAATTCAGTGATCATGGCAACTATATAGAACATTTTTTCTATAAAAATGATGAGAATCAACTGTATCAGTTTTCCTCAGGAGTGTAGGTAAGCCAGAGACTCAAGTGGTAAGCCATTATCTCTTAATGTGAGCTTTAAAAGGCTGAAATTTAAAGCCAGCCCCACTTGTACTCTCTCATCACCTCCCTGGAGCATTTTCTAAATTATACAGGCTTGTACATTTTGAAAATGCTGACTAGGATAAAGAACAAATTTAGAATCACCTGTGATGTTAGCTCACCATCCAGAAATAGCTATTGTTTTTATTTTGATATATTTTCATTCAGTACTTTTTTTCTGGTACCACACTATGTTTTGCATCTTTTTGTTAGCTTAGTATTATACTATAAGCATTTAAAAAATATTATTTAAAAAACTAATTTTAATGGCCTCATTAAGCATCTGCCATGATGGTTGTACCAACTGATATCACCACAGTGATGTGTTCTGAAGGTTCCTGTTTTCCCTCAACATCAGCAACATAAATGTATTTATTCGACTTTTCTGACCTTTGCCATTTTTACAAGTGAAAAATAATGCTTTATGATAGTTTTAATTTATATTTCTCTTATTTGAGCGAGATTGATTTTGTTTTCATTTTAAAACATTCATTCACCATACATATTTAATATTCTTGGATTTTTTTTTTCCTGCTGGGTTGCTGGTATTCTTTTTATTATTTTATAGAAGGTCTTCATATATTAAGGAAGTCAGATCATTTTCAGTGATAGGAATTGCAATAGTGTTAAGAGGGATTGGGCTTGTTTTGTATGCCTTCAGAGGTAAACTTTTGAATACAAAGCATAGATACAAAATAGAAGGAAGAACTTTGTAACAATTAGTTATGCAAAGATAGAATAACTAATATAAGCATGCACTGGAACAACATAAGCATGTACTGAATGGTCACATACTTGATGTGTTATCAGGATCAAGGTCCTCAAAATAGTGATGTGCTGGAGCTCCCATTTATTTATTTTTTAATAAAAATGAAATTTTACTAACACATGAGTATAAAATGTAACTAATATACATATTTTGAGTGCACACTCACATTTATTTTAACTGGTAGTGATACATGATCAAAGAAATGTGGAAAATATTATTCTATAAAATTCTCATTATCTCAGGTGTGACCCATGAACCAGCAGTGTTATCATTTGTAGCCTCAGTCTCCACTTCAGAGCTCTGGATCAGAATCTACATTTCTACATCATCAAATGATTGATATACACATTAAAATTTGAGAAATGCTGGTCTAGATCTTCCAAATCAGAAATACGATTCTATGAGATAAGTAAGAGAGAGAACCCAATTTTACTGGGTTAATGGCTAAGCCATTTTTAAACTTAACTCTTAGGTTTGAATAGCTATATATTTTCTATTAAAAATTTGCCTGAAAATTGAGAAGGCGTACTCTAGGGAAGAGGCACAGCTGGTGGTCACAACACAAAAGGAGAAATGCATTCAGTTTTTCCTACCAGGAGTTTGTTTTCTGGGGAGGATTGTTTTTCAAAAGGCCTGAGTGGTAAAAGGTGAAATACTTCTGCATTTACCCTGTTTCTGGTCAGGCCTGATATTGTGATTTGTTTAGGGCAACTTCAGTTATCAGAAACAAAGAACAATCAGAGACATGGGAAAGTCCCGCTAAAGTTTAGCTCGAAAAAGGAGGTACTTATAGATCGGACTCCGTTGATGAACCTCTCACCTACCTTAGGAAGAAACATGTGTTGTGCCTTTTGAAATCATCCTTAAATGATAGCCTCTGGACTTTTCAGGTTTTAGCACTGAAAGGCTCCTGTCCCCAGGAACCTCTCAGTCCTTAGCAAACTGAGATGACTGGTCACTCCTGTTTAATTAAACTTAGGAACTATTAGGAGAAAACCATCCTGCCTGCTTTTCAGGGACATTTTAGGATGGCCTTGTCTACTGTGTTCTCAGTTAGGCTGAGAAGTGTTTTTAAAATTTTTTCACTACAAGCCTCAGCAAGTTCTTTGATTTTGTTCACGAGAACAAAACCACCCTGTTTCCAAGGGTGTGTCCATCAGAAAAGCCACGCTCATAATTACTTGTTGGTAGCCGACAGTGTTTGCGTGCAATGCCTGAACAATACCCAGGAGAGGAAGGGAAAGGTCCTGGTGATTCACACCTAAAACTTATGACCCGATTCAAACCTCCCACCTCCCACATAGCCTGTTTTTTTTTTCTAGCTTGCTGTGCACCACTTTCAAAAGCAAACCCTACCATCAAGGCTGAAAAAAAAAACTTGATTAAATTCAACATCCATTTTGGAAAACCGGGAAAGGATACTTTTTCAATATCATAAAGACTCTCTATTGTTCAGGGAGCATCTTTTGTTATATTTAACACTGAGATATTAGCTATATTCCTATTAATATGAGAAAGAAGACAAGACTGTCTACCAGTACCATCACAGTTTAATATGGTTCTGGAAACTTTGAAGCTATTAATAAGTAAGAGTTACAGTGTTGGAAAGGAGGAGAAAAATTATTTGTAGGTAATAAAATAAGAATGAAACTCACAGTGGCTTAATGTGGCTTTGGTTGTTGATATGACTGGAGGAGGGAGGAAGGCTCAGGATTTGTCCTGAAGTTGTGATTACAGTGAAGCACACAAATCTTAGCATATATATTCATTTGGCATGATTTGAGAGTGAAGGTAACAGATATAAGAAGGAAGCTAAAGCCACCTCTACTCTCAAGACACCCCTTGGCACCACTGTACTAAGAATGTCAACCAAAACCTATTAGTAAATGGCTGGATATAAAATAACTATGAAAAATCAATAATTCTCCTGCTTAAAAGCAATAATCAGATGTAATGGTGGTGTTAAAGCAAACTAAATATGGCTTGAGAAGGACTCTGTATTTCTATATTTGAGTCCTTGTGGACGCACCATAACCTAAATTAATAGATAGACAATATTGAAAACCTAACTTAGAAGTATGTGCCTGTAACAATAGCTGGGTCTTGGCTAATCCCAGCAGCCATACTTCAACCACTCATACACTGCTGAGTGTTCAAACAAGGCAAACACTTGTTTGAACCAGTCCAGCTGTTTCTGTACCTCACTTCTGATTTCTGTATGTCACTTTCCTTTTGTTGTCTATAAATTTGTTCTGACAACGTGGCATCCCTGGAGTCTCTCTGAATCTGCTGTGATTCTGGAGACTGCCAGATCTGCTAATCATTTTTTTTTCTTGGTCCGTTAAACTCTGTTAAATTTAATTTGTCCGAAGTTTTCTTTTAACAGGGGAAAGCATCGTATTCATAATGGCAGTAAGAACCCGATATAATTCCCTAGAAAAAAGTTATTCTCCTTTAACCCAGTAACCCTACTTCTATGACTCTATTTATGGGAAAAATCCAAAGTAAGAAGAAAGGCTTATTAACAAATGTTTATTCTGGTACAGTTTTTAAAAAATAAAAAACAGAGGCTGGGCGCGGTGGCTCACGCCTGTAATCCCAGCACTCTGGGAGGCCGAGGCGGGCGGATCATGAGGTCAGGAGTTCGAGACCAGCCTGGCCAACATGGTGAAACCTTGTCTCCACTAAAAATACAAAAATTAGCTGGGTGTGGTGGCAGGCGCCTGTAATCCCAGTTACTTGGGAAGCTGAGGCAGGAGAATCGTTTGAACCTGGGAGGCGGAGGTTGCAGTGAGCCAAGATTGCGCCATTGCACTCCACCCTGGGCAACGAGCAAGACTCTGTCTCAAAAATAGATAAATAAATAAATAAATAAAAATAAAAAAGTATTCAAAATAGTAGAGGAATAATTATATATCTAGAAATTATCTATAAGAAAATTATATATTTGAAAGATGGAATGTTATGCAGCATTATCTATAAAGACAAATATTGTAGCCAATTTAAATATTCGTCAATCATAAACTGTTTAGATTGTTTTTTTTAACCTCCACAACTAGTGACTTTTTGGATGCATAATTCTTTGCTATGGGGGGGCTGTTCCACGCATTGCAGGATGTTTAGCAACGTCCTTGGCCTCTACCCACTCGGTGCCAATTGCATCTGCCTACACCCAGTTGTGACAATAAAAAAAAGTCTCCAGACATTGTCAACTGTCCTCTGGGGGTGTGAGAGAGGGCAAAATCACCCCTGGCTGAGAACCAGTACTTTAAATATATGTGTCCAATAGCATGGCTTACCATGCAGTCATTAAGGAGAATGACATGGCTTGATAGGTCCTAATATAGAACAATCTTGATGATATTTGGAAAGTGACAGAGGCAAGGTGCACAATTCTTGTGGCATAGTGTAGCATTTATATAAAAAGCAAAAACTATGCCTTTTTTCTTTTTTAAATGGCTTATTGCCAAGTTTATTGTGGGGAAGATGGATTATTATAATGAATGATTATTTCTACAGACTATCCTGATGCAAATAAAATAAAATTACAAAATACATGTTATAGTACCCAAAGAAGATGGTGTTTAAAGAGAAAATGAACACATCATAACAGGTACAAATATGTATTTACAAAGCTTTTTAAAAAGTAGTGGTTTATGTACTTATAGGATTACACAACCATCACTGCTGATTCCAGAACACTTTCATCAGCCCAGAAAGTAAACCTGAACTCATTATCAGTCTTTTCTCATTCTTCCTTCCTCCAGCTCCTAGGAACCACACTTTCTGTCTCTATTTATTTGTCTATTCTGACTATTTTATATAAAAGGAATCATATGGTATGTGGCCTTTTGTGGTTGGTCTCTTTCACTTAGCATAATGTTTTCAAGGTTCATTCAGTTTGTAGCATATATATTTCTTTATATGCCTGACTAATATTCTATTGTATCGTATGGATATTCTATTGTATGGATAGACCACATTTTGTTATCCGGTCATCCATTGGTGGACACTTGGGTTGTTTCCATTTACACCTTTATTCATAGACTTGCCTGGATTATCTCTGAAAGGATCCCCAAGAAACTTGTAATGTGACCTCTAGGGAAGGTTAGCGGGTGACAAGGGAAAGTTGTGGACAAGATTATTGGTTTTCGCTGAACCCTTTTTTTCTCTTTGTACCTTTAGAATGTTCAGTTGTATTTGTTAATTATTTAAGAAATTCATGTTTTCAAAATTTCTTCTTCGCATACCAGCCATTCAGATATTTAAAGATGAACTGTGCCCTCATGGTTAGTGAAGGTCCTGATGATCACTTGTTCTCCAGGAACTCTTGCTGAGGCCTCCTACTTGGGTTTGCCCTCTCCAGATAAAGTGAACCTTACCTGTGTTCTATTCCTGTCAACCAGATAAGCTAATAATATATGCCATTGTGTAATGGGGATGAGGACTTTCTCTAGAAAACATCTGTGCACCATTAGAGGGGCGCATGAGATTTAGGAGTGCCTTAAATCAAAAGCATAACTTTCTCCTCCACAACACATTGCCTAGCTGAAAGGATATTAAAATAGTGAGTGCACTCATGAGTTTAGAAGTGGAGGCAGAGGACTTTCAAATTGCATGAAAGTTAGAAAATAATTAAGGAGGAACAAGATGGGTATAGTTGAAGAAGTTTCATGTTTTGAGGCAGAAGCTATCCCTTCTAACAGAAGGATCTGGGAGGGCTTCAGGGAAAATTTGCCCATTTAGTAAGGCCTTAACCAATAAGTAAGATTTGACTCTCTGGATAGTGGAGGTAAAGGTGAAAGTCGCGGTATGGGGATATAGTAGAAACAGTGAGTCATCTAATCGGGCTTACAAATGGGATGTGGAAGGATGGGAGGTGGAGGAGTATTATAGGGTCTAAAATTTTAGGTTGGGCCATTATTGGGGAAGGCCCAAGCTTCGAAGCCCAAGCTTGATCTCTAGCTATAGATGAATGAACAATATTTCACATCCTGAAACTGTCAACTTAACACAATCACGTTAAAATAAAACCATCTTTAGCCTAAAAGTTCTGCTTTTTGTGGAGTGCTGTCTATGTCAGTGGTTCTCAACTGGAGGTGATTTGTCCATCTGGGTCATATGGCAATTTCTACATTTGATCTTAGCCAAAAGCCCAAGAAGTGACTCATTTGCAATTTCTGTAGTCATTTCTGAGTGTCACAACTGGGGAGTGCTACTGCCATCTAGTGGGTAGAGGCCAGGGATGCTGCCAAACCTCCTACAGTGCACAGGCCACTTCCCACAGCAAAGAATTAAAGCCTCGTCTGTGTTAACAAGCGTAGGTCACATGAGGGAGAGTAGAAATTTAACTGAAATATTCTTTGAAAGTAGTCCAAATAAATTCCCAACAAATTTCCCTATACATCCTACCCACACCACATTGCAATTACAAACAAAAACCATTCATGTCTTAAAGGCTACATTCCAAGAGTTTTTAAGTAGAAAAATTGAGTGTTGGGGGGGTGGGGGGCCGGGGTGCGCTGGGCGCGGTGGCTCACGCCTGTAATCCCAGCACTTTTGGAGGCTAAGGCAGGTGGATCACTTGAGGTCAGGAGTTCA